>NC_000015.10:26004146-26307177 GCF_000001405.40 Homo sapiens
GCTTTGAGGATGCCTGCTGACTTGCGGATTCTTGATGTCACCCCAGGTCGTGTCTGTTGTGATGGTGAACCTGGCAGTGATTGCCTAGAAGGGGGCGCTTGCCACCTGGCAGGAAACTACTATATGCTTAACCAAGCCAGCTCCATAACCCTCTGTCAAAACACGTAATTGTCAGGTCACTTCACGGACCAGGAAAATGATAGAATTGCCTAACAACACACAATTTTTACAAACTTTTTTTTTTAACCTCACTTTACAAACGAGTTCTCAGGAGTTCCTTCAGAGGTTAATTTAGAAGAGATTTGCAACTTTATGGTAGGGTTGAAGTTCCCCGTGCAGGGCAGTTTTGCCTTTGTACCAATCTACCATTATATAATCATAGGTGAAGTTTTATTTTTAGCTACATTCTATTTAATTGGACATTACTCAATCTAGATGATCAGTAGGAAGTTGCTTCCTTGCTGTTTTCCATCAAAAGACTAAAAATTTAAAGCCAACATCCCTTGATTCATTTTATTCCTTCCCATTTGGTTTAATCAGGAGATATTTCTCACCCAGTTATTGAGAATTAAAGATCATATGGTATTTCTGGGCAAAACCTGGCTACTCTATAAAAAGTTTTTAATTGTCCTTAAATTGAAGATAAAATAGATTTTAAAAACAGTATTATCAAATCTATGTGGGGTACAAAAATTATACATAATAAAAATTTATGTTTGGGTGCAGTGGCTTGCATCTGTAATTCCAGCACTTTGGGAGGCTGAGATGGGACGATCACTTGAAGCCAGGAGTTTGAGACCAGCCTGAGAAAAATAGCAAGACCCCATCTCTAGAAAAATAAAACCAACTACCTGGACATGGTGGTGGATGCCTGTAGCCCCAGCCACTCAGGAGGCTGAGGTGGGAGGATCACTCGAGCCCAGGAGTTTGAGGCTGCAGCGAGCCATGGATGGAACCACTGCACTCAAGCTTGAGTGACAGAGTGAGACCCTGTCTCTAAGAAATAAATAATACCACCAACAAAAAAATATGTACAGACAACTTGGTTTAAGAAAGAAGAATGTGAGGCCGGCGCGGTAGCTCACGCCTCTAATCCCAGCACTTTGGGAGGCTGCGGCGGGCTGATCACCTGAGGTCAGGAGTTTGAGACCAGCCTGGCCAACATGGTGAAACTCTGTCTCTACTAAAAATACAAAAAATTGGCTGGGCCTGGTGGCACCTGCCTGTAATCCCAGCTACTTTGGAGGCTGAGGGCAGGAGAATTGCTTGAACCCAGGAGGTGGAGGTTGCTGTGAGCTGAGATCACGCCATTGCACTCCAGCCTGGGCAACAAGAGCAAAACTCAGTCTTCAAAAACAAACAAACAAAAACCAACAACAAAACAAACCAACAAACAAAAAAATCAAAGAAAGAAGAAGGTGAACCATACCTGAAAAGTCTTCTAAGAGGCTCTTCCTGCTCTCACCTCATTCCCCTTCCCAGCCCCCAGAGTCAGAGGAAATTCCTGTGCAGAATTGTGTGATTATCATGCTCTTAATTTTATTTGTATCCACAAATAGTGCATTGCTTAGCTTTGCATGTTTTTAACCAATATAAATTCAAGCACACTACTTATATTGTTTGTAATTTCATTTCTTTCCTCAGCTAATTCCTGAGATTCACTGAGGTGTTGTGGGTTGGAGTAATTAACTCATTTTTTTTTCTTAAATAGTAGTCCTTAAATTAATACATTGTAATACACCCACTCATTCAACTTTTGATGGCTATTTGGACTGTCTTCAGTGTTTTTTGCCTTCACATAAAGTGGGGCTATGAACACTCTTATATGTGACTCCTGACATATAAATTGCAAAATGTTTCTAGTTCATACATCTAGCTATGGATTCGCTTGCCCATAGGTTATGCACATTACCAAATTGCTGACCGTTATAACAATTACACTTGCGCAAGCTGTACCCAGGGCACTGGCTGCTCGTGTTCTTGTTCATGCTTGACATTGTCATAGCTAGTCTGGGACGTGTGAAGCGATAGCACCCGTGGTTTCAGCTTGTGTTTCCCCAGGTACCTGTGAGGCTGAACATCTTTTCATGTGTTTATTTGTTTATTGACCTCGTGTGCTTTCTTTCTTCCTTTTTTTTTTTTTTTTTTTTTGAGACAGAGTCTCACTCTGTCACCCTGGCTGGAGTGCAGTGGCACAATCTCCACTCATTGCAACCTCCACCTCCCAGGTTCAAGCAGTTCCCCTGCCTCCGCCTCCCAAGTAGCTGGGATTACAGGCACCCACCACCATACCCGGCTAATTTTTGTATTTTTAGTAGAGACGGGGTTTCACCGTGTTGGCCAGGCTAGTCTCAAACTCCTGACCTCTGGTGATCCGGCCACCTTGGCTTCCCAAAGTGCTGGGATTACAGATGTGAGCCACTGCGCCTGGCCCTCATGTGCTTTGTTTTCCAGGAAATGCCTGACTTGTAAGGAGTTCTTTTGTATTCCGGGTGCTATATCCAGAATATATAAGATGGTGAGATATATCGGCCCCATTTTGTGGTATGTGTATGTCTTCATGCCCCTTTGTAGATACATAACCTGTCATGTGATGTATACATTCATTCTCTGTTTGATGTCTTTTAACAATCAGAAGTTCTCAATTGCAATGTATGTGTCTCTTCAGGTAGAGTCTGTAGCGTGTGTGTGTGTGTGTGTGTGTGTCGTGTGTGTGTGTGCATGTTTTGTCAACTTGTCTTCTGTCATAAATTTGTTCTCATACATGGTCTTTTAAAAGACTTACATTTTGCTCTTCACATTTAATTACCTTTAATGTACCTACCCCTCACTTTTAATGTGTGTGTGTGTGGTGAGAAGTAGAGATTCAGTTAATTTTTTTTATCAAATGCAGCATTTATTTCCCAGTGGTCTGCAGCAATGACTGTGGTAAGTCGGGGTTCTGGGTATGGATGAGTCTGATTCTAGGCTGTGCACTCTATTCCACTTGTCAAGTTGTAAGTCCCTCATCAGTCTCCCTGCCTGGCTCTCCTACTTTGGGAATGTCAAAGACATCCTTGGCCGTTGCTGTTTTCTGTAATTTTAGAATCAGCTTGTCAAGATCAGGCATGTGGCTCATATCTGTAATCCCAGTGCTTTGGGAGACCGAAGTGGGAAGATTGCTTGAGGCTAGGAGTTCAAGACAAGCCTGGTAGCATAGCAAGATCTTGTCTCTACCAAAATTAAAAAATGTAGCCAGGCATGATGGCCGACGCTCGTGTTCCCAGTTACTCCGGAGAGTGAGGAGGGAGGATCACTTGAGCCTAGGAGGTCTAGGCTGCAGTGAGCCATGGTCATGCCACTACACTCCAGCCTGAACTACAGAGCAAGACCCTGTTTCAAAACAACAACAACAAACCCAGCTTCTCAAAATCTCCATTAAAAAGAGAAAATTGCTGGAATTTTGATAGGCATTGCATTATATGTGTAGATCAATTTGGGAAAAATGGACATGTTTATGATATTGAGAACTCAAATTTACAAACATCTATTTATTGGGGTTTTAAAAAACATCTTTCAAAAAAGTGTTCTAACATTTTTCATAAAGATCTCAGACATCCTTTGTTAAAATTATTCCCGAGTATTTCTTATTTTTGAGTCTATTATATCTTCATAAAAAGCATGTTCTCTTTGTCACTGGTGTATAGAAACCGAATCAATTTTTGTATCTTGCTTTTCATTCCAGGAGCCTTGCTAAATGCTCTTGAATAATGTCAGTTTTGCTTGTTCCTTTTCATTCCTCAAATATTTTCTCCCTCTTTTGTTGCCTGAGTCCTCCAGCACAATTTTAAATAGTAATAGTAGTAATGGGTATTCTGCTCTTGTTATTCACCTTTAAAAAAAAGTGTTCAGCATTTTATATTATGTAAAATATTCTCTGTGGGGTTTTGATAAATTCACTTTTTCTAAACATTATAGAAGTTTATTTTTCTGGTTTGTTGTTTTAATACATTAATTGATTTTATGATTTTATTCAATCTTGCCTTCCTAGAATGAACTCAAATTGATCAGGATGCATTATCTTTTATTGATGCCTGGGATTTGACTCTAATTTCCCTTTCTTATGCTGTTTCTGTCTGATTTTGGCTTCTTAAGGTTATGGTAACATTATAAAACAAATTGGAAGCCCTCTCTTTCTCTAGAATTTGGAAATCCCAGAGTCTGAGTTTGGTAAATATTCAGAAGAGCTCAAATCGTGTTTTCTCTTTGATGCAACACTTTTTTTTTTTTTTTTTTTTTTTGAGACAGAGTCTTACTCTGTCACCCAGACTGGAGTGTAATGGCACGATCTTGGCTCACTGCAACCTCTGCCTCCCAGGTTCAAGTAATTCTCCTGCCTCAGCCTCCCAAGTAGCTGGGATTACAGGTGCCTGCCACCACACCTGTATTTTTAGTAGAGATGGGGTTTCGCCGTGTTGGCCAGGCTGGTCTCGAACTCCTGACCTCAGGTGATCCACCCACCGAGGCCTCCCAAAGTGCTGGGATTACAGACATGAGCCACCGTGCTCCACTGGTCTTTGATGGAAAACTTTTAACTACTGATCCAGTTACTTGAGAAATCATATAACTATTCATACTTTCTATGTCCTTTTTATTAACTGGCAACCTCTATTTTTCTATAAATGTGTATTTCCTTTTACTTTTCAAGTTTATTTATCTAAAGCTGTTGCCAATATCTTTTAACTTTTTAAATCCCTGTAGGACAAGAGTTATATCATCTTTTCTATTTTTAAAAAAAAATTTATTCCAGCAATTGATATGTCCAAGGCACGAACCAGGCATGGGCATAGACCAGGAGCCAGGCTGGGATGAGCAAGCGGTTTCTTCATCCCTAGCTGGTATGAGATGGATACCACCAGCCAGGCCCCTCTCTTCCCAGGTCAGGGGCACCTTTTCCATTTCTCATGTTTCTCTGTGTCTTCTTTCATTTTTCCTTATTCAATATAGACAGATTTTCTTTTTCATTAGTCTTTCAAAAGAACTAACTTTTGCCTTTTGTTTTGCTTTGTTTTTTGAGATAGAATTTTGCCCTGTTGCCTGGCTGGAGTGCAATGGCGCCATCACAGCTCACTGCAACCTTGACCTTTCAGGCTCTAGTGACCCTCCCACCTCAGCCACCTCCCACCGAGAAGCTGGAAATACAAGTGCACCATTATGCCTGGCTAATTTTGTGTGTGTGTGGGTGGGTGGGTATAGATGGGCTTTTGCTATGTTGCCCGGGCTGGTCTTGGAACTCCTGGACTCAAGCAAGCCTCCTGCTTTGGCCTCTCTCAGTACTGGGATTACTGGCAAGAGCCACTGCATCGAGTCTTGCCTTACGATGTTGTTTATTGTGTGATTATATTGTGTGATTATATTTTTTTTATATTCTTCTTTTTTTTTTTTTTTTTTGTTGTTGTTGTTTTCATAGAATCTGGCTCTGGTGTCCAGACTGGAATGCAGTGGCATGATCTTGGCTCACTGCAAGCTCCACCTACTGGGCTCAAGTGATTCTTGTGCCTCAGCCTCCCAAGTATCCATAATTACTGGCACACACCACCACACCCAGCTAATTTTTGTATTTTTAGTAGAGATGGGGTTTTGCTATGTTAGTCAGGCTGGTCTCAAACTCCTGGCCTCAAGTGATCCACTTGCTTCAGCCTCCCAAAGTGCTGGGATTACAGGTGTGAGCCACTGTGCCTGGCCTATTGTGTTATTATATTCTATTTCATGGATTTCCACTCTTTTCTACTTCATTTTTTTCTATTTTTGTCAGTTTGATTCTGCTGTTAGTTTTCTGCTTTCTTGATTTAATTCTGCAGCTCATTAATATTTAATCTTCTTTTCTAATATAACCATGTAACACTGTAAATGTTACTCTAAGAATTGATTTAGCTACATCTGACAAGTTTGATATGTGATTTTTATTATAATTTAGTTCTAAATATTTTCTAATTTTCATTGATTTATTATTTTATGTTATTTAGAAGAGTATTTTATACTTTCCAAATATATGTGGTTTGTCTATCTATCTTTTTGTAACAATGGCATTTTGTGGTGGCCAATGTGATTTGTATGATACCAACCTTTTGAAATTTGTTGAGACTAGCTTATTGCCCACTATTTGGTCAATAAATGTATTTTTGTGCTTGAAAAGAATAAGTACTTTATAGTAGTTAGGTATTTTATACATGTCCTTCAAGTCAAGCTTTTACATATTTTTATTCAAATGCTCTATTGCCTGGTTATTTGTTTTTATCTCTTTGATCTATCATCACTGAAAAAGGTATGTTAACACCTATTACTACGGTCGATTTATCCATTTCTCCCTGTAATGAGGCTAACTTGGCTTAATATATTTTGAGGCTATGTTATTAATTACATATAAGTTTACAGTTATTATACCTTTTTGGTTTATTTGGATATCTTTGCATTATTTAATGATCCTCTTTCTCTTTTGTGATGCTTTTTGTTTTCAAAATATATTTGTTCTGATTTTTTGTTCGTTTGTTTTATTGAGATGGAGTCTCACTCTGTTGCCCAGGCTGGAGTGCAATTCACTGCAACCTCTGCCTTCCAGGTTCAAGCGACTGTCGTGCCTCAGCCTCCCAAGTAGCTGGGACTACAGGCATGCACCACCATGCCTGGCTAATTTTTGTATTTTTAGCAGAGGTGGCGTTTCACCATGTTGGCCAGGCTGGTCTCGAACTCCTGACCTCAAGTTATCCAACCGCTTCAGCCTCCCAAAGTGCTGGGATTACAGGCATAAGCCACCATGGTTCTGATATTAATACAGCTATTTCAGCTAATATAGATGGCCCTGTCACTTTGTGCTCCAATTTCCCTATCTATCTCCAAAATGGGTAGAATAATAAGACTGACCTCACAAGGTTGTTCATTCATTCATTTCTTCATCAACTTAATGCATATTTATTAAGCACCCACTATATGTCAGGAATTGTTTCATGCTTGAGAGAAACAGTTGCAAACAAAAATCTCTGTCTTCGTGGAACTTAGGTTTCAGTATGGATTATTGTTAGAATTAATTGAGTTAATATTAATACATAAAGTGTTTAGAATAATACCTGGCCCATAGTGAGTATCTATTATAATTATTATTACTTTTCCCCATGTTTATTCCTAATATGTATATGTCAGTATATGTTGTTGTATTTTGGATATATTCCTTAAATTGCATATAGCTGGATTTTGTTATTTAACCAGTCAGATATTCTTTAGCATTTAATTTATCATTAGTTTGGCACATTTATTCCATTTCCATTTATCTTCTTTTGTTGCTGTTGTTGGGAGAGTCTCGCTCTGTCACCCAGGCTGTAGTGCAATGGCAAGATCTCAGCTCACCGCAACCTTCACCTCCCAGGTTCAAGTGATTCTTCCACCTCAGTAGCTGAGGATTCTTCCACCGAGTAGCTGAGATTACAGTCATGTGCCACCATGCCTGGCTAATTTTTTGCATTTTTAGTAGAGACGGGGTTTTGCTATGTTGGTCAGGCTAATCTCAAACCCCTGGCCTCAAGTGATTTTCCTGCCATAGCCTCTCAAAGTGCTGGGATTATAGGCATGAGCCACCATGCCCAGTCCCATTTATCATTATTATTAATAAATTTGGATTGATTTTTACTATTTTCCTTAAGCTTTCTTGGTTTCTTCTCTTTCTTTTGGACTATTTGTTTGTTATTCTGTATATATTTCCCCTATAACAATTAGGAAGTTAGACATCTTTATTTTTTCCTTGAGTGACTACTACTCCAGTTACTGCTGTTTCATAACAAACATCCCCTAGTCAGTGGCATAAAATAATAAGAATTAGTGGCTCGCTGATGGTGCAGGTCAGGAATTTGGACAGGCAGGGCCCAGTGGGGATGACTGGTCTTTCTTCTCTGTTGTCTGGAGCCATAGCTGGGAATACCTGAAAGGCTGGGGCCAGAATCATCAAGAGGCATCTTCACTCACACCTGCCCTGCAGGCGGGACTGACTGACAGGCTCGGCTCAGCTGGGGCTGGCCACCAGAGCTCCTACATGGACCTTCCTATAGGGCTTGGCTTTTCACAGCACAGCAGCTGGGTTCCAGGAGACAGTGACCCTAGAAGAAGAGGGCAGTGCATTGCTTTCTCAACCCAGAAGTCTTCACAACATCATTCCACCACATCCTTTGACGACAAGAAAATCAGAGTCTAGCCCAGGTTCAAGGCAAAGGGAATTAGACTCCACTTTTGGAAGGACACGTCAGATGAGAAATATTGTTGCAGCTACCTTTGGAAAACAAAGCCTAGCACAATTACCTTAGAAATTCTAGCCTAACTTATTAAAACCTAAAGTTCACATCTTTATTTTCATCCTAAACACAACTCAGTTTTTCTGACTTTTGTGCTGTGATTAATTTGCCACCTATTTTGATTTTACCTTTGATCTTGTAGTTTTAAAATCTCACAGTGTTGTTGTTTTACAAATGAATATTTATATTTTATGATATTTAATATTTCTTTTGTTCTTCAATTCATATATCTCTGACCATGTATTAGAAATTCCTTTAGTTACGGTCTGTAGGTGAGAAAATTGCTCAGTGGTAGATTTGAAAATATCTTTATTTCTTCTTTGTTTTGAGAGATATTTGTTCCAGTGTATAAAATTCCCTCTGCACATAGATGATATTATGTTACTGTCTAGGAGTAGGCTCCTTTTAATTTATTCTGTGTGGGATTCATTGGTTTTCCTCATCCCGTGGATTGTGGTCTTTAATCAATTCTGGAAAATTCTCAGAATTATCTTTTAAAATATTGCCTTGATCTCATTTTCTCTCTCCTTTCCTTCCTGAACTCTGATATGTTAATACTTCTCCTGGTTTCCACCTATATCTTGACTCGTCTTTTACATGTCCTATTTCTTCATGTTTTTGTCATACATTCTGAATAATTTCTTCAGATCCAAGTCTCAGGTCACAAATTCTCTAGCCTAATGTTAAACTTTATTTTTAGTTTATATATTTTTTATTTCTACAAATTTGATTAGATTCTTTTTCAGACCTGATTGTTTAATAAAGTCTCTTGCTCCTTATTTGTATATTCAGTTCTTTTAGTTCTTTAAACATAATACGCTGGTCTTTTTTTAATTTTAAATTTTTGTGGGTACATAGTAGGTGTATGAGCTGGTCTATTTATTTATTTATTTTTTTATATGAAGTCTTGCTCTATTGCCCAAGCTGGAGTGCAATGGCGTAATCTCAGCTCACTGCAATCTCTGCTTCCCGGGTTCAAGCGATTCTCCTGCCTCAGCCTCCAAGTAGCTGGGACTACAGGCACCCGCCACCACACCCGGCTAATTTTTGCATTTTTAGTAGAGAGAGGGTTTCACTACATTGGCCAGGCTGGTCTTGAACTCCTAACCTCGTGATCCACCCGCCTTGTCCTCCCAAAGTTCTGGGATTACAGGCGTGAGCCACTGTGCCTGGCCGAGCCGGTCTATTTTTAATTCCAGGTCTGATTTGCCCAATGTATGAATTTTTGCATGTCCAACTTTTCTGTTATCCACAGGAATGATTTGATGCCTGCCTCTGTGGGTCCTTCTGCTGCCGAGCACCAGGGCACTGTCATCAGCCAGAGATGAAATTAAGCTGAATCCTCAACTTGAGGTTTTTCTGACCACCTGGGTAATTCAAATTCGAGCTGAAAACTCTCCTGAGGGCTGGCTGGTGATCATGAATTATCAGCAGGAATGTTTTTCCGTTCTATTCAGTGCTCAGGATTGATGCGGCTAGTCCTACGGACAGTGGGTACATTTCCAGTCCACCGGGACACCCCAGGAAAAGCTCCTCCCTGTCCCGCAGCGTTGGAGAGGCTGTGTCCCAGGTCCCAGTGTGGGCTGGCTCTGCACTTTTCCCTGCACCATTGGCCCTGGAATTCCAAGGCTGGAGATCCCTGGGTTTGCCAGATGCCCTCAAGGCAAAACCAGCTCATCTCCTAGGTTCCAATTTTCACTGGAGTTTTGGTCGCTGAATCTTCTGCTTCACTTGCCAAATTATTGCTGCCTGTAAAAATATCTCTCCCACATTTTTTTTCGGCAGTTTTACTTGTTTTCAGCTGGGCGATCTGCCATGGTATCTAGATTGCCTTATTGTACCAATGTAAATTTTGGAAGACTGCTGGGAAAACAGTCAGCAAGCCTTAGTTTCTTATGAGAATGAAATTTCAAAGTACAATTGGATCTCCATATCTGTGGGTTCTGCATCCACCGATTCAATTGCAGGCTGAAAATAGTCATAAATAAAAATAAAAAATAATAGGACAATAAAACATAATAAAAGTAAAAATATAGTATAACAAATATTTGCATAGCATTTATATTGTATTAGGTATTGTAAGTTATCCACAGATGACATAAAGTATATGAGAGCATGTGTGTAGTTTATGCACAAATGCTACATCATTTTACATAAAGAGCTTGGGCATCTGCAGATTTCGGTATGCGCTAGGGTCCTGGAACCAATCCTCCCTCGGTACTGAGGGATGACGTTCTACATTAAATTTTAATAGGTAATGCAGCATTTCCTACTGTCTGTCTTCCCATTCATAATGGTCCATGACAGTAATAACCATCGTTTGCAAATAAGAAAGACAACGCTGGGTATTAATCATTTTTAAAATAACCTCTTATGCGGCCTGCTCTATGTTTGGCTACATGGAGAGGGATATCATTGGCTGGAAGTGTTTGACAGGTAGATGATTCTTAGGAACTCTGAGTTTGTAGGTTTGTCCTGTTAAATGCTCTTAGTCGGTCACATTTGTAATTAGCTGGAACTTTCTGTTTTATGTCTAAAAAGTCCTTCGATAATTACACTTGGAATAAAGGTTTGCATTTTTTAAAAATTGAGATCATGGAAAGACATATCAATTGCAAGAGTTGTATAAAGTCGAATTGACTGAAATTTACCTCACAACTAAAAATAACTAATTTCTTTACCAAAAGAAGCCCACCTATTTGTATTTTATTTCCTGTTTCTGTATAACTACATACAAACATAATAAACATACTAAATATAATAAATTAGTAAACACATAAACATAGTAAAATTAATGCCAGTTTACTGCCATATGCTGCGTAGGAGTAACAGATGCATCTGCCCAACCTTTTTTTTTTTTTTTCCTTTTCAGCCCAAAAACTACTTAAAAATTAATCATATCAAAACAAGAGCATCCATGAACCAACTTCTGAGAATTGCTGTTGCTGAGAAAGGCCTAGTGAGCCCCTGTTTCCTCAGGCCACCTTCCTCTTCCTCCCATTGCCAAGGGCTCCTGTCGCCCCCGTCTGCGTTCTCCTGCCTGGCGCTCTGTCACCTCCTGTGGAGGCCCCACGTGTTCATCTGAGGGCTGCTGCTGCCCTTCCAGTATTATCCACACCTGCCATTATTACTGGGTCTTGCTCTCTGACAAAGGGGCTACAGCGCTCCTTCCTGGTACACATGCAGCCCTCCTGCCCTTGCTCAAGGACCGCACCTCAACAGGGCACCTGCTCTCATCTGGCCATCGCCTCGGCATAGGTAGCTCAAGATAGATGTTCAGCCCCAAGCCTCATGGCTGACTAACCCTGTGGAACTTAAAAGTTCAAAGACAGGGATGCCTGGATTCTGTCTCTGCCTCTGCACGTGTGTCTGTGCAGGCATCCGAGCTGACCGGCCAGCTTCCCGCTGGTGGAGGTGGGAGGCATAGGCTGCTTCTACACGCCCAAAGCCTACCCACTACAGAGTTACTTGCAGTCACACATGCTGACTAAGGGAGGAGAGCAACTCCAATCAAACGAAGCTAAGGAAGATAGCACACAAACTGGCAAGAAATTCCTGAGGTTTGCTACTTCCTATGATGGGGACAAATTCAAATGATACAGCTTTGAGAGAAAGGTGTTACATGGAACATAGGGTGCCTGCTGTGAGTTGCTTTTAGAGGTGAAAGGAGTAGATTCGCACAGACAGCTGCAGGAGGGACAGGCGGACTCCACCATCATTGGTGGAGGGGCCGGAGCCGAAGCAGCCCCCCAGGGAGTTGGTATTGCCTAGGGAAATGAACGTGGGAGAGAAAAATCCTGCCATTCAAAGGATGGTGATCCTTGTCTCCACACACCCTCACCTACCCCTGCCAAAGCAGCAGCTATTCGTTTGTTGTCACTGTTGCACTCTTCCAGTGACCTAAAGCAGCAACTTCTAAATGTGTAATGGAAAACAAGCAGTGCAGCTCAACAGCTTGTGGTTTCTGGGGTCTCTGCAATTGAACTAGGCTATCTGCTCTTTGAGCCTGGTTGCTAACCTGTGTGCTTCGTGCTCCACGTACTCCAAATGCAGGGAAGGGCAGGGTTACTCCACGCTCCTGGGACTGAACTAACGCATATCACGGAGAACAGAAGACTGGCTTCTTCGTGGTTGTTGGAGACAGAGTCTGGCTCTGTCACCCAGGCTGGAGCACAGTGGCACTATCTTGGCTCACTGCAACCTCCACCTCCCGGTTTCAAGCAATTTTCTTGCCTCAGCCCGAGTAGCTAGGATTACAGGCATCCGCCACCATGCCTGGCTAATTTTTTGTGTTTTAGTAGAGACAGGTTTTCACCATGTTGCCCACACTGGTCTCAAACTCCTGAGCTCAGGCCATCTGCCCTCCTCAGCCTCCCAAAGTGCTAGGATTACTGGTATGAGCCACCGTGCCCAGCCAGAACCCTGGCTTCTCATCATCAGGAAAGAACTGATCAGACAGAACCAATCCAAAGATTCAGTGAGTTGCCCAGGTGGTTTACAAGGACATGCAATGTTTGGGAATACGTGGCGTGAAATGCAGATTTGCCAGAGCCCAGAGAGCCGCAACCAGTACAGTTGCAGATAAAAGATTTTCAGAGGCCAGATTTTCAGCGCTCTGCAGTTTTAAAAACCAAATGCACATCTTTCTTTAGATTTGAATAAATACACATTTTGGAAAACACAAGCAACACGGCTGGGATGCATCTTAAAACAACATGACGTGAACTCCACGAATCTGAACAGAATTAAAACCTTTGCCCTTTCTGGTTTGAAAGCCTTGCGCTCATGCTAAAAGTGCAGTGGAGTGTGCGCACTCACACCCAAACTCTCCCCCACACGTACACTAATACACACTCAGGCCCACTCACCGGAACACATTCAGGCTCACAGTCACATACTGTGTCCAGCATTGAAATCCCAGTGGGTTTTTGGTCTTGCTGACTTCAAGAATAAAGTCGTGGACCCTCGAAGTCAGTATTACAGCTCTTAGAGATGGCCTGTCTGGAGTTCTTTCCTCCAGATGTTCAGATGTGACCAGAGTTTCTTCCTTCTGGAGGGTTCCAGGTTTTGCTGACTTCATGAGTGAAACCGCAGACCTTTGCAGTGAGCGCTACAGCTCTTAAAGGTTGTGCCTCAGGTAGCACCTCTGGCGTTGTTCCTTCCTCCCAGTGGGTTTGTGGTCCCGCTGGCTTCAAGAGTGAAGCTGCACATCTTCCTAGTGAGGGTTACAGCTCTTAAATGTAACACAGACCCAGTGAACAGCAGCAAAATTTATTGCAAAAAGCGAAAGAACAAAGCTTCCACATCACAGAAGGTGACCCAAGCAGATTGTTGCTGCTGGCTGGGGGTGGCCAGCTTTTAGTCCCTTATTTGACCCCACCCACATCCTGCTGATTGGTCCATTTTACAGACTGCTGATTGGTCAATTTTTACAGAGTGCTGATTGGTGCGTTTATAATCCTTTAGCTAGACGGAAAAGTTCCCCAAGTCCCGACCGGACCCAGAAGCCAAGTCAGCTTCACTTGTCAATACTCACATTCACACTCTGATGCTCTCGGACCTGAGGCCGGGCAGCATCCCTAGCAGCATGACTCCAAGGGCAGTCGGTCCGTGAGCCAACTGGCAACACTGGGGGGCACCAACTGTGTGCCAGGCATTGGGCTAAGGGCCAGGGAGATAGTGTTGCATGGACTAGAAGTGGTTTATCTGTGGCCTAACAGAATTACAGGGAGGACAAGCATTAAAGAAAGAGTGACAAGTAATCAAATGTATCATTACACGTATGTGACAGGCCAGCACGGAGCATGTGGTAATGAATTCAAGAGTGTGGGGAAGGTTTCCCCCAGAATGTACAAGGTCTTGGTGTCTCCATAAGAAGCGAGTGTTGAGATTTGAGGGGGCCTTGAATAGTACTGGACAGTCCCGGGATAGCCTTGGCCAACCGGCTATCTCCCCACTTTACTTCTTGCCTGTGGTTTGCAGAGTAAGTGTGGCGTGTGCTGGGAATGCAATATCCTGAGACAGGGAGAAACTGCCCAGAACAGTGGGCCTTGTTCCTGCCCCTCCTAGGGAAGGTGATATCTTGGGGAGGGGCTGTCTTAGACAGCCCAGGCTTAGTTTCTCTCTCTCCCGGAAGCAGCACGTCCTTCAAAGCTGTTAAAATAAAAACTTCAGCTAGACGAATTAAATTGAAAGGAATTTAATTGAGCAATGAACAATTTGCGAATCGGGCAGCCCCCAGATTCACAGCAGATTCAGAGAGACGCCAGGGGTGTCTCGTGGTCACAACAAATTTATAGACAAAAAAAGGGAAGTGACAAACAGAAATCAGCAGTGAGGTACAGAAACAGCTGGATTGGTTACAGGTTGGCGTTTGCCTTGTTTGAGTAGTTTGAACACTCAGCAGTCTGTGAGTGGTTGAAGTATGGCTGCTGGGATTGGCCAAGACTTAATATTGTTACAAGCACATACTCCTTAGTTAGGTTTTCAATCTTTGCCTATTAAGCTAGGTTATAGTTCATCCACAAGGACTCAAATATAGAAGTATGGAGTCCTTCTCAGGCCATATTTCGTTTGCTTTAGCAAAGCTTTTCCTAGTGAGCCACGTGTCCCCTGAGTTCTAGAACCCAGGGTGGGCTGCCTGCCAGGTTTCCTCAGCTGTAGTGGAAGCGGGGCAGATGAAGTCGAGACTCCATCTGCTCTGGGAAGGCTTCTTGAGCCTTGGGGGACTGGCTCACAGTGGAACCTAGTCTTCTTTCGTCCCCTGCTCCCTATCTGTGAGTAATAAACCTATTTCCTATAACCAATTGTGAGTGTGTTCTGTCTCACTCGTCTTGGGCAGTTGGTAGCATTGCACTCCAGGGAGCAGAATTGCTTGGACTCCTGTTTCTGATGGTTGCTCTCCTCCATGCAGTGGAGTCCTCCCTTGGGATTGGATTGGTTGTTGGTGAACCTGTTTCACAAATAGAGAGTGGACAGAGGAAGGGGCTGCAGGGAGATCACAGCTGAGGTGGTGGCCCCGGGGGTTCCCACTGCTGGAAGGCTGGTGGTGGTGGCAGATGCAGCCTGTGTGATGAATGGCAGCCATGATGCCCACCGCCCCTGTGCTTTGATTTTGTGAGTTGCCCTCACCTAATGCCTCATCGCACGACACCTTTCTCTGCAAACAGTGGCATCCTCCAGCTGTGTGGTGGGACTGGGAGGTCCTAAAAGCTGGGTGTTGAATACTTACTGATGTGACAGCTGACCACTGTGGTTGGGAGGTGTCCTTTCTCTCAGTGAGAATAATTTGAGAATAATCAAAGCCTGCTTGAAAGATGTGCCTATTAAATGAATAAATCTGCTTTCATTCATGGCTCAGCTATACACTCAACTGTAAGGTACGAGGCAATTTATGTTTCTGCCTTCAAGCAACTCTGCCTAGCAAAGCAGATTAGGTATGTGAACATGGTCCCAGTCCATTTTGTGCTGCTATAACTGAATGCCACAGACTAGATAATTTATAAAGAAAGGAAACTTATTTCTTACAATTCTGGAGGTTTGGAAGTGCCAGGTTGAGGGGCTTCATCTGGCAAGGGCCTTCTTGCCATGTCATCTCATGGCAAAAGGTGGAAGAGCAAGAGAGTACTCACTGCAAGAGATGGGGAGGGTCTGAATTCAACCGTTTTTGTCAGGAACCCACTCGCATAATAGTGAACCCACCTCCATCATGATGCAATGAATCCATCAGAGGGCAGAGCCCTCATGACCTAATCACTTCCTAAGTCCCCACTTTTCAACATTGTTGCACTAGGAGTTATGGTTCCAACACAGGACCTCTGGGGGACACATTCCAACCACAGCAACCGGTTTACAAATAACCCTTTTGTCTATATGCTGGGTCTTCAGAGGCACTCAGGAATGTATTATATTTATGTATGAGTATACATTATTTTCAGAAATGGGTAATTGTGACAACATGTGGAATTAATGGAACTGAATTTAGGCAACATGCAGAAGAAGAGCCCTGGAATGAGAGGTCACAGCTTGCCACCATGGAGTCATTACGGGTTTTCAATTATGGTAGGTTTCATTTTTTATGCTTTTCTTCTCATCTGAAATTCCTTGGTTATCAGATACTGCACCTGGCACATTTGAAGGTTTGTTTGAAGGTGGTGGCCAGTAACTACCTGCCGAAAGAAGAAAGGTGAGCTCTCTTCCCAGGCTACGGGAAAAAAATCGTTCATCAGTCATCCTTTCATTTCGCCATGCAGCTCCCACAGGCCAGGTGTGTGCTAGCACCTGGTCACACAATAAGCAGGTTGTGGGCTGTTTTCTGGCAGCACAGAGTCTGGGGGGGAGTCAGACACCCCTCTGGACTCTACCAGTAGAGAGAAGAGCAAAAGCAGAGAGGCAGCTTACAGACAGAAGAGGAATGGAGAGGTTTAGGGGAAGAAAACAACGATCTGGAACATGAAGAATGAGCAGGAGACCACCAGAGAAAAAAGGGAGAAGGGCCTGCTGGGCAGAAGGAGCAGCACAGGCAAAGGTGCAGAGGTAGGAGACACCAAGGAATGCAGGGAAGGCATGAAAGGCAGTCAAAGACCTGACTGTACAGACCTTAAGGAAGTGACCTTGGGCCGGGCGCAGTGACTCACGCCTGTCATCCCAGCACTTTGGGCGGCCGAGGTGGGTGGATTACCTGAAGTCAGGAGTGCAAGACCAGCCTGGCCAACATGGCAAAACACCGTATCTACAAAAAGTACAAAAATTAGCCGGGTGTGGTGGTGGGTGCCTGTAATCCCAGCTACTTGGGAAGCTGAAGCAGGAGAATTGCTTGAACCCGGGAGGCGGAGGTTTCATTGAGCCGAGATGGTGCCACTGTACTCCAGCCTGAGCAACAGAGTGAGGCTACATCGCAAAACAAAACAAAACAAAACAAACAAACAAAAGAACAACCTCTGGAGCAGCACAGCAGAAGGAGGAGTGGTTTTGCCCAAAAATCAGGAGAGCGTAACCTGAATCATCAACCAAAGGGAAAGGGGAGAGTAGCTTAAAGAAGGGGCTCAGAGACAAAAACAAGGCTGCAAAATAACCTGAACGTGGAGGACTTGGGAGATGAACACACAGGGGAGACCAGTGAAGTTTGGTCACTGAGTGATCGGGTATTCAACAGTATCGTTAACAGTGTAGGAGACGCACAGGAGCATGATTCAGTTTTGGACTTGTAGAGCCTGAAGGACGTACACTACATTAGAGTAACAGTGACTGGTTTAGGAGTAGAAATGTATTCCTTAAGCCTAAGTGAATGAAGTCTCTTGAGCCATTAGGGGACTTGGACCTCACTGACTCTGGTTCCAAGTTCTAGACGTATTTGCTGTCCTGAGCAAGGTAATCCAATTCCCAGGGTGCCAACTCGGCTTAGACGGAAGTTGACTTTTTGCCATAGATGGACATTGGTCACAACTCTTTAAACCTTTTGTCATCCAAAACACTACCAAGATGGCTAAATATTAGGAAGGAGACCTTTATTGATGATATTGGTTTGCAAGCCAGGAGGAGAAAGTCGCCAGCATGGACTGAAGGTGCTCTCTCTTTGAAGACTGGAAGGACAATTTGGGTTTTATGCCTCACAGGGTCCACATTACACAATAGAGTCAAACATATTCAGCAGGTTTGGAGGGAAAGCTGTACATAGTTATGGGTGTTATGTACATATTTATGCACATGCAGAATGGGTAACATATTTACATGCTAAATGAATACACATATACTTATACATGTATATATGCATGCAATATGTATACATATTAACATATAAATGTACATATCCATATATATACATACATAATATATGTAACATACATCCCATGTTCACTTTGGGATGGGGTTTTTTGCATTAAAATGAGGTGGAATTTGGGTCTTTATGTCAAAAGGTGAACTATAGAACACAGAGACAGTTTGTGCTCAGCCTCTATAAGCTGTTGAAACTGGCTTAAGTTCCGTAGTTGCTTATCAGAAAAGAATGCTTGTGGCCGGGCGCAGTGGCTCAGACCTGTAATCCCAGCACTTTGGGAGGCCGAGGCAGGTGGATCACAAGGTCAGGAGATCGAGACCATCCTGGCTAACATGGTGAAACCCTGTCTCTACTAAAAATAGAAAAATTAGCCAGGCGTGATGGCGGGCGCCTGTGGTCCCAGCTACTTGGGAGGCTGAGGCAGGAGAATGGCGTGAACCTGGGAGGTGGAGCTTGCAGTGAGCCGAGATCTCACCGCTGCACTCCAGCTTGGGTGACAGAGCCAGACTCTGTCTCAAAAAAAAAAAAAAAAAAAAAGAATGCTTGTAAGGCCGATTCTCTTTCCAATCAGGGTTGTAGTGGTCTGGGTTGTAAATCAGCCTAATAATTCCTTTTGTTGGAGAGTTTAGCAAGGGTGTGGTTTTTCTTGTAGCTGTAAGAATTTAGAAATTTGCCATGCCAGCCAGGCCCTAAACTTCCATTTGTAAATAACTTTTTTTTTTTTTTTTTGAGACGGAGTCTCGCTCTGTCACCCAGGCAGAGTGGTGTGATTTTGGCTCACTGCCAGCTCCACCTCCCAGGTTCATGCCATTCTCCTGCCTTAGCCTCCTGACTAGCTGGGACTACTGGCGCCCGCCACCATGCCCGGCTAATTTGGGTTTTGTTTTTTTTTTTTTTTTGGATTTTTAGTAGAGACAAGGTTTCACTGTGTTAGCTAGGATGATCTCGATCTCCTGACCTTGTGATCCACGCACTTCGGCCTCCCAAAGTGCTGGGATTACAGGCGTGAGCCACCGCGCCCGGCCTGTAAGTAACTCTGTTTCATTAACTTTAGGGTCCATCTTAGTTGGTAAATCATAGCGGGTTGAAGCTGTCGTTTTGTGCTGAATCAGTTCCTAGGTGAAGGTTACAAGACCAGCTGAGTCACTGTCTTGGTATGGGTTACCAGTCCAGGTGGCCACAGCTGGTCCATCAAAATGCAAGGTCCAAAAGACACTTCACATACCAGTCCTAGGTTTAACAGTAGTGACGTTCCCTACAGGAGGTTGCAATCTTGCGACCTTCGACTGCAAGACTCCTGAACCACAGTTCTAACCTTGTGTCTAATTTGTCAGTTTTACAAAGGTGGTTTCAGTCCCAGAGCAAGGAGGCGGTTAGTTTTAGGAAGGGGATGTTGTCATCTTTGTTTCAAAGTTACACTATAAACTAAATTCATCTGAAGGTTAGTTTGGCCTACGCCCAGGAATGAACAAGGGCATCCTGTGAGGTTAGAAGTAGGGTGGAATCAGCGATGTCCAATTTCTTTCACTGCCAGAATTTTTCCATGTGAGACTTCCCTCACTGCCAAAGGTGGTTTCAGAGTGGTCTAGAATGTCACAACTGTTGTGCTGAACCCGTACTGACTCCCGTAAGGATGGCAGTATGTCTGAGAGGCCAAAAAAGAAGTCCAGAGATAATAAGTGAGTCACGGGGTTTATCTGAAGAATTTACAAACACACAGGGACAGTCCAGTGGCAGTGGGCTAGACTGGAGAACTGCTACTGTTTCTAAAAAGCATGCAGTTTATATCACATTTTCACTTAGCACCTTCCACCTAGCCATCTCCACCTGGCAACCTCATTTGACCCAAAACAAAGGGCCTCAATCCTCTGTATGGCCTGCTTTCCAAAGGATGGGCCAGGGGTTTGGACATCCTTCATGGATAAGGAAAGACTCTCCAGATCTGCTACTCTTGGATTCCTTAGCTTGGGACAAGGTACACACATTCTTCTTAGGCCACAGGGTCATTCTCGGGGTAAAGTTATTGCTCTCAGGTGCATCTGCCATACAACATCCAGGTGGCTGTGCTGACAAGGTCATTTAGCCATAGGTTCTGATCCATTGCATCTGCTGAGATGAGGCAAGGTGAAGTTGTGTGAGCGGTACAGAAAGGGAGCGATTGTTGCTGCAGGAGGATAACATGGTGTCTTGCCCTGAGTAGTATCCCAGTGTGTCCACTGAGCCTGGCAGGTGCTCAGAAAACATTAGAGGAGCTGGACTTAGATGACACAGCCCATCAGCAGCATGGTCTCCGGCCTTGAGCTCTGTCACTCCTTGTTTTCTTTCTTTTCCTTTATCATTGTAAAAGTAATACTTGCTCAATAAAGGGATTTGGTAAACAGAGAAAAGTGGGGAGAAAAGAATCATGTGATCCATTTCCATTCAGTGTTTTTTTCTTTTTTCTTTTCTTTTCTTTTCTTTTTTTTTTTTTTTTTTTGAGATGGAGTCTTGCTCTGTCGCCCAGGCTGGAGTGCAATGGCATGATCTTGGCTCACTGCAACCTCCGCCTCCCAGGTTCAAGAGATTCTCCTGCCTCAGCCTCCCGAGTAGCTGGGATTACAGGCACCCACCACACCTGGCTAATTTTTGTGTTTTTAGTAGAGACAGGGTTTCACCACATTGACCAAGCTGATCTTGAACTACTAACCTCAGGTAATCCACCCACCTTGGCCTCGCAAAGTGCTGGGATTACAGGCGGGAGCCACCACACCTGGCCTTTCAGTGTTTTTTTAGAAAATTAATTTTTAAATAGGATGGTTAAAAATGTACAGTTTATACTATTTTATTTCTTAATTTTATTACTTAACAGTCTATCTTATGTTTTCAGTCTATTTTTCTAACCTTAGCATGCATGGCTGCATGGCATCCTGCAGAACAGAACTGCAAGCATGGTCACGTGTATTGTATAACATGTCCTTATGGTAGTCATAACCTGCAGAGTGACAGAGACTTTTCAGGGTTTTCTTCTATTTTCTAGGAGAACTCCAAGTTCACCTAGTATGTTTATACAATTAATTGCAGGGCAGCTACAGGATCATCTCGAGCAATGATGGCACTTCTAAAGGACCCTCTTCTTTCCTCATGAAGCAGGATTTAGCTGGAACAGAGGGCTCAAGATACGCCATCACCAAATATTCCACTTTGGCATATTCATTACTTTGAACTAAAATAAGTTAAGAATCAGCCAAAGCAGAGAAAGTGCTTTACCTCCCCCAACTGCTAAAACAAAGCAAAAAGTTCCCCTTTTGTACAGGAAATTTATACCTACAAAAACATTTCATTAGTAAAGATGGCTGTACTAGGAACAGAGATAATTTTACAACAGAGATGTTATGGGGAAGAGTCCCAATTCAGACTCCAAGAGAGGGTTCTTGGATGTCATGCAAGAAAGAATTCAGGGCGAGTTTACAGAGTAAAGTGAAAGTAAGTTTATTAAGAAAGTAAAGGAATAAAAGAATGGCTACTCCATAGGCAGAGCAGCGCCGAGTACTGCTGGTTGCCCATTTTTGTGGTTATTTCTTGATGATATGCTGAGCAAGGGGTGGATTATTCATGCCTCCCCTTTTTAGACCATGTAGGGTAACTTCCTGACGTGGCCATGGCATTTGTAAACTGTCATGGCGCTGGTGGGAGTGTAGCAGTGAGGACGACCAGAGTTCATGCTCATGGCTGTCTTGGTTTTGGTGGGATTTATCCAGCTTCTTTACTGCAACTTGTATTTATTTATTTATTTATTTATTTATTTTGAGACAGAGTCTCACTCTGTTGCCCAGGGTGGAGTGCAGTGGCACGATCTCCGCTCACCGCAAGCTTGGCATCCTGGGTTCACGCCATTCTCCTGCCTCAGCCTCCCGAGCAGCTGGGACTGCAGGTGCCTGCCACCACGCCCAGATAATTTTTTGTATTTTTTTTAGTAGAGAAGGGGTTTCACCGGGTTAGCTAGGATGGTCTTGATCTCCTGACCTCATGATCCTCCCACCTCAGCCTCCCAAAGTGCTGGGATTACAGGCGTGAGCCACTGAGCCCGGCCCACTGCAACCTGTTTCATCAGCAAGATCTTTATGACCTGTATCTTGTGCTGACCTTCTATTTCATTCTGTGACTAAGAATGCCTAACCTCCTGGGAATGCAGCCCAGCAGGTCCAGCCTTATCTTACTTAGCACCTATTCAATATGGAGTTGCTCTGGTTGAAACACCTCTGACAGAGAGACTTTTATCTGGGTAACCAGGCAATGCTTATTCACCATACATTTCCTCCCCTCTTGTTACCCTCTTGTAACCACCCAATGGGCTCACCTTGCCTGCTGCCTAGATAGAACCGATTTATCGAGACAGGGGAACGACAATGGAGAAAGAGTGATTCACACAGAGCCGGCTGTGTAGGAGACCAGAATTTCATAGTTACTCAAATCAGTCTCCCCAAGCATTCGGGGATCAGAGTTTTTAAAGATAATTTGGCACATAGGGGCTTGGGAGGTGGGGATTGATTAGGTTGGAGATGGAATCACAGGGGGTTGAAGTTAGGTTTTTTTAATGTCTTCTATTCCTGGGTGCCATGGCAGAACTGGTTGGGCCGGATTACCAGTTTAGCTAGTGTCAGCTGATCCATTGAGTGCAGGGTCTGCGAGATATCTCAAGTGCTGATCTTAGGTTTTACAATAGTGATGTTATCCCCAGGAGCAATCTGGGGAGGTTCAGACTCTTGGAACCAGAGGCTGCATGACCCCTAAATTGTAATTTCTAATCTTGTAGCTAATTTGTTAGTCCTGCAAAGGCAGACTGGTCCCAGGCAAGAAGGGGTTCTTTTCAGGAAAGGGTTGTTATCAATTTTGTTTTAGGGTCAAACCATGAGCTGAATTCCTTCCCAAAGTTAGTTCTGCCTATGCCCAGGAACGAACAAGGACAGCTTAAGGGTTAGAAGCAAGATGGAGTTGGTTAGGTCTGATTTCTTTCACTGTCATAATTTCCTCAGTTATAATTTTGCAAAGATGGTTTTACTCTCATAACATGTCTCCACTCTCCCCCAAAGCCCAAGCCCCTGCTCCTTTCTGTAGCTCAGGATAGGGAGAGCGTATAAGTCTCAGTCATCTAGCTGCTTTGTTGAGTCTCCTATGTTTGTCACACTCCCTGTGAGTACGTACATAATTAAAAGTGTTTTTCTCCGGTTAATGTGTCTTATGTCAACTTATTTTGTAGACCAACGAAAGTACCTAGAAGGATAGAAGAAAGCACTTTTCCCTCCACTGTGGTGGCTATGAAAAACAATTCCCTCTAAAATTATATCAAGATGATCACATTTCTGGAACTAAAGCTTTTTCCAAAACATTTTTTTTGGGGGGTGAGGTAACCCAGGCTGGAATAAGTGGCTTTTCATCAGGAGAGTTCATAGTGCGCTGCAGGCTGGAACCCCTGGGCTCAAACTGTCCTCCCACCTCAGCCTCCCAACTGGCTGGTGCTGTAGGCATGAGCCACCATGCCTGGCAAAAATCTGTTTCTTTTTTTTCTTTCTTTCTTTCTTTTTTTTTTTTTTGAGACAGAGTTTCCCTCTTGTTGCCCAGGCTGGAGTGCAATAGCGCAATCTCGGCTCACTGCAACCTCCGTCTCCAGGGTTCAAGTGATTCTCCTGCCTCAGCCTCCTGAGTAGCAGGGATTACAGGCACCCGCCACCACACCTGGCTAATTTTTTTTTTTGTATTTTTAGTAGAGATGGGGTTTCACCATGTTGGCCAGGCTGGTCTCAAGCTCCTGACCTCAGGTGATCCACCCGTCTCCACCTCCCAAAGTGCTGGGATTACAGGCGTGAGCCTCCACGGCTGGCACAGATATGTTTCTTAATAAACATTTTCACTGCGAGAACTTCAGTGTATCAAGGTAGAGGTAGATTTTTAATATGCTGCATAGACAAATTCTGCAAAGGAAAAATGGAAAGGGTGCCCAGGAGACAGGCAGCCACGTACCTGTGATGCGTGTCATGCACCTCTGCATGGCATCCAATCGCGCCCCCTTCTCTGGCAGGACAGGAAGGAGCCTTTGCTTCGGGGCTGCGCATCTAAAATTGCCAGAGTAGGACAGCACATATTTGCAGGCTAACACAAGCATTTCTGAAAGGAAATGCATTTGGAAACTGAGTGGTATTGAAGCATCTATTTTTCTTGCTAGCAGCACAATCTGCCACCAGGAAGGTTTTAAACACTTTCCTGACAGAGAGTGCCTGCCTGAATTTTTTGGTAATTAATCATGCATAATACTTTAAATTCCACACAGGCGGCTGGCTGAAAACCCTCCAGGGATTGCTGCATTTGCTATCCGAAAGTCAACTCCTATGCCTTCGGAGAGTGAGGAAGATCAGAGAGGGGCATTTTTGCCTGTTTTAATGTCGCCATCAGTCACCAGGCAAGTCTGCAATCTTTGCTGCATCCTTCCATGGTATCGGCACAAGCAAGGCTGTAGGTATCTAATACATATTTAAGAGTATGGGATGTAATAAAATCGGGTAATTCCTTGCCTTGGCTGGCACCACAGTATTCTCAAATAGGAAGACTGGGTGCTAGGATCTGTCTGCTGTGCTTGTGTGGGCTCACTTGAAGAGTCAGATCACATCCCTCTCTTGTTTGGCCAGCTCTGTTAGAACCATGGTGGTGGGTAATTAAATGATACACCAGCGCCTCTCACCTGACAGCTTAAGAGAACGTTCACATATATTTACATATATATTTCAGATACACATATATTTCACAGTTGTAAACCAAAAGGTATGTGAGACAGGTCTCAATCGATTTAGAAAGTTTATGTTGTCAAGGTTAAGGATGCACCTGTGATGCAGCCTCAGAAGGTCCCAACATGTGCCCGAGGTGGTCCAGGCACAGCTTGGTTTTATACATTTTAGGGAGACAAGAGATAAACACTGGTTCCTTCGGTCTGCAAAGGTAGGACAACTCCAAGTGGGGAGGGGGCTTCCAGGTCTTAGGTAGAAAAGAGAAAAACAGTTGCATCCTTTTGCGTTTCTGATTAGCTCTTCATTGAATGTGCCATTTACAGGAATAGTCGCTTACGCCTTAATCTGGCTTAGTGAAACAATAGGGCAAAGGAAGCAATCAGATTTGCATTTGTCTCACATGAGCAGAGGGATGACTTTGAGTTCTGTCTGTTGTTGACGAAAAGAGTCAAACTCTGTGAAATATCTGAAGAGATTTATTCTGAGCCAAAAATGAGTGACCACGGCCCATGACACAGCCCTCAGGAGGTCCTGGGAACATGTGTCCAAGGTGGTCGGAGTGCAGCTTGATTTTATATATTTTAGGGAGGCATGAGACATTAATCAAATACATTTGAGAAATACATTGATTTGGTTCAGAAAGGCAGGACAGTTTGAAGCAGGGGCTTCCAGGCTATAGGTGAATTTAAGCATTTTCTGGTTGGCAATCGGTTGAGTTTGTCTGAAGACCTGGGATGGATATAAAGGGAATGTTCGGGGCCGGGCATGGTGGCTTACGCCTGTAATCCCAGCACTTTGGGAGGCGGGTGGATCACCTGAGGTCAGGAGTTCCAGATCAGCCTGGCCAACATGGAGAAACCCCTGTCTCTACCAAAAATACAAAAATTAGCCTGACGTGGTGGTGGCTGCCTGTAATCCCAGCTACTCAGGAGGCTGAGGCAGGAGAATTCCTCGAACCTGGGAGCCAGAGGTTGCAGTGAGCAGAGATCACCCCATTGCACTCCAGCCTGGCAACAGAGTGAGACACTCTTGGGAAAAAAAAGAAAGAAAGAAAGAAAGAAAGAAAGAAAGAAAGAAAGAAAGAAAGAAAGAAAGAAAGAAAGAAAGAGAAAAGAAAGAAAGAAAGAAAGAAAGAAAGAAAGAAAGAAAGAAAGAAAGAAAGAAAGAAAGAAAGAAAGAAAGAAATGGAATATTCAGGTTAAGATAAAAGATTGTAAAGACCAAGATTCTTTTGAAGTCTTATAGTGGCTGCCCATAGAGACAATAAATGACAAATATTTCCTATTCAGACCTCCAAAAGGTACTAGACTCTCAGTTAATCTCTTCAGGACTGGGTGGGGGGGCCTGGAAGAAAAAGATCTAGCTATGTTGATAGAGATTTTTTACAGATGCAAATTTTCCCCCACAAAGGATGGCTTTGCAGGGCCATTTCAAAATATGGCAAAGAAACATATTTTGGGGTAAAATATTTTTATCTTCTTCTTTGTCACAAAATGTTATGCCAGAGTCACATTGGAAAGTAAGTCACGATATATAGGGTTAAATAAAACCCATCTGATGAGAATTTGTGGTTTGTAGGGCATGACTCCCCAGACTCCTTAGATAGGAATTTGGGCAAAATAAGAAAAAAATCACAACTTAGCCCTGTCTTTCATCCACTGGGAATTTTCTTGCGGGAAAATTGTGAGGGAGATATGTAGCTTTTTTGTCTTTGTAGCTGTCTTATTTAGGAATATAATGGGAGGCAGGTTGGCCGGAGCAGCTCCCAGCTTGACTTTTCCCTTAGTGATTTTGGCTTAGTGATTCTGGAGTCCCAAGGTTTATTTTCCTTTCACACATTATTACCTTCATGACAGGGCAGTGTAGTGGGCCATTTCAAAATATGGCAAAGAAACATATTTTGGGGTAAAATATTTTTATCTTCTTCTTTGTCACAAAATGTTATGCCAGAGTCACATTGGAAAGTAAGTCACGATATATAGGGTTAAATAAAACCCATCTGATGAGAATTTGTGGTTTGTAGGGCATGACTCCCCAGACTCCTTAGATAGGAATTTGGGCAAAATAAGAAAAAATCACAACTTAGCCCTGTCTTTCATCCACTGGGAATTTTCTTGCGGGAAAATTGTGAGGGAGATATGTAGCTTTTTTGTCTTTGTAGCTGTCTTATTTAGGAATATAATGGGAGGCAGGTTGGCCGGAGCAGCTCCCAGCTTGACTTTTCCCTTAGTGATTTTGGCTTAGTGATTCTGGAGTCCCAAGGTTTATTTTCCTTTCACACATTATTACCTTCATGACAGGGCAGTGTAGTGAAGGAAAAAAGGGCTTCCCTTCACCCTTCTAGGTTCTTTGACTGGGCTATGAATTAGATTAACAAAAAAAGTATGAACAGTCTGGGCACAGGGGCTCATGTGTGTAATCCTAGCACTTTGGGAGGCCGAGGCAGGCAGACCACTTGAGGTCAGGAGTTCGAGACCAGCCTGGCCAATGTGGTGAAACCCTGACTCTACTAAAAAATACAAAAAAAATTAGTCAGGCATGGTGGTGGGCACCTGCAATCCCAGCTACTCGAGAGGCTGAGGCAGAGAATTGCTTGAACCTGGGAGATGGGGGTTGCAGTGAGCCGAGATTTTGCCACTGCCCTCCAGCCTGGGCAACAGAGCCAGACTCTGTCTCAAGAAAAAAAAAAATGAACAGGATAAAAACTATTCTAATTACGTACGTATGCACAGCAGTCCCACAAAAATGTGAGACAAAAATGTGAGAAGGGCCAGATGACTGAAACTTAATTGACATCCTGAGCTCCAGAAAGGAAGAGGGGCTGGGGCTTCAGGGGTGGTGGAGGCAGGGCATGGAAGGGTGAGGGGAGGACATGTCGGGGAAGAGGTTCTGCCTCGTCATGCAGATAAAAGTCTGTAAGTGAGAAAGATGTCTGGGAGTAGCTGTCTTCCTGGTGTGCATACTTTTACTAATGAAAATTTCCTTTATAGGAGTAAATTTATAGGGGAGTTTTTCAGAGTTACTTTTGTGTTCACATTTTCTCAAAATAATCAGCTCAAAGTAATCAATATACCAAAGAGGCACATTGTGAGGTGATGGATTCTACAGTCATATTTTGGAGTGGTATGTTTTGAACCCCAATAGCAGGGATTAGTACGCCAGTTTTGCAGTTTATAAAATTAAAGTTGACAGCATCAAAGGAAGTTGCCTATGGTCATGGACATCCGCACCCCACCTCCGTCACAGTCCACTTCTCTGCCCCTGGCCCAAACTGAAGCTAAACTTGTATTGAGGTGAGTTCATCGTTCTACACAGTGTGAGTCCTTCATAGACACTAGCGGCATTCTTCCTCAGCTCCTTAAGACCGCTACTAGCAGCTCCGGTGTGGTCTACTTCCAGCTCTTCAATGCATCCTGAGTGTCAACAGAGATTACTATTTTTGTCCTGGAGTTGGTGCAGGCTGGGGTTAGTTCTATGTGGCTGACCTGGTATCATTATAAGACACGGAGCTGCAGCTTCTCTTGGCCCCATGTCCTAACCCCATCATCTCTGTTTTTCTCTCCCCAGTATTTTGGCTTAGTCCCAGGTGCCTGAGATATTTCTGGGTTGTCCAACTTCTCACTGATAAGAGCTCTGTCCTACCCCCAGACTGTTTCTCCGGGGTCCTGACACCTGTCTGTTTCTTATAAACTCCCTCACTAAGTCTCCCTTCCTTCTCTTCTGGCTGGGGACTGGCTGGGCCCTGCTGGGAGTTTGCAGTGATGCTAAACCTGAACAGTGGGGCTGCTCGGTGTGACCTCCTTGGTACTGGCAGGACCTCATGGAAACCAATTCTTTGAATCACCAGAGCCTTTTAGGTCTTAGATAGCATGTGGCTGCCTGCCTGATGGACAACAAGTCTGCAGTTTCCCCTTTTGGGTCCCACTCTTTCTCCTTCATTGCATCTGCATCCCAGCCTCTTCTCACTGGGCTCATCCTCACCTGCCTTCCCCAACCAACACACCTGGAAGCATCTGTACCTACCGGCACAACTTGAGTATCAGTTTTCTATTGACACACAGCAAATGATAACAAACCTAGAGGCTAAAAGCAGCACACATTTTTACCTCTTTGTTGTGTGGGTTAGAAGTCTGGGATGGTGTGGCTGAGTTCTCTGCTTAGGACATCCCAAGATTAAATAAAAGTGCACTGGGCTTTGTGAATCACGAGCATTTGAGACAGATAGTTAATTTAGAAAGTTTACTTTGCTAAGGTTGAGGATGCACACTTGTGACACGGCCTCAGGCGGTCCTGATGACATGTGTCCAAGGTGGTCAGAACACAGTTTGGTTTTATACATTCTAGGGAGGCATGAGACATCAGTCAACAAATGTAAGATGAACACTGGTTCAGTCTGAAAAGCCGGGACAACTAGAAGTAGTGCGGGGCTTCCAGATAACAGGTAGATAAGAGACAAATGGTCACATTCTTTTGAGTTTCTGATTAGCCTTTCCAAAGGAGGCAATCATATATGCATTCATCTCAGTGAGCAGAAGGGTGACTTTGAGTGGAATGGGAGGCAAATTTGCTCTAAGCAGTTCCCAGCTTGACTTTTCCCTTTAGCTTAGTGATTTTGGTGGCCCAATATATCTTCCTTTCACGGCTTTTATCTGAAGGCTCTGGGGAGAATTCAATTACTGGCTCATTCAAGCTGTTGGCAGATTTCTGTTCCATGAGGCTGCAGGACTGAGGTCCCTGTTTCCTTGCCCGCTGTCAGCTGAGGCCACTCTCAGATTTAAAGGCCACTCTCATTCCTTCTTGTGTGTCCTTCCCCATCTTCAAACCAGCAATGGAGCATCAAGTCCTTCTCATGCCTCAAAATTCTCTTACTTCTACTGCCAGCTGAAGAAAACTCTGCTTTCAAAGGGCATATGTGATAAGATTAGACCCACCCAGGTAACCTAACTGGCCTTTTCAATATAACATGTAATGATCTCAGGAGTGACACCAGAAAGCAAAGGTCTAGGAGCCATCTTAAAATTCTGCCACTACAGACAGGAACCATAGATTGGGAGCACAGTTAGAGACAGGATCTCACTCTGTCACCCAGGCTGGTGTGCAGTGGCACTATCATAGCTCACTGCAGCCTCAAACTCCTGGGCTCAAGCCATCCTCCTGCCTCAGCTTCCCGAGTAGCTGGGACTATAGGTGTGTGCCACCATGCTCAGCTAGTTTTTTTAAAAAAAAGTTTTGTAGAGATGGAGTCTCGCTATGTTGCCAAGAATGGTCTTGAACTCCTGGCCTCAAATGATCCACTCACCTCAGCCTTTAAAAGAATTGGGCTTGCAGGTGTGAACCACTGCACCCAGCCTGAAGCACAGCTTTCTTATGGGACTACTCCAGATGTCCAAAGATTAGCTCGTCTGGTTAAAATTTTTGCTACCTCCTTCCCTTCAAAAATCCTGTTACATGTTGACAATCTGGGATTGAAAATAATGTTCTATAACACCGGCTGAATTTCTCTCTTTCATATTTTTCAGACTGACCCACCCCTGCCCATTTCTTTTATTTATTTATTTATTTTTTGAGACAGAGTCATCTTGGCTCACTGCAACCTCTGCCTCCTGGGCTCAATCGATTCTCCCACCTCAGCCTCTTGAGTAGCTGGGATTACAGGCGCCCACCACCACACCTGGCTAGTGTTTTGTATTTTTAGTAGAGATGAGGTTTCACCATATTGCCGAGGCTGTTCTTGAACTCCAGAGCTCAAGCAGTCCGCCCGCCTCAGCCTCCCAAAGTGCTGGGATTACAGGCGTGAGTCACCACGCCTGGCCTACGCCCCTGCCCCATTCCTAACTCCTCGAACTCTCTGTACAATTATATTTGCTATTCCCACTTGCTTCCCTTGTTCATCATTTCTCTCCTTTCTATACCCTTATCACTTTCCATCTGTTTTCAAAACAAGCAAAGGTGCTCCCAGGTGTCATCACCTAGGACTTCTAATTAAGTGCCCTTTGAGGAATTAATACGATGAGTTGTAGGAGTTAATATGATGATCTGTACAGAGCTCCGTGGTTGTCTATTTTCCTGGTCCCCATCTCTGCAGTAGATCATTACAGAAATAGGCTTCAAACCACTGGGCGAACTATGGCATTAGTCAGGGGCAAGGCTAAGTGGCTGCAAGAAAGAGAATAACATTTCATACCTTAAGTACAAAGAAGTCTGTTTTTTTCTCACGTAGAAACCAGGAAATATAAACAGTTGTCACTAAGTATCTTTGGAGGATTAGTCCGAGGACCTCCCTCAAATACCAAAATCCAGGGATGCTCAATTCCGTGGTACAAAATGAAGTAGCGTTTGCATATAACCAAGGTACGCCCCCTCCCCGTATACTTTAAATCATCTATAGATTATATATACCACCTAATGCAAAGTAAATGCCATGTAAATAGTTGTTATGCTGTATTGTTTAGGGAATAATGACAAGAAAAAGATCTTGTATATGTTTAGTACAGGTGCATTTTTGTTTAATATTTTCAATCCAAGGTTAGTTGAATTCACAGATATGGAACCTCCAGACACGGAGGGCTGACTAAAGAAGCTCTTGGTTCCATGTGGCCATTCGAGGAGCAAGGCTCCTTTTCTCTTGTTTTCATGCCATCTGGAACTTTCTCTGTATGTGTCTGGTGAAGTGGGACTCCCGATGTGCCTGTGCCCCCGCTCTTGGGAGGGGCACAGCATGGAGAAGACTATGATGCTATCTGGCTTTTGCTTTGCATTGCTTTGTCTTTCTGTAAATGCAAATGAGAATATTGCTTTCTAATTAGAAAATGCAGATTGCTCTTAGTTCCATTTAATGTGCTTTGAATTCTGGCCCAATATTGTATAGTTGACCCTTGAACAATGCATGGGTTAAAGGTGCCGAACCCATAATAGTCAGAAATCCACAGGAAACTTTTGACACTCCAAAAAACTAACCACTGATAGCCTAATGTTGACAGAAAGCCTTATCAATCACATAAACAGTTGATTACCACATCTTTTATATGTTATATGTATTATGTACTAAATTCTTACAATAAAGTAAGAGAAAATGTTATTAAGAAAATCATAAGAGAAAATGTATTTCCTATTCATTACATGGAAGTGGATCTTCATAGAAGTTTTCATCCTCATGATCTTCACATTGAGTAGGCTGAGGAGGAAGAAGATGAGGGCTTGGCCTTGCTGCCTCAAGGGTGGCAGAGGCGAAAGGTGGAGGAGGTAGAAAGGGAGGCAGGAAGGACTTATTAAGTATGAATGGACTCTCTCAGTCCAAAACCATGTTGCTCAAAGGTCAACTGTAGATGAGAAAAATTGCTCCCAGGCTGATTTCCAATGTCTAGTAAGCGCGTGTCTACCATTGTGCTTCCAGAGGGAGATGAAATAAGAGCATATTCTTTGGGTTATCTGGAAAAACCTAATGCTCAGAATGCACCACCACCAAGCTCTATTTGCTTCCCTCTACCACCATCTGGAGCAGCCTGACTACTTACGGGAATTGCACCTCTCAAATATAATTTCCTGCATGGACTTCTGCCTTCAGTCCAGAGGTGGAAAATTGCAGGAAACATTGCCTTCACGCTGTCGCAGAGGAAAAACTCTGATAAGTTGTAGTATCATGGTGGTGGTGGTTGTTTTAAGCACACCAGAGAGCTGAGGACATAAAGAAATCTAAGCTAATTAATTTCTAGAAAGGTATACGATTTTTCCAGGTGAAAACAGACCCAGGAATGCTTTTATCCCTGGGGACAAAGTGAAATGAAGAGCAAACTTGCAACAGGATGACGGTTAGGACAGAAAAGCCAACATTTTAGCAAATGTTTAACATCCATGCATGATTTGTCATGATGGATTAGAAACCCAAGCAGTATTTACATAACAGTAGACATATATATCCATGGAACAAGACAGAGAGCCCATAAATAGATCCACACATAAATGGCCAATTGATTTGCAACAAAGCTATGAAAGCAATTCAATGAGGAAAAGAGCTTCTTTTCTATAAATGATGCTAGAACATTTGGATGTGTGTGTATGTGTGTATATATATATATATATATATACACACACACATATACATATATATGTGATATAAGATGCATTATGTTTATAAATAAAGATAAAACTATAAAGTCTTAAGGAAAATATAAAATATCTGCATATGCTTGGGAAAGATTTCTAAGACATGACACAAAATGCATTAACCATTTAAATAGATGATAAATTGAACATGATCACAATTAAAAATTTCTGCTTATGCAAAGCCACCACTTAAAAAAATGGAAGGACAAGTCATGTTTTGGGAGAAAATAGTCACTTCCTAAAAATCATGTTAGTGCCTAGTCTCAGGGCAAAAATGCTTTAAATTGCATGTTTCATTCTATTGCCTTCCAAATGCTAGTTCCATGATAAATCCTCATACTCATTTGTGGCAGCCTGAGTTGGAGAGCAGATGACCCTATTAGAACAACTGACAGCCTTTCCAATCCATACAATGTCTCAGTTTTTCTTCCATGTTGTTAAAAATAATCTCATAAACCAGAAAATCCAGCAGGGGGGTGTAGAATTCCAGTTTCTAGGACATTACACATTTATTTGGAAAATGAGTTTTTTCTTTATTGCTACAATTCAGGAATCCTGCTCAATATTGACCACAGAATAGACAGAACTTCTTAAATGCGTCTGTGACTGAGCAGTGATTAAGCAGCTTCTTTCTCTGAGCTGGTCAGTTTCTTTTCTGAGTTACTGTTAACAAGGGTGTTCTTGTGGCTGCTTTGTAAGCAAACATTGGTCAGACTGAAATTGATTTGAAACATTCACACCACTTGAATGAGTAACCAATATTATTACTAATGTTGATAAAAATAATTGAATGCAACTCTATTTTTATAAGCAGAAATTCTTTTCAAGGGGGAAAGTCTATTTTCTCTAAATTATTCAGAAATACCAAGGTGTTATGGACACATATTATATACTTAATAAGAAATACTAAGTATGTGTCTGTACCCTTATAAAATTAAATAAACATATGTAAAATGCTTCCAAAAAATATTTACAAAAGAGAGCATCAAATATCCTTCAGAAATACACACAATTTTCATAATAAAAGCAAGTTAGAACATTATGAGGCAATGTGGCCATATTGTTCAGAAACCAGACTGCCTATTTTTATTTTAAATTTATTTATTTATTTATTTTGAGTCAAAGTCTTGCTCTGTCACCCACTCTGGAGTGCAGTGGCGTGATCTTGGCTCACTGCAACCTCCATCTCCTGGGTTCAAGTGATTCTCCTGCCTCAGCCTCCCACATAGCTGGGACTACAGGTGTGCGCCACTTCGCCTGGTTAATTGTTTTTGTAGAGATGTGGTCTTGCTGTGTTGCCCACTCCAAGCCTTATGCTATCCTCCTGCTTTGGCCTCCCAAAGTGCTGGGATTGCAGACATAAGCCGCCATCCCTGGCCCAAACTGCCCATTTCAGAGAAATCCCTTCCTTCTTTGCCATCAGATCTGTTATATTTCTTTTTAGTCATTTATACTTCTGGATCAACAGAACTTAACTTTATGGACTTTCAACAAGAGCTGGAAAAATAATACAGGAAGCTGAACCAAGAGACAAAGTTACACGCACCTCAAGCACATGCCTGGAACCATAAGGTGCATCTTAGTCGCCCTGTGTTTGTGGTTCACACCTCTTTCCCTCTCTCTTCAAAACACACGTGTGCAAGAAGAGCAATGATGAGCTCATGGAAGAGGCAGTTGCTGCCCTATCTTTGGAATCAAAAGGCCTCCCTCAGGCTTTGCTGGGCCACTTTCCCGCCCCTGTAACCAACTGCAATCAGGCTTCCTGCACTCACTTCCCACCTCTGCCATCTGCCTGCCAGGGAGAGGGGATGTGCCTGGCCTCACATGGGAAGAAGGAAGAGGCATCTGCAGCGGAGAGGCATTTGCAAACAGACCCAGAGAGCAGGATTTGCGGACAGGAGGCCTGTGGTGAGGAAGAATCCTCCTGCCAGGCCCACAAGGCTGAGGCAGTCGGCCGCTTAAAACCCAGCTCCCCTAGACTTGAGTCAGGGTTAGGAGGGATCCTGATTCCTTGGACATCTTTAGGAGAAACATGGTATTTTTATGCTGCATTGAAACAAATAAATCTCTGTATGCCTTACAATTAATGAAGCAGATTTAAAGCATTTTCAATAGCTAGTATCACATTTTCAACTACTTTTCCCTTCGGTCCCTGGGCTGCGGCTGGGATGTGCCCTGACCTCTGTCATTCTGCCCCTTGTTTATTCCACTGTCTCCTGTAAAACTCCTAAAGGGTCTTATATGAAGGTGGGGTTTTTTTTGTTTTTTTTTTAAAACGAATTTTCGCTCTGTAGTCCAGGCTGGAGTGCGGTGGCTCAATCTCAGCTCACTGCAACCTCCGCCTCCCAGGTTTCAGCCTCCAGAGTAGCTGGGAATACAGGTGTGTTGCTTCCACACCCAGCTAATTTTTGTATTTTTAGTAGATACAGGGTTTCCCCATGTTGCCTGGGCTGATCTCGAACTCCTGGTCTCAAGTGATCCGCCTGCCTCAGCTTCCCAAAGTGCTGGGATTACAGGTGTGAGCCACTGTGCCTGGCCAGAAAGTTATTAAAACTTCTCCACATCTTGCTTTCCTCGCCTGTGAGCAACACCTTTTCATCTCACAGGGTGTGTGAGCTTCATGAGAGCGTCTTAATGGGAAGCCAGTACAGGGATGGCAGCAGGTTAATTGTGGTAATGATGAGGTCAGTTTCCCTCCTTCTGCAGGAGTCTCCTTGCAGGGGGAACATGCCTGTTCAAAGAAAGCCTTTATTTTGCTTTTTAAAAAAAAAATTATAAATTTTTTTTAATTTTTAATTTTTGTGGGCACATAGTAGGTGAATATTTATGGGGTACATGAAATATTCTGATACAGGCATGCAATGCATAATAATCACATCATGAGAAATGGTGTGTCTATCTCCTCAAGCATTTATCTCTTGTGTTGCAAACAATCCAATTATATACTCTTATAGTTATTTCAAAATGAACAATTAAATTATTAATGACTGCAGTCACCCTGTTGTGCTGTCAAATACTAGACATTATTTATACTTTCTATTTTTTGTACCCATTAACCATCCCTACCTCCCCACCAACCCTCACTCCCCTTCCCAGACTCTGGTAAACATCCTTCTATTCTCTATGCCCATGAATTCAATTGTTTTGATGTTTAGATCCCACAAATAAGTGAGAACATGTGATGTTTGTCTTTCTGTGTCTGGCTTATTTCACTTAACATAATGACCCCCATTTCCATCCATGTTTTTGCAAATGACAGGATCTCATTTTTTATGGCTGAATAGTACTCCATTGTGTATATGTACTATATTTTTTGTTAATTCATTCATCTGTTGATGAACACTTAGGTTGCTTCCAAGTCTTGGCTACTGTGAATAGTGCTGCAATAAGCATGAGAGTGCAGATATCTCTTTGATATAAGGATTTTCTTTCTTTTGGGTATATATCTAGCAGTGAGATTGCTAGGTTGTAAGGTAGCTCTATTTTTAGTTTTTTGAGGAACCTCTAAACTGTTCTCCGTAGTGGTTGTACTAATTTACATTCCCACCAACAGTATACAAGGGTTCCCTTTTCTCTACATCCTTGCCAACATTTGTTACTGCCTCACTTTTGGATAAAAGCCATTTTATCTGGGGTGAGATGATATCTTATTGTAGTTTTGCTCTGCATTTCTCTGCTGATCAATGATGTTGAGCACGTTTTCATATGCCTGTTTGCTATTTGTATGTCTTGTTTTGAGAAGTGTCTATTAAGGTCTTTTGACCATTTCAAAATGACATCATTAGATTTTTTTCCTGTAGAGTTGTTTGAGCTCCTTATATATTCTGGTTATTAATCCCTTATCATGTGGGCAGTTTGCAAATATTTTCTCCTATCCTGTGAGTTGTCTCTTCACTTCGTCAATTATTTCCCTTGCAGTGCAGAAGCTTTTTAACTTGATGTGATTCCATTAGTCCATTTTTGCTTTGGTTGCCTGTGTTTGTGGGGTATTTCTCAAGAAATTTTTGCCCAAACCAATGCCCTGGAGAGTTTCCCCAATGTTTTCTTGTAGTAGTTTCATAGTTTGAGGTCTTAGATTTAAGTCTTTAATCCATTTTGATTTGATTTTTGCATATGACAAGTCTAGTTTCATTCTCCTGCATGTGGATATGCAGTTTTCTTAGTACCACTTACTGAAGAGACTGTCTTCTCCCTAGTGTACGTTCTTGGCAACTTTGTTCAAAATGAGTTCACTGTTGGTGTACAGATTTGTTTCCACGTTCTCAATTCTGTTCCATTGGGCGATAAGTCTGCTTTTATGCCAGTACCATGCTGGTTGGGTTACTATAGCTCTGTAGTATAATTTGAAGTCAGGTACTGTGATTACTCCAGTTCAGTTCTTCTTGCTCAGAATAGCTTGGCTCTTCTGGGTCTTTTGTGGTTTTGTATAAATTTTAGGATTGTTTTTCTATTTCTGTGAAAAATGTCACTGGTCTTTTTGATAGGGATTGCATTGAGTCTGAAGATTGCTTTGGGTAGTATGGACATTTTTACAATATTGATTCTTCCAATCCATTAACATGGAATATCTTTCCTTTCTTTGATGCCCTCTTCAATTTCTTTCATTAGTGCTTGATAGTTTTCATTGCAGCAATCTTTCACTTCTCTGGTTAAGTTAATTCCTAGGTATTTAATTTTCTTTGTGACTACTGTAAATGAGATTACTTTTTTAATTTCTTTTACAGATTGTTCACTGTTGGCACATAGAAATTCTACTGACTTTTGTATGATGATTTTGTACCCTACAGCTTTACTGAATTTATCAGTTCTAATAGTTTTCTTGTGAAGTCTTTAGGTTTTTCCAAATATAAGATCATATCATCTGCAAACAAGGATAGTTTGACTTCTTTCTTTCCAATTTGGATGCCCTTTATCTTTCCTGGTTGCTCTAGCTAGGACTTCCAGTACTATGTTGAATAACAGCGGTGAAAGTGAGAATCCTTGTCATGTTCCAGATTTTAGAGGAAAGAGGAAGCCTTTATTTTGGAGCCCAGTGTCTGACAGTGGAAAGAGCACAGAAATTAGAGTCACACATCCTGCCCACATCCTGCCTCATTGGCTTTGTGACTATAGAAATGTTATTGAACCTTCCTGGGTCTTGGTAGCCTCACCTTTAAAATGGGTATAATAATCCCTGTTCAAATGGCTGTAGTGACTTTGAAACACACCAATTTGGCTAAGCCAAAATGCATTCCCCAGAATTCTTGTTCCTGTATGTTTCCAGTTAGGATGGGCCTTGAAGGACATTTTGCACAGATTTAGAGAGTGGAAATGGAGTAGCAACTGTGTTGCTGTGTAGCTGCATTGCTGTTACTGTTGAAAGGTGGGTGTGGTGGGTATAGGGGCACATGCAATGTCGATCTCTGCTGGCTCACCTCGTAGGTGTGCAGAAGCAGTTGAGCTTGCAGCTGTTCAACCTTCACCTGAGGCTCCTTCAGCTCCTCCAATGCCTGGGTCAGAGACGTGTTTAGCTCCACAATGAGGGGCATCTGCTTCTCTTGCAGGTCACCTGCATTATCAAAGTTGGGGGCAGTGAGAGACTGACACACACAGACATGTGGATAGGTTCTAAAACTACCTCTCTGGAAAAAGCAAAAGCCCTGGTTTATAGTGTTTGCCAATTGATGCGGTGTAAGTACTCCCTTTGTGGCTGATTTCAAGCTCTCAATGTGGTGTCATTGAATGCAAAGTTAGGAAGAGATCCATACACTAGACTCTTGTGAGCTGATAGGAGAGGGCTCCAGCGCAACACTGGTGATGGGTCCAGTCACTTTTGACGAGCTGCAATGTGTGCTTGTGGGTTCTACATTGTCCTTGCTCTTCCCAATTTACAACCGTCTTCCCTTCCTGATAGCCTTTCCTGCAAACTTCAAGTGGTGGATTTATATGCAAAGGCACCTGCCTATCAGAGACTTTTTAAGCAGTTGCCATAGAATAATCCATTTACATCTACATATTTTTTTTCTCTAATGATTTCCTCCAGTGATTTTACTTATTTGACTTAACCCTGCCCCCTGACAGATATGGGCAGTTTAACTGAGATAATTTATGTGAAACAGCCAGCAGTGTTAGGCACAAAGTAGACACTGCATAATGTCAACTTCCTTAATGAGTGATTGTCAACTATTTGAAATTAATAGTATGTCATTTCCTCTCCTGATATCACGGGACTCAGAGATATTCATCATATTTATGGAATCATGTTCCTTTTATTTCTTTCCTAAGAAGATGAATCATACAGACCAGCACTATTCAATCGAAACATAATGCAAGCCACATATGTCATTTAAAAATTTCTAGTGCCACATTAGAAAAAGCTTTAAAAAAGGTAAAATTAATTATAATATATTCAATGTAATCCAATATATCAAAAATATTATTTCAACATGTAATCAGTGTAAAATAATATCCATTAGGTATTTTAAATTCTTTTTGTACCAACTATTTACAAATGTATATTATTTTTAAATTGCAGCACATCTCAATTTTAAGTGGTCATATTCAAGAGCCACACTGTGACTAGTGGCCATCATATTACAGAGTATTTGTGTAAATATAGACCCATAACAAATGTAAAATAATATATAATAAAAAATTATTTTTAATTGTCTGTGTTTTTCTTTTTTCTTTCGTTTTTAACTTTTAGGTTCAGAGGTACATGTGCAGGTTTGTTATATAGATAAACTCGTGTCACAGCGGTTGCTTCTACAGATTATTTCATCATGCAGGTACTAAGCCTAGTACCCAATAGTTATTTTTTCTCCTCCTCTTCCTATCTTCCAGCCTCAAGTAGGTCCCAGTGTCCGTTGCTACCTTCTTTCTCATCATTCGGCTCCCACTTACAATTGAGAACATGTGGTGTTTGGTTTTCTGTTCCTCCACTAGTTTGCTGAAGATAATGGCGTCCAGCTCCATCCATGTTCCTGCCAAAGGCATGATCTTGTTATTTTCATGGCTGCACCGTATTCTATGGTGTATACGTACCACATTTTCTTTATCCAGTCTACCATTGATGGGCACTTGGGTGGATTCCCCATGCTTGCTCTCAGCACAGGCTTCCAAAATCCCAGTGCTGTTCACTCCTAGGGATACCAGTAATGGGCTGTCTTGGTTTCAGGAGGCCTGCTTCTATACTGCTCATAGATCAAGGGTATCAGAAATTAGAAGACACGAAGTTTCCTCATTCCTCCCTCAAGCTTTATGTTTTTGAGACAGGGTCTCGCTCTCGCTCTGTCATCCAAGCTGGAGTGCAATGGCACAATCACAGCTCACTGCCTCAGCCTCCCAGGTTCAAGCACCCTCCTGCCTCAGCCTCCTGAGTAGCTGGGACCACAGGTGCGCACCACCATGCCTGGCTAATTTTTAAATTTTTATGGAGATAGGGTCGATGTTGTCCAGGCTGGTCTTGAACTCCTGGGTTCAAAAGGTCCTCCTGTCTCAGCCTCTTATACGTGCTGGGATTATAAAGCATGAGTGGCCAGCCCCCTGTACTTTAAACACACTAATTCAGAAGGCTTATCAGGTCCCACAGGCCAGTAGGACAGAGATGTGGACACCAAATTTGTAGCACACTAGTTTGAGTTTCTATTAACCTCAATAATGTTCTGGAAGTTGCTTAAAAAAAAAAACAGCAAACTATAGTTAACTTAAGATTCATATATTGCTCTTTCAAGTTAAAAGTAAAATACACTAATTTTTATCTGGTTTTACCACAATAAAATATGCCTATGCATTTTTCTGATTGGTAATACAATTTGGAACACAACTGACCAGGGCGTGTGCCAACAAATACATCACATTAGGTCCAGAATTGGTTCCTTCCAGTGGGCTCTCGGTCTCCCTGCCTTCAAGAATGAAGCCGTGGAGCTTCACGGTGAGTGTTACAGCTCTTAAAAATGGTGTGTCCGCAGTTGCTTCCCTCCAGTGGGTTCGTCATCTCACTGACTTCACGAGTGAAGCTGCAGACCTTTGCAGTGAGTGTTACAGCTCTTAAAGGCGTCACATCCACAGTAGTTTGTTCCTCCCAGGAGGCTTGGGTTCATGCTCTTCCTAACTTCACGAACGAAGCTACAGACCCTCTGGGGAAAGTAGTGTGGACTCAAGAATCAGCAGCAGCTACCTTTATTGTGAACAGGCAAAGAACAAAACTACCCCCTGAACAGAAGAAGACCCCACAGGGTTATCACTGAGGGTGTGGGGTGGCCAGCTTTTATTCCCTTATTTGGCCCCACCCACATCCTGCTGATTGGTCCATTTTACAGAGCACTGATTGGTCCATTTTACAGAGTGCTGATTTGTCCGTTTTTACAGAGTGCTGATTGGTACCTTTACAAACCTTTAGCTAGACACAGAGCGCTGATTGGTGTGTTTACAATCCTTTAGCTAGACAGAAAAGTTCTCCAAGTCCCCACCAGACCCAGAAGCCCAGCCGGCTTCACCTCTCAGTTTCCATCCAGACCCTCATCTCTGTCATCTATTTCATTTTTGCTTGTGTTGATGCAGAGATCCCACATCCAACAATAACTACAGCAGCAAGAGTGCCTCATGTGGAGCTGTCTGCAGAGCTTGCCAACTTGCCAGAGACTCCCCTGTGGTGGGCTCCAGGTTTCGTGTCACAAACTTGGGTATAAAAAAGGAAACTGTCCCAGCCCTTTGGGAGGCCAAAGCAGAAGGATTTATTGAGGCCAGGAGTTTGAGACTAGCTTGGGGAACATAGTGAGATCCTGTCTCTACAAAAAAATAAAAAAATATTTAGCCAAGCTTGGTGGCACCTGTAGTCCCAGCTACTTGGGAGGCTGAGGCAGGAGGATGGGTTTAGCCCGGGAGTTTGAGGCTGCAATGCACTATGATGACACCACTGCGCTTCAGCCTGGGTGGCAGAGATCCTTTCTCTGAAAAAAAGAAAGGCCAGGCACGGTGGCTCACGCCTGTAATCCCAGCACTTTGGGAGGCTGAGGCCGTCGGATCACGAGGTCAGGAGATTGAGACCATCATGGCTAACACGGTGAAACCCCTGTCTCTACTAAAAACACAAAAAATTAGCCGGGTGTGGTGGTGGGCGCCTGTAGTCCCAGCTACTAGGGAGGCTGAGGCAGGAGAATGGCGTGAATCCGGGAGGCAGAGCTTGCAGTGAGGCGAGATTGTGCCACTGCACTCCAGGCTGGGCAACAGACTCTGTCTCGGAAAAAAAAAAAAAAAAAGAAAAAAGAAAACTATACAAAAAAGTAATCTGTCAATTTCTGGGTTTTCTGGTAAATTCAAGATCTCCCCTCAGGCTCCTTCCCTGGAGGATGGGTTTACTCAGGCAGGAGCTCCCAGCAGCTTGAGAGGCGGGGCTCTCTTCTATATGGTGTGTGCTTGAGGGGCTGGGACCTACCCTGAGAGCCTCTCCACCTCACCTGGGTGTTTGCTAAGCCCTTCTGCAGGGCCTGGTCAGCCCCTGGTCTGGTCTGGGCTGCGAGGCTTTCCAGGACCTTGGCTCTTAGCCTCAGTATTGCATTTCTCCAGGCAGTGCAGGAACACGCTTGCTGTCCTCTCGTGCCCATCCAGAGGGCTGCGGAACTCCCGGACCTGCAGTGTGGTGCCGGTGAGGCAGAACTGTGGGATCCTGGCTCAGAAGGACCCATCCTCAGTGTTCCTATCAATACTCACATGTCTTGTTTTCTCCTAAGCCCTCTCCATCTTGCTTTCTAGTTTTAGCAAGTATTTTCCTAAAACTTGTCTTCTATTCGCCTCTGGGTTTACTTGTTTATTTTAAGAATGTTTCGTCTTTGTGCCCTGAACTAGCTGCAACCTTTCCCTTAGGGACATAGTAGGCTCATCTAGCTGTTGATGCCATGGGAAGTGACCTCATACTACCGCCAAGCAATACGATGACATGATGGGACAGGGTGCGCCAGTTAATCACTGCAAACTGCAATGTAAAGGTATGAAATTAGGAGATTAGTTCATTCTCAGAAAACAGGTGCTGCATAAATAACTGAGGTTATGATGGATTTCCAAGGTCTCCAAACTAGGGCACTCACAACAGGGCACACATACATTTCTCCCATAAGATTTTCCAGTAAACCACTTCATCATAAACCGTATCATCATAAAATGATTCATACTGATCAAATTTTGAAGAGCAGTTCCATAAAAACATGGTAAGATCTACAATGAGTTGACTTTAACTTGGAAAAAGAAAAGCTATTGGAATGCTTCCACCTTAATTGAAATAAACTTGGACATGAGGCCAGGCACGGCAGCTCACGCCTGTAATACCAGCACTTTGGGAGGCTGAGGCAGGTGGACAACCTGAGGTCAGGAGTTCGAGACCAACCTGTCCAACACGGTGAAACCCTGTCTCTACTAAAAATACAAAAATTAGCTGGGTGTGTTGGCATTTGCCTGTAATCCCAGCTACTCAGAAGGCTGAGGCAGGAGAATCGCTTGAACCCAGGAGATGGAGGTTGCAGTGAGCTGAAATCCAGCCTGGGGGACAAACGCGAAACTCCATCTCAAAACAAACAGACCAAAAAAAACTTGGATTTGCAATAAACGGTGGTTCACTCAATGTTTCACATGAGCATGAAATTCGCCTGAGGACATTTGTCCCCAGAGATTGATCAGAGGAGCTCTAAATTCTCCGGGCATTTTGCACTCCCGTGAAACAGCAAGCCTTCTGGTAGTGACATTTAGGTTGTGGCAGTCCTAGCTATGGGAGCTGGTACACAATTGCCTCCCTCCTTGGGGCTTATTTGGGTGTTTTTTTGTTTTTGTTTTTGTTTTTCTTTGGCTGTCACAGATCTTGAGCTTTAGAAACACTAGAACTCCTGTGGGTTGTCTCTGGTGCCACTTTGATAACCCAAGTAAGGTAGAATTAGTTATCAGCCTAGACAAAGTAAAATGATTTTTGGCTTACATGAATGTTATTTGATCCCACATCTGTTTTTAGAAGTGATGTCCCTGTCTGTGCAGTATCCTGGTGACACTTCAACCTATAGGCAGGAGGAAGGAAAATGTGGGCTGCCATTTGGAGGAAGAACTGGAAACCAGACACTCCTATTTGGATCCATTTAGGATGCCGGTGTGTTTGTGCTGATTCCAGACTTGGAAACTGGGGTACTTTTTCAAAGAGAGTTTTCAGAGGGACTCAGAGAGGAGCCCGGGAGCAGAACAGGGTCCATTTGTTTCACCTGGAGAATGACATTAGTGTGGTAAGGTTTGCTAAGCTCCTTGCACCTCTGCACAGCCAGGGTGCTATTACCCAGGCTTCATGCATCAGGGCTTTGGTTTGGATCCAGAGGAGTGGGTTCCTGTGTTTTCTGGGTTCTTTGCTGTCCTTAGGATCCTACAGACGCATCACATATACTTGTGCTTCCTTTTTGAAAAGATTTGGTGGTTGGTGTCCCTCTCCTCCTCCTACCTCTGGGCTGTAGTTCTCCTCCCACATCTTCCTTGGCCTCTCATCAGGAGTTTGCATCCTTAGGCAACAAGGGAGGGGCATTGCTGCAAGCTCAACTCTGCTTCCTTGTGTGGGTGCCCTGCCCTTGGATGTGCTGGGCTAAGCCACCTCTTACTGTTGCTGGAGAAGAGATCGCTATGGCCCAGTCGGCACCAGGACCCACCTGTCAAGTTGGGCTTCAGGATGATGTGCTGCCATTATTTCCTTTTGCCTTGTTTTCTTTTGTCCTCCTTCAGTTTGCTGCACAGCAGCTTGTGTATCTGTCAGCCACCCCGCTTCTCCCTGGGCCCCAGGGCCTCGGGGGGCCATGCTGCCTCATTGTTGGTAGAGTGTGCACACAGTGCTTGGGCACCTGCTCTTTCTTCTCCCAGTCTGCTCTCCCCAAAGGCTGCCAGAGGGTCTGATCATATCCCCTCTCCCCTCCCACCCCACACATGCCAGGCCTTTAGCCCCGCACCTTGGGCACCCTGCCTCGCCTCGCCTCACCTTCACCACTCTTTTTTTTTTTTTTTAATTACTGTTTTTTATTTCTTGTTTTGAGACAGAGTCTCACCCTGTTACCCAGACTGGAGTGAACTGGCACAATCTCGGCTCACTGTCACCTCCACCTCCCAGGTTCAAGACATTCTCCTGCCTCAGCCTCCTGAGTAGCTGGGATTACAGGTTTGTGCCACCATGCCTGGCTAATTTTTTTTTTTTTGGTATCTTTAGTAGAAATGGGGTTTCACCATGTTGGCCAGGCTGGTCCTGAACTCCTGACCTCATGATCCACCCACCTCGGCCTCCCAAAGTGCTGGGGTTACAGGTGTGAGCCACTGTGCCCAGCCACCTTCACCACTTTTGTTCTGAGCCCCAATTTTGCTGGGTTCCCTCACTGATCTGTGTTCCCTTCCTGGGTCCTTTTTGCTCCCTCTGGGCCCATACAACCCTTCCAGGTCACTAACTCTTATCATGACCAACCAGGCCAGGCCTTCCGTGGCTCACTCTCCTGGAGACGCTCATTGGAGCTCACACCACTGTGACAATGTCACCTGTCGTGCTGTGGCTCTTTTGCTGGTCTCAAGCCTCTTTGAGGGCAAGGACCACGTCATGTTTGCTCAGGCCTGAACCTTTTGTGCTTGGCTCTGAGTAGGCCCACAGTAATGCCAGTGTGTTCGATGGGAGAATGAATGAGCTGTACCTTGCTATCCCAGCACACCCTACCCTACCCAACTCCAGTCCTAAATAGTGGCAGAGATGGATAGATCATAAGCAATTCTAAATCAATTGTACCAGTGTGGTGGATACTGATAAAAATATTTTTAAAATCGCATATGATATAGAATGTTCCAAATCATTTGTGATATATGTTATCTGGCATTATATTATCAGGGCCTTAAAAAATCCTCTTCTCTCATTAAAATATAATAGTTCCTATTAGGAGCATTTCAGACCCAGTAGATACCTAATGCTTGTTTATTGATGGTGGTGATGACAGCATTTTAGTACAGAGGTAATTGATTTTCACAGTGACAAGCCGGAGGCTCGTTGATGAATGAGCACATGAGGCCCTGCAAGACACTGAAATGCCTTATGAATGAAAGCAATTATTTCAGTGCAGTTTTACTGTTAAGTGATTTTATTGCATTTCAAATTTTAAAAATTAGCAATTCCTGGAGGGTATACGCCACAACTATATGGAACAGGATGTGTGATTGACAACTCACAGCACCCTTAGTGAAGCTCGGACTTTGGGAGCTTGAGCTTCCCCTGCTAACACTGCCCTGCTCTCTGAGGCATGTGCAGTCTTTTGTGAACCTTTTTGTTTTTGTCAAACAATCACTGTAGGGCTGGACAGTGAGTTGACAAACTGGTGATTTATGGAATGGATACCCGCTTTGCACTTTCCTTTTTTGATGATTATCTTAGCAAAGCGGAGCATTCCGTGGACAGCTCCAGCGTGCTTCTCCAGCTGCTAAAAGCAGGTAGTGCAACTCAGATCCAGATTAAATGTCCATTTATTGAGTCCCACTGCTTCCTGAGTGCTTTCTCTAAATGCAAGATTCAGTCCAATCTTCCGGGCACCCTGGTGGCTTGGGGTTCACTGTGCATATTTTTCACATGTAGAAACAAAGACTCAACTTGGGGAGGTTGGAGAACTTCCAAGGTCATGTCCAGCATTCTTATCTGCATGCTCCCAGGCCCACTCAACTCCTTGCAATTTTTTGTTCATATCCTGGGGGGGCAAGGCCAGCAAACCTTTTGCAAATATATGGTTGAGAGAAAAAGCAACCCAGGGCAGGGAAGGTGACTGCGATTGCCATATACAAACAAAATCAGAAAATTCTAAACCAGTCACAAACAAAATGCAGTTGAGCAAATCTTTCTAGGATCTTAATTGTTTATGCAGTAATGGGTGGCATTTATCTGATATAATTTGTCAATTGAAAAGGCAAACAGTTTCAATTCAGTGGTGGAAAACTGCATTCAGGAACGAGTGACAGAATAATCACTGAAGGAAAATGTTATTGGAAACCATTAAGCAAGAATTTATGGGAAAATGAAAGACAAGCTGTCCCCTCATCCCACTCTGTTGAGCTTTCCCTGGAAACTGCAAGCTGCCAATGAGAAGCCAAGTTGAAATGCAAGGCCAGCCAATCAAACAGTTTATCACGTAAGACAACGTAGGCGAAACAAAGGTACTATGGCTGAAAGGGAACAGGGAGGAAGGACTCAGGAAGCCTTGTGTGCTCAGTCTAAACACCTGGCTACCCAGCAAAAAGCAGGTATATTTCATCTAAAAATTAGGTCAGAATACTAGTCAAATCCAATTATAAAACACCTCCCTTTTTTCCTCTTCTGCAAAACATATTTCACGATAAAAGGCAATAACCCTAGCATTATCTGCCACATGATTTAAGAAATAGAGAGGCTTCTAGTATTTCTCCTTCTCTTCCTCCCTGTCCTTCTCCCTCTGTGCTGTACCTGCTTCCATCCATCTCTTTGTATAACTCCCCCTCCCTTTCTTTTTCCCTCCTTCCTTCCTTCCTCCTGCTTTCCCTCCTTCTATTCATTCATCTGTCCATCCATTTACCTACCCACTAGTGTACATTCAACACACATTTTCATTGGCTGTGATGTTCCAGGGCCAGTGCTATGTTCCGGGGATGCAGTCATTTATAAGAGCATCATGGTCTCTGTTTCTTATGGAGTTCACAGTCTCAGGTGGGTGCAGACATGTGACCAGTTACAGTCCTTCCTAATAAGTGCAGGAAGCGTCTCCTCTGCAGAGATTTGCAGCGTTAATATGAAGTTCCTAGCTAGTACTACTACTGCTGCGTCTGCTGCTCCTGGCTGTGCTTATGTAATGCCTGCGAAGTGGCTCCCTGTTTTAAAGACTTCACGTATAGTAACTTACTTAATCCCGTAATTACCCTATAAAGTTCATGCTGTGTTTATCCCTTTGCAGAGGAGGAAAATGAGCTGCAGAAGGATCAAATGACCTGCCTGAGGTGCCCTATCTGTTGGCACAGGCCAGAGCACATGGTGGATGCAGGGGCACCCCCTTCCCTTCTCCTCCCCTCCGGCTCTTTGCTGACAGGATTCTCTCTTGCCTTCTCTGATGGTACCTGTGCTACGTGCCACATCCTTTCCCTCAATGAATTTCAGGTATGCACACTCACTGCAATAAAATACTGTTTACATCAAGGAGCTTGGGCTATGTTGAGAAGTAAATAAAATATCACCACTGTTGTGGTTCCCCCTAACTCACTGTGTTTTCTTATCCTTGTAAAATCTTCCTTTGCAGGCAGTGGAAGGGGCCGCAGAAGTTCCTTGACTCATGAGGCGAGGCATTCAGCGGCCTCGTGACACCTCCCAGGATCTGCAGTCATTGGGCTGCACTTGCCAATAGCAACACCTGGCAAAAATAGCTAAGAAGCAGAGCGGCCTGGGCTCAGGAGCTGAGCAACCCCTGACTGGCCAGATGGAGACTGTGTTGAGCTCTGCCCAAGCCCTGTGATCCTGGAAAACAGTGAAGTTAAGGAGCCATCTGCATTCTAGGGAATGGCCCACTGCAAAAAATAGCCTTCCTTATAGGACGTAGAGGACTCATGATGTCCCCTCATTTATGATGAGCCAACACACAGCCCTTCCAAATTCCGATTCTTTGCTTCATAACTGATGAGCTGTTTTGTTCCCACTGGTCAATCGGAACAACATTCTTGCTAACCAGATTTTGGTTCAGCTCTTCTCCCTCCCCATGTACCTGCCCTGTGTCCTGTCCTCATCCTGAGCCAGCACACACCCCTCCTTAGTAGCTCCTCCTGCAGCAGGCTGACCTCGGACTCTCCCTGATCCATTGTCCAAATATATCACCCTTTCACCCTACATCCTCACACCCCATTCTTTCTAGTTTTGTTCATTCCTCCCTGTGAAAGATGAACCCTCTTTGCCTAACCCCGGACCTGCTTGCAGACTGCTATGATGGCCAGAGTGTCCCCCCTACTGCAAGAGTCCCTTCTGTCCCTTGCAACATCTTTTAAATAAAATCTCTCTTTACCAAGCCTGGATTTGTGTTTTATTTAACTAGAGAGATCCCAGCTGGAAGCTCCTGCATTAATAATGTGGGTACCTGTTCATGAGAACTGGAGAGCTGGTCTCTAGTCAGAGCTGCTGTTGCTGGGGTCAGGCTATTGGGAATATTGAGTACTGGTGGGTAGGATTTAAGGAAGAAAGAGAAAGAGGGAGAAAGGGAGAGGGAGAGAGATAGGGAGAGAGAGAAGAAAGAAGAAAGAGAAAAAGGAAAAAGAAAGAGGGAGGAAGAAAGAAGAAAGAAAAAGGAAAATAAAGAAGGAAAGAAGAGAAAAGGCAGATTCTGAGAAACTATGTCTTATATTCCCAATGAAGTTTTGAGGTCTGTAATGTGGAGAGTTTCATAGAATCAATCCTTCCCTCCAACTTTATTGAGATGATTTAATGAGAGTCCTTCCCTACTGGGGCCCTGAGAAATACATCCTACGACCACAGTCACAAAGCATGGAGGGGATTCAAAGCCCCACATTTCTTTCTTTTTTTTTTTTTTTTTCTTTTGAGATGGAGTCTTGCTCTGTGGCCCAGGCTGAAGTGCAGTGGAGGGATCTCAGCTCACTGCACCCTCCACCTCCCAGGTTCAAGCAATTCTCCTGTCTTAGCCTCCCGAGTAGCTGGGACTACAGACTTGTGCCACCACGCCCAGCTGTTTTTTGTGTTTTTTAGTAGAGACAGGGTTTCGCCATGTTGGACAGGCTGGTCTCGAACTCCTTACCTCAGGTGATCTGCCCACCTTGGCCTCCCAAAGTGCTGGGATTACAGGTGTGAGCCATCACACCTGGCTGAAACTCCACATTTCTTAGGGACAGAGGTCTTTGTCCACACCTGTACTTCCACTAGGCTCCCCACCTCCACTGAGTCCTCATCGCTCTCATCCACACAAGTTTCTCTAATACCTACCCTTGCCCCAAAGCCTCAGAGCAGGGCCCATGGTTCAGCTACAGAAACAGTAGTATACTGCTGGGCATAGAGGGAGGATGGGGGAGAGAGTGCCTGGGAATTGCTCACATTTCTAAATAACCCCCAAATCAGCATTCCTGATACAACTGTTGTTGTTTATAGATAATGCTGTGCATTCACTCTTTTTTAAAAAATTAATTCCATTCATTCACTTAACAGACATTTACTTGCCACCACTATGTTCCAGATTAGCGTAGGGATGAGTTCACTCAGCTGAGAGGAGAGAGCCCCCATCCCATGGGACCCCCTCCCCCCCATGGCCAGTGTGGACACAATGCTATGGGAGCCCAGAGGATAAAGCAATTACATTTTCCTTGGAAAGTCCATACATTCATCAAAGAAGGGGGGACATGGGTGACACTTGACATGAACAGTGAACATTGGGCAGAGAGAGAGAGAGAGGGAGAGAGAGACAGCACCTCCCTAGAAGGAGGAAAGGATGATGGAGAAGAGTGGAGGTTGGCACCAGCTGGAGAGAAGAATGACTGGGGCTCCAAGTGGAGAGAAGAATGCCTGGGGCTCCAAGTGGCTGGAGGGAGGAAAACGGGGTGTGGTGGGGGTGCAAGGAATGAGATGGGTGATGGGGGCAGGGTGAGGCTGTAGCCCTTGTCTTGGGTCTGACAACTCATGTAAGGCTCTAAGAAGAAACCCCACTACATCCACTCTGTGTTTTAGGATCGTAAGTCTGGCCACAGTATAGAGTAGGCTATTGGAGGCCACTTATAGGCTGAGCAGACGACCATGAAACTGCCAGAAAGAACCCGAGATGGGCAGACTGGCCTTGGTCTTCTGGAATGGACGTGGAGATCCAGGGCAGAGGGCAGCAGGCAGGGGCAGAGCTCCATCCACCTCACCACAGCCTGCTCTCTACCCAGACTTCACAGACTCCTCTCAAGGTATTAGCTTGGGCTGCTGGGGCAAGAGTGGCTTCACTAACCAAGACAGAAGCCAAAAGGAAGTCCAGATGCTTGGGGGATGAGTATGAGCATGGCTTTGACACACCAAACCTGAGTTGCTTCCAAGACGCCAGGGCCAAGTGTTTGCAGCAGCAGCAGATGACGAATGAGTGCCACCTTGAAGTCACTGAGAGAGGAAATTGTTGGAGCCCTGAGAAGGGGTAAGATTTGGACATGATATTGAGGTGAGGAGAAGGTTGGGTTTAGAAACTTTTATTTACATTCAGCAAGAAGAAAACGGATGGGTTTAAATTTCATTTTAGTATTTTTCCTCTGTTTCTTCTGCTTGGGGGTACCAATGAATAAATGAGTCCCCTGAAGAAAGGGGATAAAGCTAGCAGGAATTTATGAGTTAAACAGTCAGCACCAAAACAACAGTGGTGGACTGAATGGAAGTGTTGGATGACAGGCTATGGAAAGATAAAAACTTAACTGCTCAGCCTTTCTGTAAATAAGCTTTCTGAAGTCTAGAATTTGGAATAAGAACCTTCATTCATTATCCATTATTGATGGAGAAAAGGGATGGAGATTTATGAGAAGTACCAGGAAGATATTAATGTACAATGAAGAAGCTGGTATTTATAATATACTCCAGTTATTATACATCCAGAAGCTGTCATTACAGTGGATTTCATTACCCTCTTAATTGTGATACTTTCTTTACCTTCTCAGGTACCCATGAACTTTCTCATATATAATAAATTTAATTAAGTTAATAGCGATACCTTATACATCATTTAAAAAAATGATAGCTAAGGTGAAGTAAAATAGAGGAAAAGAAACACATTGCCTGACTTGTTCAAATATGCAGGGCAGCTTAAGGAGTGGTGAGTGACAACACAGGATTCTTGATCACCAACACTGCTTCCTGAGCTCCCAGCTGTGGGAAGTGTTATACACAGCATATGTAAACCAATCTGAAGGTGGAAGACTTTCTGTACATCTACTTCAAATGAGACTAAAATCTTCAATACTTATTTCTTATCCCAAATTTTCGTTCTGATGTGAATGAAACTTTAAAAAAATTGGTATCATTAAAATTGATGTGTATTGTAAACAAGATAAGGGTAATTTATCTACAAAGACTTATGTGATGTCAAATAATCTTTCCTGTTCCCTAACTTTCTGTTCTTAAGCGCCTTTGGTGTTTTGTGAGAAAATAACCTGTAAGTATAAGCCATTAATGTGTCTTTGATTACAATTTATTGCACACCTACCATCGTTATACAATCATCAAAAAGCATTAGAATCATGAAAGTGTGTATACAAGAGGCATAGTCTTGGCATCAGAAGGTCTCTAAATTTAACCTAACAAGCGTTGTTGAGTATGCACAATGGAGAGGGCATTTCATAGGTGTATTTCACACCCAAAGTGATTGAGACAGCCTCCCTCCTCTCCTCAAGACATACCTTGTTTTATGCGCTTTGCTTTATTGTGCTTTGCAGATGCTGCAGTTGTTTTTTTGTTTTTTTTTTTCACAAATGCAAGATTTGTGGGGGCCCTGCCTCGAGCAAGTCCATCACCACCATTTCTCCAACAGCAGATACTCACTTCATGTCTCTGTGTCATATTTCGGTAATTCTCATGATATTTCAAACTTTTTCATTATTATTATATCTGTTACGGTAATCTGTAATTCTGTGATTGGTAATCTTTGATGTTACTGAGAGGTGACAACGTGCTGGCAGCCCTCACAGCTCTCGCTCGCTCTTGGCGCCTCCTCCGCCTTGGTGCCCACTCTGGCCGTGCTTGAGAAGCCCTCCAGCCCGCAGCTGCAATGTGGGAGCCCCTTTCTGGGCTGGCCAAGGCCAGAGCCGGCTCCCTCAGCTTGCAGGCAGGTGTGGAGGGAGAGGCGTGGGCGGGAACCGGGGCTGCGCTCGTTGCTTGAGGGCCAGCGCGAGTTCCGGGTGGGCGTGGGCTCAGCTGGCCCCGCATTCGGAGAGGTCGGCCAGCCGGCACGCAAGCCCCCGGCAGTGAGGGGCTTAGCACCTGGACCAGCAGCCGCTGTGCTCAATTTCTCGCCGGGCCTTAGCTGCCTCCCTGTGGGGCAGGGCTCGGGACCTGCAGCCCGCCATGCCTGAGCCTCTCCCCCGCTCCGTGGGCTCCTGTGCGGCCCAAGCCTCCCAGATGAGCGCTGCCCCCTGCTCCATGGCGCCCAGTCCCATCGACCACCCAAGGGCTGAGGAGTGCAGGTGCATGGCGCCAGACTGGCAGGCAGCTCCACCTGCGGCCCCAGTGCAGGATCCACTGGGTGAAGCCAGCTGGGCTCCTAAGTCTGGTGGGGACTTGGAGAACCTTTATGTCTAGCTAAGGGATTGTAAATACACCAATCAGCACCCTGTGTCTAGCTCAGGGTTTGTGAATGCACCAGTGGACACTGATATCTAGCTACTCTGGTGGGGACTTAAAGAACCTTTATGTCTAGCTAAGGGATTGTAAATACACCAGTCGGCACTCTGTATCTAGCTCAAGGTTTGTAAGCACACCAATCAGCACCCTGTGTCTAGCTCAGGGTTTGTGAATGCACCAATGGACACTCTGTATCTAGCTACTCTGGTGGGGATTTGGAGAACCTTTGTGCCCACACTCTGTATCTAGCTAATCAAGTGGGTATGTGGAGAACTTCTGTGTCTAGCTCAGGGATTGTAAACGCACCAATCAGCACCCTGTCAAAACGGACCAATCAGCTCTCTGTAAAATGGACCAATCAGCAGGATGTGGGTGGGGCCAGATAAGAGAATAAAAGCAGGCTGCCCTAGCCAGCAGTGGCAACCCACTTGGGTCACGTATTGCAGTGTGGAAGCTTCGTTTTTTTTGCTCTTTGCAATAAATCTTGCAGCTGCTTACTCTTTGGGTCCACACTGACTTTATGAGCTGTAACACTCATCGTGGAAGTCCATAGCTTCACTACTGAAGCCAGCGAGACCACGAACCCATGGGGAGGAACGCACAATAATTCCAGATGCGCAGCCTTAGGAGCTATAACAGTCACTGTGAAGGTGTGCGGCTTCACTCCTGAGCCAGCGAGACCGTGAACCCTCCAGAAGGAAGAAACTTCTAACACCTCTGGACGTCAGAAGGAACAAAATCCGGACACACCACATTTGAGAGCTGTAACACTCACGGTCAGGGTCTTGGGCTTCATTCTTGGAGTCCGTGAGATCAAGAGCCCACCAATTTCAGACACATTACTGTTGTAATTGTTTGGGGGGTGCCACAAACCATGCTTATATTAGACAGCAAACAATTTATAAATGTGTGTGTGCAGACTGCTCCACCAACCAGCGATTCCACCCATCTCTCTCCCTCTTCAGGCCTGCCTGTTCCGTGAGACTCAACAGTATTGAAATTAGGCTAATTGATAACCCTATAATGGCCTCAAGTGTTTAAGTGAAAGGAAGAGTTGCACATCCTTCACTTTAAATCAAAAGCGAGAAATGATTAAACCATGCCCAGGTAATTTTTAAATTTTTTTGCAGAGATGAGGGTGTCACTAAATTTCCTAGGCTGGTTTTGAACTCTTGGCTTCAAGCAATCTTCCTGCACAGGACTTCCAAAGTGCTGGGGTTACAGGGATGAACCACCATGACCAGTTTCATCTTGAACTTTCTTTGGTGGGGAAGAGTCAACACCTGGCTTCAACGCTTCAGTAGACAGACTGATCTTCTTGTTAGGGGCTAATGCAGCTGATGACTTTAAGTGGATGCCAGTGTTCATTTGCTATTCCAAAAATCCTCAAGCTCTTAGAATTATGCCAAATCTACTCTGCCTGTGCTCCGTAAATGGAAAAATAAAGCCTAAATGACAGCACAGCTATTTAAATGTTGGTTTACTGGATATTTTAAGCCCACTGTTGAGATCTACTGTTCAGAAAAAAGATTCTTCTCAAAATATTACTTCTCATTAACAATACACCTAGTCACTTAAGATCTCTGATAAAGACGTACAAGGAGATTAATGTTGTTTTCATGGTCTGCTAACACAACGTTCATTCTGAAGCCCATAGGTGAAGGAGTAATTTTGATTTTCTAGTCTCATTATTTAAGAAATACATTTTGTAAGGCTATAGTTGCCACAGATTCCTGTGATAGATCTGGGCACAGAAACTAAAAATCTTCTGGGAAGGATTCACCATTATAGATGCTATTGTTTGTGATTTATGAGCAGAGGTCAACATAGCAACATTAATGGAAGTTTGGGAAAAGTTCATTCTAGCCCTCATGGGTGACTTCGAGGGGTTCAGGACTTCAGTGAAGGTGGTAAGTGAAGACATGATAGAAATAGCAAGAGAACTAGAATTAAAAGTGGGGTCTGATGATGTGGCTAATTGCTGCAATCTCATGATAAAATTTGAACAGATAAGGGGCTGCTTCTTGTGGATGAGCAAAGAAAGTGGTTTCTTGAGATGGAATCTACTCCTGGTGAGATGCTAAGAACGTTTTTGAAATGACGACAAAGGATTTAGAATATTACATAAATTAGTTGATAAAATAGTGACAGAGTTTGAGACGGTTGACTCCAATTTTGAGAGAAGTTCCATTGTGGGTAGAATGCTATCAAACAGCATTGCATGCTATAGAGAAATATGTGGAATCAATCGGCATAGCAAACTTCACTGTTGTCTTATTTTATGTATGTATTTGTTTGTTTGTTTGTTTGTTTATTTTAGTGTCTCGCTCGGTTGCCAGGCTGGAGTGCAGTGGCGCAATCTCAGCTCACTGCAACCTCCGCCTCCCGGGTTCAAGCAATTCCCCTGCCTCAGCCTCCCGAGTAGCTGGGACTACAGGCGCCCGCCACTATGCCTGGCTAATTTTTTTGTATTTTAGTAGAGACAGGATTTCACCATGTGGCCAGGATGGTCTGGATCTCCTGACGTCGTGATCCACCCGCCTAGGCCTCTCAAAGTGCTGGGATTACAGGCGTGAGCCATGGCACCTGGCCCACTGTTTTCTTATTTTAAGAAATTGCCACAGCCATCTTAACTTTTAGCAACCACCACCGAGATCAGTCAGCAACCATCAACATCAAGGCAAGACCCTCCACCAGCAAAAAGATTATGACTCACTGAAGGCTCGGGTGATTGTTAGCATTTTTTAGTAGTAAAGTGTTTTCTAGTTAAGATATGCATAGTATTTATATTAGACATAATTCTATTGCACACTGATATGGTTTGGCTGTGTCCCCACCAAAATCTCACCTTTAATTGTAATTCTCTTTAATCCCCATGTATCATGGGAGGGACCTGGCGGGAGGTAATTCAATTATGGGGGTGGTTTCCACCATGCTGTTCTCATGATAGTGAGCAAATTCTCACGAGATCTGAAGATTTTATAAGCACCTGGCATTTCCCCTGCTAGCACTCATTCTCTCTCCTGCCACCTTGTGAAGAGGTGCTTTCTGCCATGATTGTAAGTTTCCTGAGATCTCCCCAACTATGCAGAACTGTGAGTCGATTAAACGTCTTTTCTTTATAAAATACCCTGTGTCAGGTATTTCTTCATAGCAGCTTGAGAATGGACTAATACACACATAATAATATATAATAGACTGTGTAGTGTAAACATAACTTTTACATGTACTCAAAAATTTAAAAATTTGTGTGACTGGCTTTATTGGGGATATTTGTTTACTGTGGTGCTGGAACCGAATCTGCAATATCTCTATGGTGTGCCTGTAGTCACCATGTTAGCTATGCATCTTGGTACAATCTAACACAAGGGTGGCACATGGTAAGGGAGGAGAACAACATGTTTTCAGATGCGTTACTTCATGTGATACTCTTAAGAAGCCTGGGAGTGAGCTGTGTCTCCCTAGAGCAGGTGGGGAGTGGAGCAGTGTATCACCTATGCTCTCTGTCACCTTTAACCTGGTGCTGTTGTTTAAGTAATGCCTGGTCAATGGTTCACCTTTACTCAACAACAGTGTTTTTCCAAGAGAAACAAGCATGAAAACATCACAGAGAGTTAATTGAGAGGCAAATGTGCTTTTAATCTATTACAGTCTTGTATTGTAATTCAAATGATAAAAATGTACTTCCCTTGTTCCCAACCTAAGTAATTTTAAACATTGTATAAACCAAAAAAAAAAAAAAAAAAAAAAATTCCATGGCTAAAATTCCTGAATGTTTGTGAACGCTTTGTGACATTTCTCTTGCTTCTCTCTGTGCTGTCCACTGGCCTCATAATCGGTTGGTCATTCTTTGTTTCTCTTATGTATCATTCTGTCTTTGGGTGCTCTCTGTTTCTGCATTGGAGCACACAGCTGATGAGAGTAGGTGCTCCCGCTCCCCTCTCTTGGTGCAGTAGATGTATCCTCAGTCAACCTCCATGTGATGGAGCCTGAACACACAGATCCCTTCGGCACCTCCTAAAGCAATCAGACTTCACATACAGGGAGTTCTCAAGGCCACTGGGTGCGTCCAACCACTGAGTCTTATCTGAGCTCAGACCTACATATGCTCATTTTACATTTTCTTGTAATTGTGCAATATAATGCAATAGTACATAAGCCCTAGAAAAACACATGTGAAGAGAGAGTTGTTTCTGTGAAAAATTAGTTGAATCTTTTTGAATAATGGGTAAGACTGCTAATTTAATGGCCAAGGTTAGCATCAAGGGGAGGGGAAACTTACAAAAATCTGGAAAGATTCTACCTCAAATTGCTCTGCAAATGTCTGTAAATCTTTTACCTCACTTAAATGGTCCCCAACTGATCATTAGAGTTGAAATACTATGGGCATGTTTAATGCAAGCAAAACAAAGAATTATAACCATACTCAAAGTAAAGAAAGATCTTGTTCTACTGCACAAGATTTGTGAATAATGTGTATTTATATATTTAGACTTAACATTCTTTCAGAGTATCTTTTAATACTTTCAGTAATGTTTTACTTGATTAATTTTTAAAATTAATCAACTACATACTGCTCCCAGTGGAGACTGTTCAGGAGGCATTTGGTGGGTCATGCAATCAGGCATCATATGTCAGGTTTAGCAGATGCCTCTGAACTCTTCTGCTTTTCATGGAACTCAGAGGGCCATTTGCGAGCCCTGGGAGAATGCCGCTATAGTATCAGTCTTTTCTCAAAACCTACACTTGTCCCCATTTACTTTAATAATCAGCAGATCCCTCCTATAAAACCCTGCAAGGATTATTCTGAAACAGCCCTCCCTTCATCTATTGTCTCTGTCTTTTTTACACCTTATCTACTATTAATGTTTGTGGCAATGTTTGCTATTCTTTATTGTTTAAGGCTTCCACAACTTCTACTTCTTCTAAATCCACCCCCAAAGAGAGATCCATCTCCATAATTTTCTATATGTCACATCAAGCCAATTTCCCCAATGTTCAAGTAGGACGTGGAAATGCAAATAGCTTAACTTCTAGGAGGATCTGAACAACAAAAACCAGCATTAAAGCAAAATGAAATAAAATAAATCCTCATTTCAAACAAGAGGGGCTAACATAGCTTGTGCAAGAAATGTTGAACTATAGATTATGGTTTGACTTTGAATAACATTTGAAAAAAATGCTGGCTTCTAAATGAAGTCTGAGAAATTTTTAAAACAGGACCAGAGACACCAGCTTTACCACTTGCCAAGAAGACTCTGGGGTGATGGGAGCTATGTTGCAATTTGCCTCCTGGTTTGAGTATGACATGAAAAGTCAGCTCCTTTGGAAGGGGATTAGCCACAGGGAATCTTCACATATGGCACATATCTTCCAGACTGGAGGAGGGTTCTGGTTTTCTGAATTTGGGGACAGAAATACTTTTCTTATAGAACAATGTAAAATTGACTATCGGCTTGCCTGGAGAAGAAATATTTATGGAACCTTTCTGCTTATTTATGGGTAGAAAAAAAAATCATCTCATTTGCTTCTGAGACCTGTTAACTTTCCTGGCCTGGGCTGTGTGGCTGAGGCAGCTTCATATTCCCCTCAGATGGTGTGGGTCCTTCCCCATGAGGCTCTGCAGGCTTACAAGGGGTGAGGCTGGGGGCTCCAGGAGTGGTGTGTTGGTTACTCCTCCTATCCATTTCAGGTTCCAAGTGGTAGGTTTTACCAACACCGTCTCTTATGGAGGGAAAGACAGGCACTGACAAAGCATGCATCTTGCGGATGTGGTAGAAACAGAACTAAAGGGGCTTTATCCACCACCCCCCATCTTATTATATGCATTCATCCTGCCCCACAAGAAGCTATGTAATCAATATGTTCCTGAATGACCTTTGGAAAGAGTGAGCTCTATATGATGACTTTATATGATGATCCAGACATTATGCATGTGGATCCCTGTGTCTGGAAGAGAAATGTGCTACTGTACATCTCGAATTCCAGTTACAAGAATGAAATAAGATAGGCTGACAGTCTTGGGATTACTAAACAAGACTGACTTTACGTATGCCATGCCCAGTGATCTTATATTGTAACCACTGAAGATACTAAACTATGGTGACCAATTCAATTCAACACAATTCAACAGCACTAGTAGGTAAAAACAGTATATTAATTATTATAAGAGATGCAATGTCGGGGTAAATGAAATTCCTTCTCTTTTATTCCTGCATCTCACAAGGTCTTGAGCTACACCTGGATGGTTAGTTTGCATGATCATAGATTTATTTATTTATATTTGTTCAGAGTGTAGGCGTTTGTGTTGTGTCTCTGGACACTAGATGTATTTACTAGAAGAACATGTGATAGAATAAACAAGTATCTCACCACACTGGGCACTTTGAACAACTAGAATTAGAATTCTAGAACCTCAAGCAAACTTTTGGATTTTCCAAACTCAATCTCTTACAAATCTATGATTTTCTGGGATCCCTCATTTCTAGGATAGATTCAATTGCCCAGTTCTTCCATCCATACTTTCATAAACACCCACACATACAGAAATAAATTATGAGACTTTCTCTCCTCCCATGTTTACCTCTGCCTCTTTATTCTCACTGAAATTGGATGAAGGTTGTGAGAAAGCCTGTACTTCTATTACAGATTTTATTGTGTTGTCTTAGAAAGTAACACTCAAGAAGGAAATATTTATCAATTATGAATCGGTACCTTCATCGTGAAGCAGACTTAGACATATACAAAATTGAATCATTTCCACAGCTCAGAAACACCCTCTCTACAAATTCAGCTTCAATTGTATCATCATATTTCACTGAGTTTTCAATAAGCAAATGGACTTGGATGTGAACAACAGTCAGGTGCAAGTTAATTTCATTCATTCACTCTCTGATTTAGACTATGGTACCAGTTTATTGACAGACGTATTAATATAAATTCTAGTTTTTCACTTTCTTTCTTTCTTTTCTTTTTAGAGACAGAGTGTTGCTGTGTTGCCCAGGCTGCAGTGCAGTGGTACAATCACAGCTCACTGAAGCCTCTGACTCCTGGGCTCAAGTGATCCTCCCACCTCAGCCTCCAGAGTAGCTGGGGCTACAGGTGTGCGCCACCACACCCAGCTAGTTTTTCATTTTCTTAACCTTAAAAACAGAACTGAAGTTTGCTATATATAATTTATAAGTAAGTCCTGTACCAAAACAGCTTTCTTCTGACTTTATAAATTTGTCAGAGCTTTAGGAGATAGAATGACTGAAAGAGTCTGCTTTGCTACATAGAAGGGACTATAATCAAAAATAAAAAATTGTGTCCTGGATTTCTTTTAATATTACAGGGGTAAATCAAATGTCAAGAATTTTTGTGAAACATAATCTCTTGTTTTATGTAACTGCATGTTAGCATTTGCTAATGAATATGGAAAATAAAAAATATATGCACAGAAAATTATTATAACAATGTTAAATAAAACCTTCAATGAGGCTGGGTATGATGGCTCCAGCCTGTAATCCTGGCACTTTGGGAGGTCAAGGCCAATGGATTGCTTGAGCCCAGGAGTTCAAGACCAGCCTGGACAACATGGCGAAAACTCCTCTCTATAAAAAACACAAAAATTAGCCAGGCATGGTGGTGTGCATCTGTAGTCCCAGCTACCTGAGAGGCTGAGGTGGGAGGATCGCTTGGGCCTAGAGGTTGAGGCTGCAGTGAGCCATGATTATGCCACTGTGTTCCAGTCTGGGCAATGGAGTGAGGACCTGTCTCAAAAACAAAAAAACAAACAAAAAACCAACAACAAAAAACTTCAATGAATGTTTATCTATAAACTGCAGGTGAAGGTATAGTTAATGAACTGGATAATCAAAAACCAATATTTTATAATCTTAAGTTTTCTTTACATAGTCTTTTTTTTAAGGTGAAATTATTCATTTTGTCAGGATTTTGTCACTTTTTTTCCATGACTGGACCATGAGATGTCTTGTGGCCATCTTCTGCCCTCTTGCTAGATTATTAGGGCCTTGTGGACAGAAACAAAGAATTGTTCCTCCTGTTTTTAAGCACACTTTGTTTTTCTGGTGACAGTAAAAAACAAAATATAACAGTACCAACATTATTGTTTCTTGGTATCAGTCTCCCTGATTAAACCTCTTAGAATTGATGCATTCTCATGAATGCTTAACAAATATCACTTAAAAACTAATTATTATAGTTAAATCATATCAGATCCCTGGTTTTTCATCTGCAGTGAAAAAAGAGGTGTACATAGGTTGCAAGATGTTGCAAGATGCAGAATTCCCTTAAAGTAGCTTATATGAAAAAAATTAGAGTTACAGGGTCTCTGATGAAGTCCAAGTTCTGCGGATCCATTGAGTTTCAGGCAAGAATTGCCCCTTAGGAGTGATCTGTAGTCAATAGTTTCTTGTCCCAGTTCCTCTCTGCTTCTCTTTGCTCAGCTGCTTTGTTTTTGTTTCCTCACAGCCTTTCTCTTCTCTAGACTCCAAAACACAGCCAAGCTCACAGGGGAACATCTCCCCCTGCAGCCAACCACACTGAACCTGGAGTCCACATGTGAAGGAGAACAGGGCCTCGGGCTGAGCATCTCTTGTAGGACAGGTCTGGTGTTGATAATAATCCTTCAGCTTTTGTTTGTCTGGGAAAGTTTTTGTTTCCCCTTCATGTTTTAAGGATATTTTCACTGGATATACTATTCTAGGGTGAAAGATGTTTTCCTTCAGCACTTTAAATATGTTATGCCACTCTCCCCTTGCCTGTAAGGTTTCCACTGAAAAGTTTGCTGCCAGGCGTATTGAAGCTCCATTTTATGTTATTTGTTTCTTTTCTTTTGCTGCTTTTAGGATCCTTTCTTTATCCTTGGCCTTTGTGAGTTTGATTATTAAATGTCTTTAGGTGGTCTTCTTTGGGTTAAATCTGCTTGGTGTTCTATAACCTTGTATTTGAATATTGATATCTTTCTCTAGGTTTGGGAAGATCTCTGTTATTATCCCTTTGAATAAAGTCGTCTTTATCTCTGTCTCCTCTTTAAGGCCAATAACTCTTAGATTTGCCCTTTTGAGGCTATTTTCTAGATCCTGTAGGCATGCTTCATTATTTTTTATTCTTTTCTCTTTTGATCCTCTGACTGTGTATTTTCAAATAGCTTGTCGTCAGGCTCACTAATTCTTTCTTTGCATGATCAATTGTGCTGTTAAAGGACTGTTGCATTCTTCAGTATGCCAATTGCATTTTTCAGCTCCAGAATTTCTGTTCTATCCCTTTTAATTATTTCAATCTCTTTGTTAAGTTTATCTGATGGAACTCTGAATTCCTTCTCCGTGTTATCTTGAATTTCTTTGAGTTCCCTCAAAACAACTATTTTGAATTCCCTGTCTGAAAGGTCATATATCTCTGTTTCTCCAGAACTGATCCCTGGTGACTTATTTAGTTTAATTTTTTTCAGATTGTTCATTACTAAAATATACATCTTGTATGCTACAATATTGCTGAATTTGTTTATTGGTTCTAACAGTTTTTGGTGGATTCTGTGGAATTTCCTCTGTATGTGATTATGCCATCTATGAATAGGGACTGTTGCATTTCTTCCTGAAAAATGATTTGAATATCTTTTACTTGTTTTTCTTGCATAATTGTTTTGGCTAGAACTTCCTGTACACTGTACGAGTATCAAAAGTGGACATCCTTATCTTGTCTCTGACCTAAGTGGGAAAGTTTTCAGACTTTCGTGCTTAAGTAATGAATGTGGGTTTTTAAATAAATGTCCTTTATCAGGTTGAGGAAGTTCCCTTCCACCTAGATTTTAAATGTTTTTTTAATCACAAAAGGCTACTGAATTTTATGAAATGCTTTTTTTTGCATCTATTGAAATAATTATATGATTATTTGCCTTTGTTCTGTTAATATGACATATTAGCAATTTATGCCTAGTGTTCCACTATTGGAATGCTAAGCATGTGGGAGTTATTTATATCCTACTGCTCAAAGTCATTGCCAAAATCTGATTGCAAAATTTCAAATAATTGCAACCTCAGGCATAAATGGGTTAATTTTTACATGAGCCACTCTTGAACTCCTACAATAAATCCTACTTGGTCATGAAGCATAATCTGTTTAATATAGTGTTGGATTCAGTTTGCTAGTATTTTGTTGGTTTTTGCATCTATATTCATAAGGTGTTTTGATTTACAGTTTTCTTGTGATATTTTTGTGTGGCTATGGTATGAGGGCTAATGTCGGCCTCATCAAATGCCTTAGAAAGTATTCCCTCCTTTATTTTTTGAAAGTTTTTGAAAATTATTGATGTTAATTCTTCTTTAAATGTTAGGTAGAATTCACTTGTGAAGTCACCTGGTCCTGGGTTTTTCTTTGCTGGGAGGTTTTTTATTATTGATTTGATCTTTTTACTTGTTATAGGTACTTTCAGATTATCTAACTCTTCTTGCGTTGTTTTTGGTAGTTTTTGTATTCCTAGGAATTTTCCCACTTCAGATAGGTTATATAATTTGTTGTAAAAGTGTTCATTACTCTCTTATAATCGTTTTTATTTCTGTAAGGCCAGACTCCATGTACTCTTTCTCACTCCTAATTTTAGTAATTTCAGTCTTCTTTTTTTCTCTTTTTTTTTTTAATTTAACATAGCTAAAGGTTGGCCAATTTTGATGATCTTTTCAAATAACCAGCTTTTGATTTTCTTGATTTTATCAATTGTTTTTCTATTTTCTATTTAAGTTTTCTCTCTGCTGTAATATTCATTTTTCTTTTTCTTCTGCTGGCTTTAAGTTTAGTATGCTTCTTTATTTCCTCAAAGTATAAATTTAGGTCATTGATTGGAGGTTTTTCTCTTTCTTTATGAAAGCATTTGCAACTCTAAATTTCCCTCTGAGCACTGCTTTTGCTGCATCCCAAACATTTCGATCAATCTACCTTAGATGTTTTTGACAGTGAGCTGTTTCCATTCATCATGCTTTTGTATCTAGGACTTCTGTGTAAACCACTCTTGTGGCTATCTGAGTAAGTCACAGAAAATCAGGAAGAGTGGTTCTTGGAAGATTCATATATTTCTAGAGTTCTTACTTTTATATATTCTAAATTGTGCTAGATATAAAAAAATGTTAAAAAAGAATTATATTTTCAAATTCTACCTAATAGAAGAAATAAGCTTAATATAACAGTATACCAGGAAACATTGATGGACTCAGAAATATACAACATTCCAACCTAAACACAAATCCAAACATGTCATTCCCAAGCCTAAAACCTTTTAATGGCTCTTTCTTATTTTCCAAATAAGGCCCAAGTTCTTGTACAAAATGAACAAGAATCTTTAGTACGTGGTTCCTGTCCCTAGCTTCCTCCTTCCTTCTTTTTATTTTCTTGCAATGCCTGCTGCATTGTCTGTGGAGCCTCTGACATCCCCAGCCTCTGGATCCCTACCCATGCAGTTCCCTTGCCTGGAATGCCCTTGTCCTCTTTCTTAGCTTCGTAAATATTTCTCATCTTTGAAGACTCATTTCAGGCATTATTTTCTCCAGGAAACTCCAGATATTTTTACATACGGCTTATACATTTGTCTGCATTGTGAACATCTTTTTTACTAAATTATACTGGAATGATCTTGTTCTCATTTTGTTTTTTTCCCACTATACTAAAATCTTTTGAATCTGAACCTCAATTTGTTCATCTTTTTTTTCCACAGTGCCTCATAAAAGGCTTGGCATGTAGTAAATGCCCAATAAGTATATGTCAAATTAAATGAAATGTGGGCATATATTTAATTGCTGAGTGCTGCAGTCCTTCAGGGAAATGAAGATTAAGAAAGAAATTAAAAGGTTGCCAAGAGCTAAAGTGTTAGGAGTCACCAAGGAAACAGGACTTGGATTGTTTCAGGATAGTAGGATTTGAATGGGAGAAAAAAGAAGGATCAGCTCAGGCCAGGGGCTTACAATTAGAAGGTGAAACAAAATGAAAATAGACTCGGATGAGCTTAGAAATAATGAGACTGGCAGGATTAGAAGGTGAAGGGGCTTAGGGGAAAATTGAGAATGGCCTGTGGACACAGGGTGCACTGGCTTGGATACCACATTCAGACACAGTATCTGCCTGTGCTGCTTCCCACTCAGTCTCTCCCTGCTTGGCAAGTAGTGTGGACTCTTCTAGAAGGCTATCTGTACCCTGCTGAAGACCACTTTTTCTGACTACCAGCTCCAGGAAGGCTTTGCTCTCAGCACACGTTGGAGTTGGCTCTTGGTGGGTGGGTAGCAAGAACTGAGCGCCCCAGAAGAAGCCTGGGCAGGGTCAGCGAGCCCCACAACCCCAGAGAGGCAAAGAAGCCAGCTCGAAGCTGAGTATTGCTTGTTATGCATACCTGGATTTCCCTTGAATCTGCAGTTGTTTTGCTTGTCTGCTATTTTATAGGATACTAATTGCATCCTAGGGCTACGAACTTCTAATGAGCCAGTACCTAGGAGACTAAACCTGGACTTGCTTCTTCTTAGAGAGTATTTTTTAAACAGTGAATTTTAATATACAGATGTAGAATAATAATTTTTCATTTAACATGTAATATTCCTTTGTGGATTAACCTGTCATTAGGCCTGATTATTCCACCACATTATAAGCTCTGTTAAAAGGAGGAAAAAAACAGCTTGTCTTCTTGATGGTACCAAAAAAATGAAATAAAATAAACTAACTGAGTATAAGTGATGCTATATATAAAAGCTGCTATGGGTTACCATGGCAACCAAAGTTCTAAAAATGACAGAAAGAAAAGAACATCAGGTTGTTGTGACAAATGACACTCGAAGTGACAGTTTTCTTGTGGTGCTTGCTTTTAATTAATGCAGCTCTGTAAGGAACGTTATTATTGAATAATAGATTAATGTGGTAAATCAGGAGGCTGGCTTGCAGATTTGTTTTTCCCACACTGGGATAACTGATCAGAGAATGCAGAGAGTGATGGGAGAGTGAAACTCACTGGGAGAGGAGATGACGGATGGCGGCTATCCAGAACCACATGACGAATGTCGGTGCCACATGCTTTCGGGGAGCATAGAAACAGCTGTCTCCAGCAGCCGTGATCAAAGCAAGGCTAAAAAATACAGCAGTCACCACAAAGGAAGGCTGTCATGTAACATCAAAAATACCACTGGCTTAAAAAATCTTAATACATCGTTTTTATTGCTGGTGGGTTTTGTTAAGTGTTTTAATGTCTGCTATGTAGGATGAATATATATATTATATATATATATATATATTTTTTTTTTTTTTCCTTTGGTAACCTATTTATTTCAGCAGGAGATTCTCTGGTTCTTAACACCTCATGTCAGGAGGCCCAGTAGCCCCCCTACCCAGGTATGTACAGATATGAAAACGCGCTGGCAATGTCTAGAGGAGACAGCAGACAATTACTTTTGATATGCATGGAAAAGAAGAGACACAGACTCTTTCTATAGTTGTGGAAATTCGGACAATATAAGGAGATGACATGTCCACCGCACAGGAAGCTGAGGTGAAGACCCAGGCCTCCCAAGGCCCTGCATTCACACCATCCACTCCAGGCCTGGCTTCTATGGGCTTCCATGCGCTGGCTTTGGGTGCTTCAATCCCCCACCTCCGGGATGGGTTAGGTGTGCTCCTATGTGATACCATCGCCCCACGCTTCTGTCTTTGTACACACTCGCCATGTCCTATGTTAATGGTTAATAGCTCATCTCGCCTTTTAGACTGTGAGCTCCTGGAGGCAAAGAAAATATCTTTTCTCTTAACTCATTTCATGGCACATAAAAGGGGCTCACTACATTTTTGTAAATGAAGGAATGAATAAACGAAGCAAAATCTGCCTATCTAGGTGATTTTAGCTGAGTTTCACTGAATTATAATTATGTCAGTTAATTCATCCATCACTCATCAACACTTTAGGGACTGGCCTTGTGTCGATGACTGGGTAGGTGTGGGTAACACAAAGACAGTAAGATCTAGTAACCGCTTCCAAAGTTTTGACATCTAGAGGTCAGCATGAGCAATCAGTACCACAAGACGTCAGGGGAAACACGCTATAACAGAGGTATATGTACGGTAGAATATGGGAGGATAGAGAACTCTCAGAATTGGGGGCTTTGGGACAATTTTCCAGGAGAAAATGAAATGTGAATGGGAGCTTAAGAAGCAAGTGTTAACTAGGCAGAAAAGAGAGGAGATTGTTTTAGAGCAAAGAGTCACAAACCAGAACAGGATATCGTTGAATCTGAGACATGAAGCATGGCTATAAAGCAGGTGTGTGCAGAGAAGCAGGACAAGCAGGGGCTGGGGAGCTGTAAGCATGTAGTTCATGGGGCCATGTGCCTCCCAGGAGGGCTTGACTCTGCAGCTAATGGGAAACCTCTAGTTCTTCCATGCGTGTATTTCAGACTCTGAAATTAACACATGCTTACTATGAACATTTAGAAAATATAAGTAGTAGAAACAGAGGAAGAAACATGAATTGTCTCACACCAGGAATAGTGTTAACACACTCTAATACAGTTTTTTTCACAGCAGCATAGCTATTCTTACAGGGCTCCTACTTTCCTCTTTTCATGCAATCAGGATATGTTGCTGAACTGGTATCTGTGTAGACAATACTCAGGAGTAGTGCCCACAAGGGAAGCTCACCTGAGCCTCAGTGTCCACAGTTTCTATGGGAGCTTGAAGTAGGCATGATCGATTATTCATTGCCCATATGGCTAATTTCAGTCTCCAAATAGATTAATATTGTTTGACCAAAAGCTCTCACCCTAAGCCACATTGTTGTTCTTTCTAGGATGGCCAGCCCTACGTTGAGTATTATGGATGTGGTCAGTGCCTGCCCTAAATCACATTGCTAGGCTATCCAGTATGATCCAAGGACCCCAGGAAAACAGACACAATCTTATCAGGCATCATATTCCAGGGATCCAGAGATTGCCTCTCAGAAGCTGGGGGACAAAGATCAGAACTTTTCTTTGGGCAGGGCTAAATTTTTCACTACACATGGGCACTAGCTGTGCTCACTGGTACTAGGGTGCTAATGTTCTCAAGCTCTCTCAGGGGACAGAGCTAGGGAACAAATGTATGTACATACACATGTACATCTTTATTAATTTCTCTGTCTATCATCTATCAGTCTATATCATCTATTATCTATCATCTATTATTTATCTCTCTATCATTAGACTATCTCTCTATCATCTATCCATCATCTTTTTATTTATCCATATTAAAAACCAGGAGTTCACACCAATACTTCCAATACCAATCCAAATCCACAGTGTTCTTTATAGTTTTTCCCTTTCTCATATTTGTAACTCTCTTCTCTAAGAGTAAGAAACCTATTTCCCATTATCCTTATATATGTACTGATTTGTTCAATCCTCCACTATTGATCAGTCTTCCATCTCTGCCACCATTTTCTCCCTCCCAGGCATAACTGCCTTCCTAATGCTGCTTGATCTCTATGCTCCAGGCTTGGCCACTCCTCCAAGAGGAAACTCCCTTCACCAAACCCCATGATGGCCCACCCTCTACGTGGATACCATTCTCACATTCCCACCCCACTCTTGCCCTGACACCTCATAAGATGAAGAGCTATACACTAATTTGTTAGCATAGCCTTTTCTGAGTCTAGAAAATGATACTTGTTCATTGAACAGCATTCAGAAATACAGACAAGTATAGAGAAGAACTGGAAAGTCATCCGTAACTGCTGTTCAGAGATTTTCATTAACATTTTTTGTTTTACATTTTGTTCTCTCCCTAAGAACATTTAAAAATAGTTGATAACATAATCTGTACAATGTTTACAACAAAATCAGACAAATTCAGACTTGTTCAAGATAGCAATAGATAAAATGAGGGCAAGTGCTAAAACAGAATAATATTAAATGCTGATAGATTATGAAAACATTGGAAGATCCAGGCAAGTGTACCTGAAAATACCACCAGTCACTTTGATCATGCCCCCTCCAGAGGGTGATGTCTCCCTCTCGTGCAGTCCTGCCCTGCTGTTGAGAGACGGCTGCTCCATTGTAGGTCATGTGTCTTTAATTTAAATGGAAGTGGTGGCTGAGGGAAGGAGGCACAGAGAGGTGGAGAGGAGAGAAGACAGGGGGCAGAGGAGAGCCAATCACCCTGTGACTGTCATCTCAATACCTGCTGGAGGGGTACAGACTCCATCTCTGGTGGCATCACCCAGCCTGTTGATCATGCTTGGAGGATGCTTGGAGTGTAGTCATCAGAGATAAAAGCGCATGCTGGAAAGAGTCATAGTTTCTGGCCATGATGTTTCTGTTTAAGGAGTCTTCGTAGACACAGCAGTGGAAAATCAGAGAGGATGCGTCAGGGGCTGCCACATGACCCCCTTCCAACCCAAATTCTCCCTGAATGTTGAAGACATCCAGAAGGCTGACGACTGTGTAGGTGGGATGTTTTGGAAGCAGAACTGAGGCCATGATAGTGAGAAAGAGGAGGAGGAAATTGCAGGGAGCCCTTTAGAAGATCCACTCAGGGGAACACCATGATTGATAACATACTAAATATGAGTAAAAATGAAGACAACTGATTCTTTTAGGTTTTCCTACGTGGGTGTGGGTGAAATACAAAATGAATGTATGCATTATTAATATTTTAACTTTTCTTTCCTCTAATAACTACACTTTGCAAAAACATCCTGGAGAGTAAGAATTGGGTCATTTCTTTGGGCTGTTCACATACTGATAGTGCTGAACAATTAGAATACAGTCATTCCATGCTTCTTGGATGAGCTCTTGGTCTTACCTACAATAAGCATTACTGTGAACATTTAGCTCCATTGTAATTGATAATCATCTCTGGGTATATTAAACTGAGAGAACAGAACATGTTCACTGAGATTCTCACCATCTATCTGGACCTTCTGGAAGAGGATGTGTGCTTTCAGGGTTTTGCTCCTGGGTAGTCAAAGTCAAAAACAGTGCGGCGATGAGGCCATGAATTTTGGAATTTAGCCCTCAGGATACGTTTATGCTTTTGCATCCTCTCTTGGGTAGTATATTTCCTGTATACTTATTTACATCTTAATGTGAATATTATATTAACCCCCTTTCTAAATAATTCACAGGAATTGCTAATACATTGCCATGAATCATTTATTTTTATTAAAAAAACAAACAGGCCAGGCACGGTGGTTCACACCTGTAATCCCAGCACTTTGGGAGGCTGAGGCAGGGGAATCATGAGGTCAGGAGATCGAGACCATCCTGGCTAACACGGTGAAACCCCATCTCTACTAAAAATACAAAAAATTAGCCAGGTGTGGTGGCAGGCACCTGTAGTCCCAGCTACTTGGGAGGCTGAGGCAGAAGAATGGCAGGAAGCCAGGAGGCAGAGCTTGCAGTGAGCCGATATCACACCACTGCACTCCAGCCTGGGCAACAGAGCGAGACTCCATCTCAAACAAACAAACAAACAAACAAAAAAACAAAAAACAAACAGCAAAATAAGTATCGGTCTATAAGGAAAAGTATGATATGCAAACCATGAAGATGAATCAGCTGATGAGTACCTAGGGTTTTTGCACCTTATGCAAATATTAGAAAAATGAGTCACATCCAATTCTTTCCCATTTTAGATTATTTGCCACAAGACAATGTCAGTTGCATTGCTCCTCCCTCAGGGAACCTTAAGAGGAACTCATATCTTTTAATAAAGAAAGCTTCAATAAAAGGTCAATTGCTTTTTTGTTATCTATGAGCATTTTGCTTTATCAACAAAAATAAAGCTTCCTTTACTGAGGCAGCAAATAAAGCCTTTGTTCATACCTGCACAGGGCACTCACAGGCAAAGCACGGCAGGAAGATCAGAGCCCAGAGAGAGGACAAGAAGAGACAATACTGAGAAGCTATGAGTAACATTGTTATTGTGCTTGGGCACTAAATTTTTAGTACTCAACTTCCTAGTAGCCAAAGCAAAAAGGAAAATTGGATAAGTTCTGTGGATGTCACTGCCTGCTAGAAGGAAGGCTATTCCTTCCACAGAAGAAATAATTCCAGACCTTCATTTATTTGTCCTTTCAAGAAATATTCACTGTACACTCAAAATGAGCTATGTAGAGAGTTAGGCTTGGAAGAGATTTGTAAACAAGACAAACACCTGCGTAGATGTGGTAGCTTGTCTTGAGGATGACCAACATTATTCTTCCTCTCTGTGCAAGCACATGTCCCTCGTCTGTTGAGAGATAAAGTCTGTTTCTCCAACCAGAAACTGGGCTGGTCTGGGAGTATGTTGACCAATAGAATGAATATAGCATAAGTCACACTAGGCCAGTTCTGAGCCTACCTTTTTAAGAAAAGTGAAAATTCCTGCTTTCTTCCTTTTGGAAGCCAGCTACCATGTAAGGAGTGCAACTACCCAGAGACACACTCCCACGGCATGTGGAGAAGTGCTGGAGAACAAGATGCCACATGGTGAGGTACTAGCATCAGCTCCATCCAACTACCAGCTGAATCCAGCCAAGGGAGTGACCGTGGTAAATGTTGCGGGGAAGAGCAGCAAACCACACAGCTGAGCCCTTCCTTAATCATAAGCAGAACAACGTTTTTTGTTTTGTTTTGTTTTGTTGTAAGCAGTATATTTTGGGACTAGTTCATTACATAAGCTCAAAACCAAAAACTTACAGTTTCAGAGAAGACCAGCAGACAAACAAGTAGTAACAGAAAGTATGATACATGTTAGGCTTGCTTCCTCTGCTCTGTATTTCAGGGAGCTGTAATCTTACAAATATTTCCAGTTCACCTGACCAGCTGGCTCCTGATTAGGTTACGTCAATTGCAGGCACTGTCAATTTCGCCTTTGGGATCATTGATGGGAGGTTGGAAGGTAGGAGGAAGAGACAATTTTTTTCCTTCTCTTTTCTAGAGTAGTGATTGACTCCAGGTTCTGGTAACTTTGGCATTTCCAGCAGAATTTGCCAGAGCTGCCTATGAGATTCAGCATTTCCAGAAGCTGAGATGGTGTGTAGTGAGTGGCCTGCTCTCACGGTGGCCATCACAAGCAGCTGATTGACTGCAACATCAGCAGCCTGGGTAGTTCCAGTAGTATTATCTGCAGACTCTAACAATGTCAGTGGTGAGATGCTCCCCAGTGCTGCTAGTGCCACTTCCTCCCTCTTTGCTCTTTGGTCACTTCCTCTACTAGAAATACCTAAAGTGTATTCTGGCCTGGCACAGTGGCTCACACCTGTAATCCCAGCACTTTGGGAGGCTGAGGCAGGTAAATCACTTGAGTCCAGGAGTTCGAGACCAGTCTGGCCAACGTGGTGAAACACTGTCTCTACTGAAAATACAAAAATTAGCCAGGTGTGGTGGCAAGTGCCTGTAGTCCCAGCTACTCGGGAGGCTGATACAGGAGAATCGCTTGAACCCAGGAGGCGGAGTTTGCAGTGAGCCAAGATCGCACCACTGCACTCTAGCCTGGGTGACAGAGCGACACTCTGTCCCCTCAAAAAGATAAATAAATAAAGTGAATTCTGCTTTTCTAGTGAGACATCCATGGATACAGCTTTTGCAAGCAACACTGTACTCAGGGAACAGACCCCAAATGATGAAAAAGTTAAGATTGTTTATCTTTCCTTGGGCATAAATACAGTAATGACCTCATTACCTGGGGAAAATGAGATACTGGTATTTCACATATGTAGTGGCAAAATATTAATTAATTAATTAATTAATTTTTGAGATGGAGTCTCACTCTGTTGCCCAGGCTGGAGTGCCCTGGCGTGATCTTGGCTCACTGCAACCTCCACCTCCCAGATTCAAGTGATTCTCCTGCCTCAGCCTACCGAGTAGCTGGAATTACAGGCGCCCACCACCATGCCTGGCTAATTTTTGTATTTTTAGTAGAGATGGGGTTTCACCGTGTTGGCCAGGCTGGTCTCGAACTGTTGACCTCAGGTGATCCCCCCACTTCAGCCTCCCAAAGTGCTGGGATGATAGGTGTGAGCCACTGCATCTGGCCAAATATTTATTTAAATTATAATTTGGCATTACGTAGGATAAAGGGTCTCTGAAAGTTAAGGTACTGGAACCAAGAGACTGCTACAATAAACCATTGTGATGGGGGGCTGGCTATTTCTGACTGCACTCGAGGGTTTACAAAAATTCTTAAATTCTCAGTTCAATATATGATCAGAGAATAAGAGATCTTGTGATGGCTCTCAGATGATCCTCAGACAATCCATTGTCCTTTGTTAGCCACAAGAAATAAGAGATGTAGTTGAAAATCAGGCCCATAATCTGATTCTGCAAGTCACAGAATTCAATATAAGTTAGATTCATAGCCTGTCCATATCGCTGAAGTGAAAGTCAGGGCTCTAATTTCGAAAGAATGGGGCCTCCAAGAAATGGAATGGGGATATTTCGGTTGGCTCAGATGAATCTGAGAATCATGAAGCCCCAAATTTCCTTGAGCTTTTTGCCAGTAGAAGCGGCCTCCCCTTCCTCTGTCTGAGAAAGATTGTCTTCTCTTGCTTGAAGCCTTGATCAGTGCTCTTCAGACCTTGGTGTGCATAAGAATCACCTGAGGATCTTGTCAAAATCAACATTTTGGCTCACTAGGCCTTGAGAGTGGCCTGAGATTCTGCACTTCTAGCAAGCTCCTAGGCGACACCATGGCTGCTGATTCACAGACCACACTTGGCACACCAAGGGACTCAATAAGTGCCTCCCCATAGCAGTTGAAAAGAATGCCAGTTCTCTACCAGATCTATCCTCACCATCTGTCAATATTTCCAGACCTGAAATTAGGAGGTCAAGTATAAAGTGTAACCAAGCATGAGATAGCATTGAAAGAGTTGTAACAACGTGCCAATTTATATTAGAAGGAAGTTAAAGAAGATGTAAGGAAATGGGTCCTAAGATTGCTAGACCAAGGAGAAAGAAGATAACATTGAATTAGGCCAAATTTATCAAAGTAGATTCCACATGTTAGTTTGAGAGTCAGGGAGTAGTTCTACCTCCCAGCTTCCGTCGTTAGTTGACTGAAACGTGGACTTAACAGTGACCACTTTCATTGGGGTTTGTAATGTTGTACACCCATGGTGCGAGGTGGACTAACACTTTTAAAGGCTTAGGCACACAGTTACATTGGAGTGAGATTTATCAAGTGTGACCCACAAACCTGCCCATTCACTGCATTTCCCAGATGGGACCAGACTTTCTTCATTAAAGTGTTGAGAAATGCATTGGTGAGGAGAGCACCAGATGCTTGAAAACTCTTTTGTAGCAATCTTCCATGAGCCAGGTTGGTGAGAAAATCCACAGTGCTTCCTGGTTCAATGGGAATCACGGAATCTCAGAGTGGCAGGGTCTAAGTATTAGATACAGCAAAACCACCAGGAAAAAATGGGCTCAGTTACGGAAGTATTGATGGGGCAGCAGGGATCTTTGGCAGTGATGTCCTAAGAATGAAATAAATGGGTGGTCTACCGAATGATTGTTTGATATATGCAATTTTATTTGATTGATTTCTAATTTTTTAAGAGACAGGATCTTGCTCTGTCACCCAGGCTGGAGTGCAGTGGCCCGATTATAGCTCACTACAGCCCTGAACCCCTGGCTTCAAGGAATCCTCCCACCTCAGCTTCCCAAAGTGCTGGGATTATAGATCTGAGCCAGTATGCTCGAGTGGTCTATGCAGTTTTAAAACTCTAAGTCTGGTGGCCAGAAACATGACTCGATTTACTGGAATGGAGATGTTTTGTGTCATCCAGTACCAAGAACTGAGTCAGCTCACAGTCCAAAGTTCCACTGGAGGAAGGGGAGACTTGGTCTACTTGAAGAATGGCCCCTCTACACTGCAACAGGAATATGTTGTAAAGATCCCCCTTCCCCATTCTCCAGAGGACCTGTGGTCATTTGTTCTATTAATTTACACTGATTTTGATGTGGCACTGCTTCAATCCCTTGCTGCAGGTAGGAAGCTCAGAATTTTTATTGTTATTTATTCCTCCTTCTCTTCCAATACTTTTGTGTGGTTCCTTGGAGCTTAGTAAGTAAATGATGTTTTGGCCTCAACCTATCTCAGCATGGTTCCTGTGGGTTGCAGACCAACCTGATTCCATTATGTACAATTCAGATATACATACTTGGCAACTGACATTATTGTAGTGCTCCCGGAATCTTGGAGTGAGGACTACTATGGTGAGAAAAGACAAATGGTGTTCCCAGAACTTCCCCCTTCTTATCAAAATGGTAAAGCCAAAGTGATCCTGCTTCCCAGAGGGAATCAGAGAGATTTGTGCCACCAACAAAGACTTGAAAGATGCAGAGATTTTCCTATCATCTACCCAATTATTCACTTGTCCACTTGACCTGTGCAAAAGACAAACAGATCTTGAGAATAACTTGACTCATGCACATTTACAGCCCCCTTCACCTTGCTAACTCATCCTTCAGGTCTCAGCTGAAATATCATTTCCCTGAGAAACTTCTCTGACACATAGAATAAGTTGTGCACACCCTCCCCCTCCCCCAAAAGTCAGTAAGGCTGAGCGCATAATGGTAGATGACAATTTACACAAAAATAACACTTGCATAGGTTGGTCTAAAGCCAGGAAAACAGATACTTCAAACAGGTAAATCTAACAGAGGAAATTGGTTGCTAATTTTTTTTGAGGAGCTAGAGGAGCAAAAGGGGCTAACAATTAGATTATTCAGCTATTAGTAACTGCAGATGCCACCATTCACTTAGGGTTGAAAGAACAACAAAGGAGGATGGTATTACCTGCAGGTAGGAGTTTGCCATGCAAGACCTCTGCTGGGCACACCATTGCCACTGGGACCACACCACTGTCAAATCCACTTATGCTCTGCTGAAGCTTCCTGGCTCGTGGAGCCCACGGCTGCCCACTACTGCCACTGCTAGTGGCTCTTAGCTGATGACAATCCCTGTCAGAATGTTCAGTGCCACTGGATTGCATAGTTGCTGGCAGCCATCAGGGAATGTCTGCTGCCAAGGACACCATCAGAAGCTCTGCTTTCTTGATATATTCCAATCTTCCAACAGAACCTCCCTGGGGCAGGTGCTAACCCGATGTCTACTGGAAAGGGAGTCTGGGGAATGGGGTTTGCAGAGATCCAGGCCCCTCAAAAAGGAGAATACTATAAAAGATTCTAAAGAGGACACAAACAAATAAGAAAATGACCAGAGCAGTCAACCCTTTTGGCTACTTGGCATCCATTCCCAGCCTTCCACTTGAGTTTCATTTCTGTACAATACAACGCTCAGAGTAGCTTGCTGGATTTATGAAACAAGTGAAACATTTTCATCTACTTTTTCAAAAGGTGGGGCACAAAGTCCCATCTATAGCTGTCCCTGAAGCCAACCCTGGATGAGGCTGACAAGTTAGTTCTGGCCAAAGCCAATGGTACCCTGGAGTTGTGTAATGGAAGTGGGAATGGAGAGTTGCCTCCCACTCCCACTACACAATCTTTTAAGATTGAGTTTTTGTGTGTGTGTGTATGTGTATTTTAGTAGAGATGGGGTTTCTGTAAAGCATCCCCTGTAAGTATGTCTCAGATGGCAACCAGTATGAGAGATATTTACAGGAGAAGTTTTTCAGAACTCAATCATAAAAGAATTGTCATATGTCACATAATAGAAATGTCTAATGCAATAATTGCAAGGATTCAAATGATCTTTTGGACCAAATCTTATATTGCCTCCAACACAAACTGAGAGCATAGAATTAAAATTCGGTCAAGGAATGGAAGTGACTATCTCTGCATGAATAATACAATTTCCCCCCACATAAAATCGTATCCCTGTCTGCAACCCATGCTGTTGGTTTATCAATGGTCCAGGCTCTCACTGGTTCATGTTCATGCTTTCTTGACGGATTTTGATTTTGATTTTGATTTTGATTGTCCGAATTAGGCTGAAGCATCAGCATTGGGAGTAGTCACAAGTTGGTCAATCCAAGTGAGTGGCACAATGATTGTTTCAAACAATAGAACTTTCAAAGGATGCCCCTGCCTGTTCTGGAAGCGGTTGGCTCTCCACTACTCACACAGGCTTACATTATGGTTAAGAGTATCCAGGCCTAAGCACGGAAAGAAATATTTTAATCCCATTTGGGAAATGGCTTAGAAGCTAAGAAAGTTTCAAGAACTTTCTACCTCTGAAAATGTGCATTTGCTAAGAGTATTGACCTCAACTTAGCCACATGTGTGATTCTATCCAGAGGCTGATCCCGTGCCTCAGTTTCCCCAACTTCTGTGAAAGCTGACTTGGTGAATGGGATCTGGTTTCTGTCCTTGCCCTCTACGTCCCTGTGCAAACCTCTACTGAAGCTATATTTCTACTTGCAGACCTCTCACTTCTTTATATCCCAGCCCTAGTGACTCCTGCTTCAGGAAGCGCCTCCCCTCCCTTCTCAGTCCTCAAAAAACTTCAGAGGGAGGCTCCTGTGGCATGGGATCTTCCATGCTCCTTCTTGTCCCTCCATCCTGTTCACCATCTCGCTATCTGCCGGCCGGAAACACTCACTGGGGGCATAGAGAACAGTGAATTGCCTAGAACGTAAGAATTCCTTTGTAAGATTTGACCCCTAAATATTATCATTTGTTGTGAAAATTTGGTATGCAAACACAGCAATGCTGATTACACAGCCCGTTTTGCCGGGGTTGTGACCTACGAGGTGAGTCTTCAGGTCTCCACACATCCTTAAGGATTATGTAGCTTTTCACAGTCGTGTTTTTAAGCTTCTTGCTAAGGCTTATAAATTTACGAGTTTCACTGTGTTCCAAAAGAAAGGTCCAGTCATTCCCACACCGGGAGTCGAACCCGGGCCGCCTGGGTGAAAACCAGGAATCCTAACCGCTAGACCATGTGGGAGATGACAAGTAACCGTTGAATTCTAAACCAATTGAATCATTTCCGCCTGCCCTTGCTTTCCGCCTTCTGCCACGCCTCCGACAACAAATCCCTGTCTGCGCCTGCGCCTGCGCGGGCTTTCGGTGCTGACCGCTTGTTGATAGAGGTGTGCTCCTTCTCGAAAGGCGGAGGCAGGGCTGGGCGCTGTGGCTGCTGGCACTACCCAGTTCTTCAGCAGCGCTGTGCCTGGAGGCCCCCAGCCCCTCGCCCCCCGGCTCGCGGGAGGCGGCACCAGACCTCCTCAGGCCCTGGTCCCTAGGAAACTGCAGCCCGGCCTCAGTTTCCAGAAAGCTCCTCCGTGCGATTTGGGAAGAGCACGGTTTGAATGGTTGAAAATAGAGGGGCTGAAGAACCGAGCCGCGCGGGCCTGGCTCCGGGGCTGAGTTCCCTAGCGGGCGCCGAGCGGAGCCTGCCATTAGACCCCATTTTGCCAGTCAGGCCATTTTAACTGAAATTTTGCATTTAGATTAATTCTAATTTCGTGAGCCAAGCCCGAATGGATGAAACCCCGAATAACCCATAGGACATGTTTTGGAGCGAAAGGCCTTCCGAAACTGCGGGCTTTAAGATCTTGTTCAGAGAGCATGCTCTTTGCAGGGACGTGGTTGGAGCTGGAGTTCTTTATCCTCAGCAAACTAACGCAGGGAACAGAAAACCAAACACCGCATGTTCTCACTTGTAAGTGGGAGCTAAATGATGAGAACACATGGACACATAGAGGGGAACGACACACACTGGGATCTATGGGAGGGTGGAGGGTGGAGGAGGGAGAGGATCAGGAAAAATGGGTACTAGGCTTAGTACCTGGGAGATGAAATAATCCGTACAACAACCGCCCATGACCCAAGTTTACCTACGTAAGACACCTGCGCGTCCTGCACATGTATCCCTGAACTTAAAAAAAAAATCTTGTTTAGGGATGGCCTTACATTATTAAAACAAAAATAAAAACAAAACACCTAAAATCATACGGGAAGAACCCACTAATTGCACTATGGTAACAACACTTCCATGGCCAAAAAAAAAAAAAAAAGTAAAAAACTAAACTGCTGAATGGCAGATAAACATGTAAAACCCATAAAAGAAAAAAAAAAGAGACTGATATTAAATAGATCAGAAACTACACATGAATGATAATAAGACAAACACTGCTATATTAAAGTGAGAACTTAATGAGACCAGGCCCTTCATGGAGAGGAAGCCTATGGCTAAAAGGCATTTGAGAAAGATCTCAGCCTCACTGATTGACAGCCAGCATTTGGCCAACAAGCAAAAGTGTGGAAATGTCAGGTACCGGCAAGCATGTGGAGAAAAGGAATTTCCTAGAAACTTGTAAAGCTTGATCAGGGAGGGAGATTGTCAGGATTTCCTAAACGTGCCTATGATCAAGCAATTCCATTTAAAAATTTTTTGCAAAACCAGTATGGTTCTGGAACTGCTGTGCATACACGGAACACGAAGAAATACTGCTTTGAAAATACCTGTGTCAGACACAGCCTAAGGCACAGTAGCACTACCACACTGCAGCCGGCAGAACCGTCCTAAGCAAAAAGCACAAAAGGATGGAGGGGTTAAGAGATTCTTAATTTCAGCTGTAAGAATTTCAAAGGTCTATGTGATGAAATTAAATAATTCTTAAGTATTTCAAACGTTTATGGGATGAAATCACTATAAACAATGCAACAGCCAGCCCTAGGCTGGGAGAAAATATTTGAAATATGTTTGATAGGAAAAGGTGACTATCCTTAAGGCACGACTGAATCTAAGCATGCAAGAAAAACCCACAGAAGGGGCTGAGGCTGTGAATAGAGGATTTAGAGGAGAGGGGTTCTGATTGGTCAGCAAATGGGGGCTGGAGCCAGCTCTACCTTGCTGGTACCATAGCAACACAATTTAAAGCAGTTCTAAAATATCCAGCATTAGGGAGGAAGTGAGGCCACAATCTCAGACAATGACAATAGGTACAGCCCGTTTGGGGCAGGAGCAACCTGACAATTACCTATCAAAATAGGAAGGTGCACCTTCAATCTAGAAATTTCAATTCAGTGTTGCCCAAGGCCAGGAGCCCTGTGATGGCCAGGTCTTAAAGGAGTCAGTGTGAGGGGACAACTCTGGGCAGTAGCAAGCAGTGGGGACTTGGGAACCCTGAGGCCTCTACATCCTGGTCTGCTGCTCCTACACCAGGACAAGGCCATTCACCTTTCTGACAAATGAATAGAGCGGCTGGCTTTCTCCTGCTGTGCTGCGCAGTTTTGCTGGGAATCGCCTGCCCAGGCAGAGGCGGTCTTCCCCAGCTGTTTCTCTCTCGGTGGTGCCATGGATGGATAAGGGGTGAGTGTTGATTCCAGGCCCAGATGCTTAGACAACTGGCGATCCTTTCCCACTCTGCTAGTCCACTACCTGAATGTAGAGGATTCTGAGGCTGCAGGAGGAGCCAGCGCCACAGATGGAAAGAGAGCGGGTCCCTGAGTCACTGCGTGGAAGCCCCTTCCAACCACCAATGAACACATCGGGTTTTTAAAGCTAGAAATAAAGTTTTATTGCATTCATCATTTAAATTTGGGGCTTGTTTGTTATCACTACCCTAAGCGACACAACAGGATCGTGGAAAAAGGGCAAGCACCACAAAAATGAAACAAATGTTCTAGTAGATGATTACGTGCCTTAGCAATGATGGGGGTGGGGTGGGGAGACATGGGGGTAAAGTATGGTAGAAACTGAAGTACAACAAGAAGGCTTGAATAGTTTGCTTCATTTTACAGAGAAGTATATCAGGATCCTTCGCTTCAGTTTGGTAATATTAATCCAAATAATTTTTAAAAATAAGAATTAATCATACATTTCTATAATTTATTGGACACTTGATGTATTTTAATAATTTAGAATTTAGATTTCAGAAATGTTTAGATCTGAAAGATAACTGGGGATTGTCAAGGCTAGAACCTGAAAAATATCCAGGAGGTAGAAATCACTGGCCCCAAATCATCCAACTGAGAGATTTAGTGAAATCCTTTTAGCAGATCATCCTGTATTGGTCCCATGATAAAAATAATATTGGAATATGATGAAATGAATGAAAGTCTAAACAGCATTTTTTCCATCAAGGAATGGAAAGTTCCATGACAACAAACATTCTGAACCAGTGTCTATTAGTTGTAATTTGGGTGCTATATTATTACTGGTAATCAATGGTTTATTAACTTGAGCAACCTGAGAGTTAAAGTAGAATAATATGGATTGTGTATGTGTGTCTGTGTGTATATTCATGTGTATAAGTTTCCTCCCTCTTTTGAAGTCAGATGTCCCTGGCATAAATGCTACTTCTAAAAGCTGACTAGTGCTGGGCAGGAGAATCGCTTGAACCTGGGAGCAGGAGGTTGCAGTGAGCTGAGATCGTGCCACTGCACTCCAGCCTGGTGACAGAGCAAGACTCCGTCTCGAAAATAAAAATAAAATAAAAATAAAAATAAATAAATAAATAAAAGCTGACTAGCTAATTTTTGGAAAAACTACTGAACCTTTGAATTTGAATTTCCCTCTATAATAAAAAGAGTCTCTGTGAGAGCACTGAGTCCTTGCGAGGGTGAGTTCTTAGTATCATGCCTGAAATGAAGGTAGTACTTACTGTGGGTTAATTGCCAGTGTCCACTCTCACCCTACAAATGTTCTGTGGAAAGCCTCAGTCTGGCCACCTCCACTCAACTACTGAACAGGGGTTAGCAGGGACCCATGGCTCCTCCAGTGACAGATCTTGTGGATGATCACTTCTCCAGTGGTGTTTGGTTCTGACTGAGCAAATTACCTGCATTTCACCCCATTCTGTCTGCCCAGACCTCTGTAACAGTATCATCCCCAGAAAGCTGAAGGGACTTGCTTAAGTGCACACAGCCAATTTGGCCAAGCTGCTGGGAAAGATATCGTGTGTTCTCTGTGTGTACATGTGTGCTTTCCTCTTCAGCTCTCTTTCTTTTGCTGGAATCTGGCAGTGCTTCTTGTCTTTATTGGTTATTTGATAACTGTTTAAGGCCTTGTGGTTTTTATCATCTTTAAGCCAATTAATCAGAGCTCTTTCATATGTAAACATCACATGTGCAACACATGTAAATACACAGAAAGACAAAAGAAGGTCCAGTAGTTGTAAGATTTTTCATTTGCCAGTTTTTAAGTTTCTTAAATGTATGTTTTCAAAAACCTTAAATTGAATGCAAGTTCCTTGGGTAAGAGTCATGTCTGCACTGGTTTTCTGCCCTGTCCGTGGAAAAGCATGGAGCGTAGTACACAGGTGAAATGCAACTACTTTTTTTTTTTTTCTTAAAGAAAGGGAGTCTCACAGTCTTGCACAGGCTGGAGTGCAACAATTTTTTTTGATAGGTTTATTTCCTTTTTAATGATAGTTAAGGTTGTAGAAATAATTTTTGGCAAGTCCAACTTTCTCAACTCATGTTAAATAAATGTGTCCAGTGGGGAAGGAAGATGATGACTACCCTTATTCTTGCTCTAACAAACACACAAAACAAAACAAAAATTGACATTGCTTCCAGAGAGTGTCTTTGGTGGTTCTCTAAGCCAAGCAAAACTTCTATTTTAAAAAGTAACTGTTTAATTATATTAGCTTAACCTCATGAAATTGTCAAGAATCCACTGGTTTTGACTTACTACAATGGAAATTTCATATCGTTCAACTTAATTCCTCTACCCCTAACTGTGAGTGTCAGATCTACCTATTATATTAACAGGGGAGACTAAATGGAAAGCTCACTGTTTAATTAAAATCTGAGGTTCTCCAACATCAATAAGAACAGCAATAACAACAAAAAATTGTACTTGCTTCCAAAATTACAGATACTTTGATTTTTAAAGTGAAAGAATATTTCAGGGGAAAGAGACATTTAACTGATGGCAATTAAAACATTTTATTTTGCATATTTTTACAAAAACATATGACTCTAAGAAGATATTCCGGGAGCTACTCCCAGGGCTTAGAAAAGGCCGGAACAACTGAGGTTCCCGGAAGCTTAAGCCTCATTAACTTTGTGAGACTTCACCTCCGGCTGAAAGGAAAGAGTTAAACATTCCTGTCAATGTTCTCCCTTAGGTCCTATTATCAGTGAGTGTGGGTCTTCACTGGGTCCCTCCAGAACTGTTGGATAGGCTTCCTCGCTGGTCTCTCATGCCCCAGGTTTGTCCTCTGTCTAATACGATTAGGCAAGTCCACAGTTTAAAACCCTTTAATGGCATTAATCATATCAGATCACGTTCAAATTCCTTAGCAATTCGGGAAGGTTATTAGCATCTGACTCATGCCCCAACCCACAGCCTCACTTCTCTGCTTCAGATCCTTGAAGCTTCTCCTAACACACCCAACTGCTTGAAAACATTTTTCTTTTGTCTGATTTGTTTCTTCCTAAAATCCTTTCTTTCCCCTATTTTATGCATGTTATTTGTCCATTTTTCTCTACCTAAGAAATGTGTACCTGTCAGCAAGACTCAGCTTGAATGTAACTTCATTATAGAAGCACTCCTAAATAAATGAATAGTTCAAAAAAGAAATCCTCCCGGAATTGACTTCTGTGCCATGGTGCCTCCATCCCCATCCCAAGAGGATTATTCTCATCATACCACTGATTAAAAAAAACTTCAGCTGAATTAAATGTAAAGGGGTTTAAGCAATGAATGATTCATGAATCAGGCAGCCTCCTGAGCCAGAGTAGACTCTGAGACTCCAGCACAGCCATGGGGTGGAAGAAGACTGATGGACAGAAAAAGGAAAGTGACACACAGAAAATGGAAGTGAGGTACAGAAAGAGCTGGATTGGGTACAGCTTGGTGTTTGCCTTATTTGAACAGTTTGAACAGTTGGCTACATTTGATTGGCCAAAACTCAGTGATTGGCACAAGTGTAGGCTGCGGTCTGTTTACACTTCCACTTGTTGTAGTTCACCATGTGCAGAGAAACCTTTAGGCTGAACTTAAAATATGTAAGGAGGCAGCTTTAGGCTAAACTTGATTTAACAATTTCACCCCAAATTAGAGAGATCAAAACTTTAGTCATTGATGTCACTGTAACCATTGTAAATATACTTATTTGGTCTTTAAACCCACTGGGAAATGGTAGAACAGTGGGTTTTGCAAGGTAGGAGCAAGGACTGAGTAGAAGGTACCTCCTTATGCTGGAACGTCCTGTTTACAGGAGAAAAACAAAACCTGATCTGTTCTAGGATCTGTGTGTTTCCTTAAAGTCTTAGTTTGATTACATCACATTTAACGTGAGTGACTCCATTTTGGTTTGGTCTGGTCCTTTTGGGGCCTAGTGCATGAGCTCAGTCCAAAACAATGGCCTCTCATAATTTTGTTTAAAAATTCCTCCTTTTGGGTCAGGTTCTCACTTAGGTGAAAGTGTGACCAAAACTAAGGGCTTTAGTGCCACTTTCAGTACCATCAGTTTGGGTTTCTGGTCTCAATGTGGTCATTCATAGGTTACGATGTCGTCATGGTCACACATTTCTTTCAGTTCTTGTCATTCCAGTTGAAGAAAGACCATTTGACATTTTAGAGATGGCTGCATGCAAACATTTAAAACTTTTGAGAGAATACAGCATACCAGGGAGACTACTATTATAACTATCAGGGGGATAATAGCAAGAGTTTGGAGTATCCTCCCTACCCAAGACCCCCATAAACCAAATCACCTAAAATTAAATAGATCAAAGAATGAGCTAAAGAGTCGACTTGCTTAATTAAGTGGTCTCTTTGCTAATCCTTTACAACTGAATCTCTGTAATCTACTTTTGATATATTTCTCTATAGGCCACAAGTGTCAACAGTGACACAGATAGTTTTCTGTTTAGCCAGTTCTATTATTTAGCATAATTTTCACAAGATAATTTAAAGTCTGCTGTGTAACCATGGCTTTTACAGTAGAATCTGCTATAGAGCCTATCATGAGGGAAACATTTCTCATCATTGCCTTTTTTACTCGAAACCATGGAAAAAAGGACCTAACAAATGATGCCCTTCTAGAAGAGTGAAGCTCTCCTGGTAATGTTCTCTTTAACCCATGATGTGGGTTAAGAGGAGTGAACCAATGCTCTGTTTCTGACTGATTACGAGGCAAAGTGTGTACCATTAAAGTTTCTGTTTCTCACCTACATCGGGCCTTCATCTTTCATCTGTCAAGATATAAGGTTATCCATGTATAAGGCTGGCTGCAAAATCCTTCATAACTAAAAGTATACCCCATGAGTGCACACAACAGACCCCTTTTCCACTTGTATTGTTCATACAGGCATAAGCAAGGGGAAAAGTATTCAAAGATAAGAGTCTCATGATAATAGAAGTCTTGATCTGTGATGTTGGGAAAAGCTTTTTGCATCAAGGATGCCATCTTCTTCTTAGGGAGAAACTTCCCTGGTTAGCTTTACCTTAAGGGTTCCAATGGGTGTACAGTTCAACAGTGTGGAGGGACCCTTCTCAGTTGTGAGATTATGAACCCAAGGCTCGAGGTCCTGAAGTTTTACTGCAGTGAGGATGGCTAAAGCAATCTTTCTCTGATGTCTCAGAGGATCCAATCTTCGGGTTCTAGATTGTGAAGGAGTTGATTGTCCTCAGTGAACCATAAAAAGTTTTTTTGCCTGTGACATAATTATTGTTATAACATCAGTCCTCTTGCATGGTAAAGCTTTCATACAACCAGAAAATATTCACTGAAAATGACAATTAAATGAAATCCCTCCATAAATGTTTAAATGACCCATTGGGTAGCCAAATGTACCTGAAGCTTTGATTGTCTTCCCAGGAGTATAGGTTTGAAAAACCAAACATTGGTCATAAACTATTTTAGCAATTTAGAATTCATGCCAATGTATATTTAATTTGGGTCATTTTATCTTTTCTGTGATGAGTCATGGAATGCAGAGCTTTTAATAAAATCTTTAAAGAGTCAGAAAGGACAAGGTGACTGTCCTGGTTCTCCATGAGTCCATGCTTAACATTGGACTTATGTCTTCTCGAATACCAGTTACTTCTCCAATTTAGATACATAATGCTGATAACTGATGGGTTAACATAGGTAATTTGACTTAGACCATGGAGTTCATTCAATTTGTATATCTAAACAATTTCAGTATTGGCTGATTTAGCGTGAAAATCTTGCAAAGTATTTTCTTGGTATTCAATTAATTTTTATTTTACTTGGGTTAGCAGTTTTGTAACCCAGTCAGTCTTTTCATTAAAGTTCCAGGAATTATTACCCAGTCCAAATGATATGATTTTAAAGTTACCAGAAACCTGTATACAAGAGTGATTTTCAGGGTCTTTTCCATCCTTTCATGAACCTCCCAAAAGACACCATATTCTAGGATTTGGTGTGCTTGTGAAGTTTTCAGAAACTGCATCAGCATTAAGCAATTAACTGTGGAAATGGCTTTAAATAGTCATAATTAAAGCCACACTTGACAAGGAAATTTGGTTATTTCTGTGGTCTAAAATAACTTAACATATTATGATTGATAGCATATACCAGACATATTCGAATTTTAGCAATCCCATACAATTTTGGAACATATATTAACATCATTCACTAAAATATAACATGAAGAATGTTAAACATTATTTTTTACTTTTACAGAGCTTCCCATGTAACTTAACATGTCAAATAATCCTGTTGACCTCTTTTAAAGTCTTCAGGGGCCCTCTGTAGCATGTCAAAGTTAGAGGTCAGAAGAGACGATTTTGAAGATGAAATTTGATTTTGGGAAGCCTGTGTAACCACCCAGTGGGTTCACCTTGCCCACTGCCTAGACAAAGCCAATTTATCAAGACAGGGGAATTGCAATCAAGAAAGCGTAATTCATGCAGAGCCAGCTGTGTGGGAGACCAGAGTTTTATTATTACTCAAGTCAGTCTTCCTGAGCATTCGGGGATCAGAATTTTTAAGACCAGCTTGGTGAGTCGGGGGAAGCCAGTGAACTGCAAATGCTGATTGGTCAGGTCCGAGGTGAAATCATAGGGAGTTGAAGCTGTCTTCTTGTGCTGGGTCATTTCCTGGGTGGGGACCACAAGACCAGATAAGCCAGTTTGTCAGTCTGGATGGTGTCAGCTGATCCATCAAGTGCAGGGGCTGCAAAATACCTCAAGCACTGATTTTAGGAGCAGTTTAGGGAGGGTCAGACTCTTGTAGCCTCAGCTGCATGACTCCTAAGCCATAATTTCTAATCTGTGGCTAATTTGCTAATTTGACTATAAGGGCAGTCTAGTCCCCAGGCAAGAAAGGGGTTTCTTTTGGGAAAGGACTGTTACCATGTTTGTTTTAAATTATAAACTATAAACAAAGTTTCTCCCAAAGATAGTTCAGCCTACACCCAGGAATGAACAAAGACAGCTTGGAGATTAGAAGCAAGATGGAGTCGGTTAGGTCAGATCTCTTTCACTATCTCAGTGACAATTTAGCAATGGCGGTTTCACCTATAAAATATGTTAACGGTTTGAAACACTTGATATTATGAAATAGAATTCTAGGTCACCATAAATCATTCATTTAGTCAAAATACTAACTCGAAACTTTTAAAAAGGCAAAAATCTTCACTTATTGATAGAAGGAAGACTTAGCTTTCCAAACCATCTGTCTCTTGTTTTTCCCTTCTTTATTCAGTAGTTTATTCAAAAGGCAAAGTAAAATCTTTCGTTATTGTTTACATGAAACAATTCGTTTTTACGAATTGTTTACATGAAACAATTGTTTATATGAAACAATTTCGTTATTGTTACATGAAAATCTTGTTGAAGAGAAAAAGCCAAGTTTCACCCTTGAATTAGGATACTATTAATGTCAACCCCAATCTTTAATAAAACCTTATAGACAAATCTATTTAATCTTAATCAGTTTGATCATAAGGTGAGATTCTCATAAACCCTTTATAACCCTTTACAAATTTTTGTTAAAGAGCAGATCAGTGCTCTAAGAAAACCCTGTTGAGCTTTTATTCCAATATGTAACTTATGGAAAAACTGAATAAAACCCCTTTAACTTTACTCAGTAAGTTCACACACAGAGTTACTTTTACAAGATTAACTTTTCACAAACCTTCCACAACTTGCTTAAACCTTCAGCTTTATCCTTATCTAACCTAAAACAATTCTTTAACCCTTTAATCTAGGCAAAAATATCCACATTCCCATGACTTCTTATGATCTTTTACTAAAAACACATTTCACTTTCTTTATACCCCCTGCATGTAAAACTGTTCCTTCAGTAGTCTCAATTATATGTTACAATGTTAACACTCAGCAACTTTTTTTTTTTTTTTTAATTATTTTTTTGGAGATGGAGTCTTGCTCTGTTACCCAGACTGGAGTGCAGTCACATGATCTTGGCTCACTGCAACCTCCACCTCCCAGGTTCAAGTGGTTCTCCTGCCTCAGCCTTTCGAGCAGCTGGGATTACAGGCACTCACACCACTCCTGGCTAAGTTTTGTATTTTTAGTAGAGACGGGGTTTCTCTGTGTTGGCCAGGCTGGTCTCAAACTCCTGACCTCAGGTGATCTGCCAGCCTCAGCCTCCCAAAGTGCTGGGATTATAGGCGTGAGCCACCGCACCCAGCCTCACTTAGCAAGTTTTATTTTTGGTGAAAAACCTGGTAAGTGAGCGATTCTGATTATGTACCAAGTCTGGAACCTAGAACACCAGACAGAAGTGCAGATAAAGTCTGACTCTTTCCAGCATAGCCAGGGGCATGGGTAACTCCACTTGTCCCCAGGCCTTATTTAGAATCTAATAGCTCTGAAGCAGTTCAGTCGAACACTTTTCAAAAGTCAAAGCAGTTTATGACCTTAAAGTATTTAGTAAACCTAATATCTGACTTGCCTAATTTAGACCAAATGTCTTTATTTTACCAATAACCTTTATAGCTGTTTCTATTTCCCAAAGATTACTGAAGTCATGTGAACTAAAAAGCATTACATTTTTTACTTTTCTGACAAAATATTTGATTTAAGCACTTATTATTTTTAAGCCAATTAATCAGAGCTCTTTCATATATAAACATCACATGTGCAATAATATAAATACACAGAAAGACAGAAGAAGATCCAGCAGTTGTAAGATTTTTCATTTGCCAGTTTTAAAGTTTCTTAATTGGATTACTGGCTTCATGGTGGAGTCCTTGGAGGAACAGGGCTAGGAAAACACGCAGTTATTTTTTAGGGTCTAATAAACAGGCACAGCTGGAAGGCAAAACAGATCCCCCAAAATACAGGGTTCTATTATCATACTGACTCCTGGATCCCCAAAAGAGAAATGCTGTGGAACAAGACAGTGCAATCATTTTCCTGTGCATTTGATTGCAAAGTAACCCAAAGCTGATCAGTCCATTCTGTGATCAGCCCATCCCCCAGGGGAGTCTTATCTCTCAGCCGGGGTGGGGGCATTTCCATACTTTCTAGCTGGCCGTGAGCATGCTTTTCTGATCCAAATGTGCAAAAAGCTGTGTGTCCCCCATAGTTACCATTAGCCATCCCTAAAATTATATTTAGCCATAGATTTTGAGAGGGATCTATCTACTTTCAATTCCTGGGGTTTCACGAGGAAAACAGGTTTTTCCCAAAGCAGGATCTATGGCACCTCCTCCATTTTCCCCAAGGAGTCCCAAGCTGTTAGAAGAAGTTCTCTTAGATCCTCTCTTGTGTGCATCAAGAGTGGCAAGACAAAATGGAGAAAAGCTATTCAGCCAACTGAGAAGGAAAAAAACCTTTTTTCTCCAGAAAAGAAGATTCAAGAAGAGAAAAAATCATAAAGACCCTTTAAATATATGCGTGGCTTAGATATCTGCTTTTAATTAAGCTGACTTTTAACCATAGCGCTTTTTAAAATTTCTTATTACCCTACTTTAGCCAGGCCAAATGGTGAATATTTCTGGCTTTTAAGCTTTATCAAAACTAACCTCACAGGCAAAACCAGTAAGCCTCAATTAAGGTTCTGACTTAACCACGACTGTATGAGGTATTTTCAAAGAGGTGGTTAGCAGTTTTTAAAAAATCTAGACTCTCCAAAGGTGGATCAGAGAAAGGAAGATTCTACAAGGGAAGCTAGAAATTGTCCATGGAGGGGAAGAAGATCAACAAATGGCCAAAGTTACACAGACATCAAACCAGAAAGGACTCATTCTCTTGGGCCAGAATTGAATCCTGAACCTGGGCCACCACTGTGAAAGGACAAGGTCCTAAGCCTGCGTTCTATCCTAAGGTTCCCCTCTTCATGACAGAATGACACAGAAAGACAAATTCATAGCACAAGGTATACCAGATTCGCTACAGCTTAAGACTGGCCTCACGAATACTTTTGCCCGTTAATTAAAACTTTGCAAGAGAGAGTGATTTTTAACCATTCTAACAACTGGTTTGCAGAGAGACAGAGAAAGACAGAAGAATTGCCTGCAGCAGGGTGGGGAAGGTGAGGAACTCAGGGAACCCAGAGAAAGACCCACCCATTGCAGTGATACTGAATCAGAAGTTCAGGCGGCCACTCGTCGGTCATGAAGGGATCTTTTCCAGCAGTCCCATCAGCTCTCAAGTTTTCCCCTTTGGGAAGGAAAAAGCTCCCCATGTCCAGTGAGCCTGTACATGCCTAATCCTGTCCCCCACAGCCATCAGGAAAAAGTAGAAGGCAGATTAATCCCAATAAAATAGCAGTTAACATCCCATAGTATCAAATCCATTTTTAACCGAGAGGGACTTTACTGAAGGGAGAGCCTCTAACCCATTCCTATCTTTTACCCCGGTAAAATGTACCCCACTACTTTCCCAGAGTCAGCCAGTTGGTGCTACAGCCTATTTCCTTTGGCTCGAGATCACAACTAAGCCAAAAGTTAGCAGATTTAATTTTTTTTAATCAAAGCTTTTATTTGACTTAAGCTTTTTATTTGACTTTCATAAAGTCTTTAAATAAAAATACTGAAATCCATTTAGAAGCTTCTGCCTATCAATAGGCATCTCTAGATGAGACTAATTTGGGAGCCCTCATTTTCAAACGCACTTCAGTGCAGTGTTGTTCATTTGGAACATTCCACTATAAGTTATGTTTAGTAAGATTTCACCATTTCTGTCAGACTTTGTGGCTTCTGGGGCCTAATACTTATGCATGTATAAGCCAGAAGGAACTCAGTTCTTCAGAAATTAAGGATCCCATTTTCACCTAAAATATTGGCTTTCTCTCAGGTACCCTTTATCAGCTTTGCCAATGATTTTTCCTATCTAAGCACTCAAGAAAAATGACACAAAGGAGTAGAACACAAAAATCCCTGCGAATTCCAAAAAGCCAAATTTACACTCCCTGCAATATTGCCATTTACCACCATTTGTTTTTCTGCCCCAGTCAGATGTAAGAGGCCTCTAAGTCAGTTAATTACTGCATCCAACCCAATTACGCACGCAGTGCAGTTTCTGTCACGACTTCCAAACCAAGTTTACATCAGAAATTTGCTCAAAGAAACTCGGAGAGCTCAAAATACAAATCCATGGAGCTTTGGAATCTGAGCGAGATCTTACCACCGCCCCCTGCTGCCCTGAGAGAGCAACGGGCACAAGGAGCCCGGCGGGTCCCTCGCTTGGTCACTCAGTGCTCACGGGGGTCGCTAGAAGCTCTACCTCGATCTGTTCTGACGCCATCTGATAAAAGAAAAACTTCAGCCAAATTAAAGTTTAATTGAGCAATGAATGATTCGCGAATCGAGCAGCCTCCTGAGTCGGAGTAGACTCAGAGACTCCAGCGCAGCCACGTAGTAGAAGATGATTTATGGACAGAAAAAGGAGAGTAACATAAGGAAAATGGAAGTGAGGTACAGAAACAGCTGGAATGGGTACAGCTTGCCGTTTGCCTTATTTGAACATGGTTTAAACAGTTGCCTACATTTGATTGGCCAAAACTCAGTGATTGGCACAAGTGTAGGCTGCCGTCTGTTTACACCTCCACCCGTTACAGTTCACGATGTACAGAGAAACTTTTAGACTGAACTTAAAATATGTAAGGAGACAGCTTTGGGCTAAACTTGATTTAACACCACCAGTCTACCTTGTACACGTTGTTGCAATTCACTTCCCATCCCATAGTATGCTTAGTTAATGCTAATTCTTTGCTTATATCTATTTTCCCCCAAACTTTACTTTTTGAGAAAGAAAAAAAACAGACCAAACTAAACAGGCCTGATGTCTGAAAAGCTGGCCTGGTATTCCCAACTAGACCATCCTGTTCTCCTTGTGCACACACTCAATCCTGCAAACACCAACTTCAGACAAGGTTACTCTGAGGCCATGATACAGTGAGACAAAATAAGCCCATTTCATAATTTTATTTAAGCACAGACAAAAACAAGTTTGCTGTGCCACCCACAAAATACCAAACATCCTTCTCTCTTGGCTAAAATGAGTGACGACAGCTCCTTATCAATTACAATATTTACACTTGCACTAGTCTGGTTTGTCCTCCCCACAGATAAGATTAGTTGAGACACCGAGTGACTGAGTTGCCTCTGCTTTTGTATGATTTCCAAAATAAAGCAAACCCTTCCCTTGAATCTTCCTCAATTCATCAACGTAAGCCCAAATCATATAAAAGCTTCTGACACCTCCTTGCTGAGATGCCATGGTTCTCTGTGGTGTGTGTTCTGCTCACTGCAACTAGCAATAAACCCACCTTGTTCAATCACAAGGGTGCTCCTGGTGTTCTCTGATTCAAAGACACTGATAGAAATAGAAGTTCCTCTGAGATGCAGCTGAGATCCGCACTGCCTCAGACTGGGATGATGGGCTCTGTGTATTAGTCCGTTTTCACACTGCTATAAAAATACTATCCAAGCCTGGGTAATTTATAAATCATAAAGGAAAGAGGTTTAATGGACTCACAGTTCCATATGGCTGGGGAGGCCTCAGGAAACTTACAATCATGGCAGAAGACAAAGGGGAAGCAAAGACCTTCTTCACATGGTGGCAGGAGAGAGAAGTGCAAGCAGGAAATGCCAGATGCTTATAATTCCATCAGATCTCATGAGAACTCACTCACGATCACGAGAACAGCATGGGGCAAGCTGACCCCAGGATCCAATCACTTTCCTTCCTCCATCCGTGGGGAGGACGATTTGAGATGAGATTTGGGTGGGGACAGAGACCCAAAGCATATCATTCAGTGAGGGAGCACGCATCTGCACAGCCCTGCGCCTTGGGTGCCACCTTTCCTGGCTGGGAGGTAAGTTCATGCTACATTGAACTGCTGTATTTCAGTCTAGCCTTTGGGCAATGGGTTTATTTTGTTTTCCTAGGCGTTATGTCCCTTGGGATTTTTAGTTATCAGATCTAATTTGTACTATTCTTTGGCAAAATTGTTTCATGGCACCTAACACCTGCTTGTCTAATGCACCAGCTGTTTGTCTGTCTGCTTGTCTAGTGTCCTGAAAGTTATTTGTCTCTGAGGGGAAAGTTTGTAAGAAGACAGTGTTTCTAAGCCTGAGAGTCCATCATCAAAGCCAACCTCAGAAGAAACTGAGAAGGTTTCTTCTCAGGCCTGTGTTCTATTGGCCCTGGATTACCATTTCAAAATCTTGTAAGTACTTCTTCCTCAGTCTTGCTTTTGTGTCCCTGAGAACTGTTTTTATTTAATTTTGTCTGCTTGGAACCAGGAGATTTTGTCTGGCCCCTGATGGATGACAATGGGTCTTTGCCAAGCTCCAGAGACAGAATAAGACAACAGCCATCGGTAGGGACAGGCTGTAGGTTTCATGACTCTCTTCAAGATACACACACCCCCCTTCAGGCTGAACTGCAGATTTATGTTTTATTACTAGAACTCTTACTCTTGTGCATAGCTTTTTAAGTGGCACAATTTTACCAAAACAATTCAAAACTGCAGTGACCACTTTAGAAAACTGTTTATCGAGTAGCACTTTAGAACAAAAAAGAAAGAAAAATAGTCGGTTCTCTTTACCTGATATGAGGAAGCTTCTAAATCCAATTTAGGCCCCAAATTTGCCGCACTAAGATACTCATTAGCTACAGTTAATGAAAAACATAAGAAACTATCTCTCTAAACAACATCTTTACACAGTATTCAGGATTAGCTACTGCTGACATTTCCAAAGACTTCTTTTTCTGTTATTGTTGTTGTTGATGGTTTGAAGCCACAAATTGCAGACGATTGTAAATTTAAAATTGGCTAAGAAATCACCTTACTGCATGATCTTCACTATTTGACTGAAAATTTTGTAGAGACTTGAGATATTAAAAAGTTTGAAACCCTCATGAGGGAATTGTCTTGCTTAAAAGAAAGCATTTTGTTTAACATGGGAGCTATCGCTACCTTCGTTTTCATCTTTTTCGTGACTAAGTCTGACCTTTTTGATCGGTTGGCTTGATAAAAATTTTAATGATCCCCATTGTGTGGAAACCAGCTAGATGACACTCTTTTGAGTGTGAATATGTCCAAATCTTTCTTTCATACATATAAACTTTCTTTCCTCTCTTTACTAAAACAAGATAGTTAGCTTGGTCTGAAGAGCACTTCCTTTTTTCATTCTGTCACACTCTTATCTCGTGAGAAACTTTACCCATTAACTGATAAAAAAAATTCAGTTGTTGTATGCATATACTCTAGAAAGATTTAACTCAGATAAACAGTCAAAATTGTCTAAAAGAGACAGAAACAAGTTATCAGGCTATGTTTCTCTTTGTGGCTACTGAGAAGTTCATTTACAAGATAGCCTTTGTCACAACAGCTATAAGATAACAATAAGAGGCTTCGGTTTCAAAATAAAAGGAAACCTTGGCATGATTCACAGTCTTCAACAATTAGCTTACCGTAAAAAATGTTAGTACAATACTTGGATTGTTCAAGACCAAGGTTAAATTTCTTGTGCTTCAAATTTCCCACGTCAGCTTTCTAATTTAAATTTCCACTGTTTTCATAACTTGCTTCAAACTAAAAATTATACGTATAAATTTGTATTCAATTGAATACAGTAATAATGATGATGTCGTTTTACTAATAAATTTTAGCTTTAGAATCGTATTGTATGTGCAGAAACATTGTGAAGATAGCACATAGCATTTCCATTACGCCACAGTGGGTTTCCCTGTTATTAATATCTTACATTAGTATGGTGTATTTGTTGCTATTAGTGAACCAATATCAGCACACTATTATCAACTAAAGTCCATACTTTAATCAGACCACCTTAGTTGCTTACCTAATGTCTTTTTTTGGCTCCAGGATCCCATCCAGGATACCACGCTTCATTGAGTGGTAATGTCTCCTTAGATTTCTTTTGGCTCTGAGAGTTTCTCAGACTTCCTTTGCTTTTCATGACTTTGACAGGTTTTGGGTGTTGTTGCCATTGTTGTTTTGAGACAGGGTCTCGCTCTGCTGCCCAGGCTGGAGTGCAGTGGTGCAATCTCAGCTCACTGCAGCCTCGACCTCCTGGACTCAGGTGATCCTCTCACCTCAGCCTCCCAAATAGCTGGAACTACAGGCACGCGCCACCGCGCCACCACGCCCAGCTAACTTTTTGCATGTTTTGTAGAGGAGAAGTCTCGTTGTGTTGCCCAGTCTGATCTCAAACTTCTGGGCTCAAGCAAACCTCCTGCCTTGGCCTCCCAAAGTGCTAGGATTACAGGCATGAGCCACAGAGCCCAGCCAACTTGGACAGTTTTGAGGAGTACTGGTCAGGTATTTTGCAGAATGCCCCTCAATTGGTATTTGACTGATGTTTTCCTCATGATTAGACTGGATTTATGTGTTTTTAATGGAAAGATGGCTGAAGTAAGTGCCATTCTCATTGCATTCTATTACAACATGACTTGCTACTGTCGACCTTAACCTTGATGGCCTGGCTGAGGTCCTGCCTGTCAGGTTTCACCGTTGGGTTACATGGAGCCCACGCTTAGGGAGGCAGGAGTTATGCTCCATCTCACTGTGTGGACTATCTACATGAATTATTTAAGATTCTTCTGCAAAGGAAATTTGTCTATTCTTCTCCATTATTTACTCATTTAATCATTTATTGTGTGCATGTGAGTTTTGGCACTTTTCTTACCTTTTGGCACAATAAAACGTACCAGGCTCATCTTGTATCTTCCCTGCCCCAATCCTAGAATCAGTCATTTCTTCAGGGAGCTTTGGTTTCTTTTATTGGAGAACCGTGTTAGGAATCAAGATCTGTGTGATAGGTGCGCTCATTATTCCTGGGGCATCACTGCTTCTAGGCCCTCTTAACAAAAAGAGTATATACATGTATGTGTGTACACACCCTACGTATGAGTTTGCATTTATAGATACTGCTAGAGATTTTTAAAGTTAAGGAGGTATGTATTCTTATTTTATTAAGGGTTTCATAAAAAATAAATGGCAAATATTTAAAATATATCTTTTCATTTTCTACAGGGATGATGGCTTTTTACATATAAATGTATAAATTATATTAATAACATTGCATTATATTCAGAAAATTATATGAAGAGATTTTCCAGTATTGAACCACACTTGCATCCTTTAAATAAACCAGAACAGGGTTTATTTAATCCTCATGAGGCAGGAGAACAGGGAATTAGGGTAACCAGAGGTTAAGGCATAAGCAAAAGAACAGCAGGTGCAGCCATTTCTAGGCGAGATTAGGCGGCATCCAGGCCACATCTTCACTTCTCTGATAACAAGACAGAAGTTTCCACTTCAGCCTCTGATTCACCGCAGGCCAAGTCTCCACTTCAGGCTCTGATTGGTCGCCAGCCAATCCTTCATAGGGCATAACCAATTGGAGGCCTCTAAAGGGCACCTGGGGGTGTTACCAAATTCTTTTTGGCCTAATAAAAACCCTAAAGAACATTGCAATTGGGTTCTTAAGCATATATATATATATATATATATATATATATATATATATATATATATATATATATATATATATATGCTTATATATTCATATATATGCTTATATATTCATATATATGCTTATATATTCATATATATACATATCCATTTATATATGAAGCTAAATGTGAGTACATACTGATGTCTCCAACTCTAATCTATTACCTATGGGTCATTCTAGCCTGCTTTTGCTTATATGTAACCTCCTCCTTTAACAGTGAGAAACCTGGCACCCACCATTCACCACTCATTTCCTTTTTAATTCCATATAGTGTGTAATAGTTTCAGGTGTGTAAACTCATACTTTGGGAAAAAATTACCATATAGAGTACAGTGCCATGTATAGCTACTTTTACCATTAGTCTTGCAATCTCTACTCATTTCTAAAATTGCTTAGGTCAGCACTTTTCTCCTTAACTCTCTTCAGTGAGGTCCGTCATACATTTGTAAGACTGTTAGATTCTTTTGCCACAGTCCGCATTTCATCCTGAGATTCCCCAAACTCCTAAATGATTTTTTAAAATTTGATGCATTAAAGTTCCCCTTTGTGCTATAAGGTTCTATGCATTTTGACAAATGCATAGTTTCATGCATCCGTCACTACAGTATCACACAGAATGATTTCACTACCCTAAAAAATTCTCTGTGCTTCACCTACCTTCCCTCCCCAGATCCCTGACAACCACTGTTCATTGTCTCTGCAGTTTTGTCTTTTCCAGAATGTCATATAAATGGAATCACATTGTATGTGGCCTTTTCAAACTGGCATCTTTCACTTAGCAATGTGCATTAGGATTCACATGTTTTTGTGTGGCTTGGTAGTTCATTCGTTTTTATCATGGAATAATATTCCTGTATTTCATCTACAGTCTGTCTATCCATTCACCCATTGAAGGACATTTTGGTTGTACCCAGTTTTTGGCAATTTTGGATAAAGCTGCTATAAACATTGTATGCAGGTTTTTGTGTAGACATACATTTTCAAATCAGTTGCATAAATACCTAGGCACACAATGCCTAGATCACATGATGAGACTATGTTTCACTTTGTGAGAAACTGCCAAAATGTCTTTCAAGGTGGCTGTAGCATTTTGCATTTCCACCAGCAATGTATGAAAGTGTTTCTTGCTCTGTATTCTTGCCAGTAATTGACTTCGTCAGTTTTTTGGATTTTAGCCATTCCAGTAGATGGGAAGTGGTATCCCATTGTTTTAATTTGCATTTCCCTAATGACAAATGATGCTGAGCACCTTTTCATATGCTTATTTGCAATATGCTAGGTTCTCTGACTCTCCTCTGATTTTTTGCTTTGTCAGCATTCGATGGCGTCCCTACTGCAGGAAAAGCACAGTCTTGCCTTATGGCACATACGTAATTCCATGTGCCATTTCTTACTCAGCTATAGGCTCTAGCAGGCCAGGCTAGTGCCTGCTAACCCTGATGATCCAATGACACATGGTAGAAACTTCTGAAAACATGTAATTATGAAAATAAATGCCTACCCACACTTCCAACCAGGAATAGCCAACTCAACCGATTTGTTGCAATTCCTTTTGGCCTTCATGGGATTATTTTTTCTTTGTGTTGGACATTTAGTTTATTTTCAACTTTTTCTTATCTAAAATCATGCCGAAATAAACCACATGCTTCACAAATCTTTGACCTCATTTCAGATGAAACCCTAGAGTTAGAATTAACGTGTAAAATTTTAACGCCTTTCAAAGGTTCTTTAATACACATATCCAAATTGTGTTTTCACCAAATTGCTGCCATGTGACTTCCACAGGCAGGGGAGGAAGCTGTTCCTTGCCACGCCCCCACCAGCACGGAGGAGGGGCAGTGGCTTTCATCTTTGTCAGGCTGTCAGCCCCACCTAGTATCCTGTGCTAGTTTTGATGTATTTAATTTATGAGCACATTTGAACATTCTTTATTATGCTTGAAATTAGTTTCCTATAATAGTTTTTGTAAAGTACTCATTTGCGGCCTCAGTGACGATTCACTTTAGTGTGAGTCACAGCCTCAAACTGCTTCTCCAGCTATCTTGGAAACACGTCCTTAGTCACAAAGCAAGACCAAGGGAGGGTGTGGAACACACAGCCCCACCTTCCAGGTCAGCAGAGGCAGATGTGCACCGCAGCCTCTCCATGGCCACCGCTCTGGGCCTTTGTAGCCTCATTTGCAAAACTGGGGGCATCGCCTACGCTTTGCAGAGTTTTGTGAGGATGACAGAAATAATGCATGTGATAAGCTTTCCTCTTTTCAGGCTATTTGCCCAAGATTGTTCGAGAACTTAGCTACTGTGTCCTCTGTCCACTGCTGCGATTGGAGAATACGGGAGGCATGTTACACGGAGGACAGGGTGGAAGGGAGGATCAAGGAAATGGGGATAGGGTCAGACTGTGAAATAGATCTGGGGAGGTAATTTTTGTTTGTTTAAGGACCGATTTGGAAGAAGGGTAGTTTCCCAGAATAAACTTTGTCTTTCTGCCTCAAGAGAGCTTAGTAGTTTGCAAGCTGGCCCACTGCCAGTCCACAGGAGAGGAAGCAGATCCACCCTCCTAAGTGGTTCACTGCTTCTCAGCCGACCCTTCTGACCCAGCAGTGGAGGGCGCCGAGAGCTCAGGAGCAGCCAAAGAAGAGAAGGAACTGTGGCCGTGCGCGGGGGTTCACACCTATAATTCCAGTACTTTGGGAGGCCGAGGCAGGTCATCACCTGAGGTCAAGAGTTCGAGACCAGCCTGGCCAACATGGTGAAACCCTGCCTCTACTAAAACTACAAAAATTAGCTGGGCATGGTGGTGGGCACCTGTAATCCCAGCTACTTGTGGCTGAGGCAAGAGAATCACTTGAACCTGGGAGGTGGAGATTGTAATGAGTGGAGATTGTGCCACTGCACTCCAGCCAGGGCTACAGAGTGAGACTATGTCTTAAGGAAAAAAAAAAAAATTGAATCAGAACCAGCGAAAAATCCTGTCCACAATTTAGCTTAAAAGCAATAAGACTCAAGAGGAGATACAATAGAGCACAAATATGACTTCCCCAATTCTAAATTTTATAGGCAGACTGGAAAAATATTTCACAATGTTAGAACAAAAATGCCAAAGGAATGGAAATAATGAAATTAAAGATGTTGGAAACTGAAAGTAATTTTTGGGACTGTAACCAGCAAATAATTTAGCAGTCCCAAGAGATAAAAATAAACAGCTCCAAGAGAGATAATAACTAAATAATAAAGAAAAATTTCTGAGATGAAGTCTTGAGTCTGCGGATTTAAAAGGCTCACATGCTAGTGAAAAGATTAACTTAAAAAATAATTGAAAAGATGCCTGGACATACCTATTTCAAATTCTGACGTTCCAAGTATAAATTGTTTAAGCTTCAAACTGAAAAAAAGGACTACTTAAAACTACTTTTCTCTGGTAACACTGAAATAACATCTGCAAAATACTGAAAGGAGAGGATTGTGAGCTAAGAACATATCTCCAATTAAAATAGCATTCACTTGCCAGGGCTAAAAATGATACTTTTGAATGTGCATTGATTTAGGTTATATTACCTAACTATTATAATTGAGGAGAATACTTGTGAAAGTTTCTGAAACAGGTAGTGCTTTAATCAGAAGAGAAATCTCAAGACAAGTAAGAAGATTGCTGGCCCCAGCATCTAAAATCTAAATAAATTAATTATAGTTTGATGGAGAACTACTGCTGTATGTTTTAATTGTTTGACTGTTCAGACAGAAGAGAGATATAATGTAAGGACAAACCTATGGGAATACTTAAATACATATTTAAAGAAAACATTAATAAAGAAAAACAAATTCAAGTCTACAAATTTATTGTCCAAAAAAAACTGATATGGGACATTACATATCAAATTTATACCAACAAAATTTGTGAACTTCAAGAATTGAGAAACAATCCCTTTGCATTCATGTATATGATTGTCGCACTTAATTTAAAAAATTATAAACATGACTGGCTTTACATCTTAGATTACTCCATATAAACATTCAGTATTAAAAGGCAGTAGAGAAGTAATTTCAAGTTCTTATGGAAAGGAGGTATAGACAAAATTCTATCCCAAGGTAGAGTCTTTCAGTTATAAAGGCAAGAGGACAAACCTTTACAAATCTGATAGCACCTTTGAGCTGATCCTGAAGAAAGTGCTGAATGCTAATTTCAGCTAAGCAATAGATAAATGGATAAAGCATGTGGAAAAAAGGTGATTGGAATTGACTGAAGCCAATGTGAGAATTCTGATTAGAGAATTAATTTATGATTAGGATAAACATTGCATATCAGAATGCTGATGCTGCAGACGGTGCTGTTGAAGCGCTCCTTCAAAGGAAATAAAAGAAAGGGTAAAAGGTGATTTAAAGATCCTGAAACTTGGGCTGGGTGCGGTGGCTCATGCCTGTAATCCCAGCACTTTTGGAGGCCGAGACGGGCGGACCGAGAGGTCAGGAGATTGAGACTATACAAAATAAAAAAAAAATTAGCTGGGCGTGATGGCACGTGCCTGTAGTTCCAACTACTTGGGAGGCTGAAGCAGGAGAATTGCTTGAACCCCGGAGGCTGAGGTTGCAGTGAGCCGAGATCACGCCACTGCACTCCAGCCTGGACAACAGAGTGAGACTCTATCTCAAAAAAAAAAAACGAAAAAAAGAAAAATCCTGATGCTCTTGTTTTCCTAGCTGGTGTCAAGATAATTTCAAAACTGACAAATAAAATAATAGAGGAATAAGTATTTTTAAACGTTAAAAGTAAACACTAAAATAATAATCAACTAAAATACAGTGGCGTAAGGGAGACAGGAACAGTGTTTGGCAGTGGGAATACACTATGTTCATTGTTACAGCAGGGAAATAATCTGTGCTGTTTGAACAGACAGAGGAGTGAGTTTTGAATAATGGTAAAGCCATAAAGTTCATTGCTGAAATAAAAATTAAATAAAATTCTCCAGGTTGGAAAAAGACACACCAACACAAAAGTAAACACCAGAAATCAAAAATGGAACCACAAAATAAATTATGATAGAATTCACTGAAATTCTACCAAAACCTTAAAAGAACAGGAAGCTGTTCTAAGTCTATTTAAACTACCCAACAGCAGAAAAAGCAGAAAATCTTTTGAAGTATTTAAATAAAATTTACCAAACATGGAACAACAATAAAAAGAACAAAACAGAAAAAAATCAGACTAAGCTGACACAAATGTCAATGCAAAATTCTAGGTAATATATCCCAATTAATAAAATATTTCAGCAGACAATATCGTGTTACCAGATAGAAGGTCTTGACTGTGACTTTTCCAGGTTCTTGGTGTGTTGAACAAAGAAATGAACAAAATGCTCAAACAAAACAACCAAAGGAGGAAGCAACAAAAGACAAAACAACTAAAGAACTGAGTAATGAAAGTACAGATTTACTGACGCAAAAGTACACTCCACAGAGTGGGAGCAGGCTTAAGCAAGCAGCTTGAGATCCCCAATTGCAATGTTCCTTAGGGTTTTTATTAGGCTAAAAGAATTTGGTAACAACCCTAGGTGCCCTTTAGAGGCCTCCATTTGGTTACACCCTATGAAGGATTGGCTGGCGACCAATCAGAGCCTGAAGTGGAGACTTGGCCTGCTGTGAATCAGAGGCTGAAGTGGAAACTTCTGTCTTATTATCGCAGGAGTGAAGATGTGACCTGTATGCTGCCCAGTCTTGCCTAGAAATGGCTGCACCTGCTGTTCTTGTGCTTATGTCTTAATCTCTGGTTACCCTAATTCCCTATTCTCCTGACCCATAAAGACTGACCAATTTCTGGATTATTTAAAGGATGCAAGTGTAGTTCAATACTGGAAAATCTCTTAATATAATTTTCTGAATATAACACAATTTTATTAATATAATTTATCATTTATCTATAAAAATATTATCTCTGTAGATACTGAAAAGAGATATTTTAAATATTTGCCATTTTTTATCAAACCCTTAATAAAATAAGAATACATACTTCCTTAACATTTAAAAATCGTGTGTGTGTGTGTGTGTGTGTGTGTGTGTGTGTAATCTCAAATTAAAGGCCAGTGTCATTTTTAATGAGAAAACACAAGAATCTCTTCCAACCACTAAAATTAGGTAAAAAACAAGGATGTGAAATATCACTACTAGTTAATATTATTTCAAAACTATTAGCCAATGCAAAAAGTAAAAAAAAAAATGTAAAAGAGAAGACAAAGTGGTCATTATTTGCAGATAGTATACTTTATATTTGGAAATTCTAAGAAAGTTACAAGACAACGTTACAAATAGAGGATGCAATCAGCTAATTAAAAATAAAATTAAAACAGAAATATTTGGGTTCATGTGTGCAAACTACAACTATTTAAATGCTTTAATGACAGAAAAAACTATTTTTTAGCAACAATAAATATGTATTTAGGAATAAACTTAATATGAAATGTACAAAACCTATGTGAAAAAATGTTTAAAATACCACTGAGAAGTACAAATCAAGATACTAGCAAACCCTTCTTGGGTAGAAAGAATTAACATCACGATGATATTGATTACCACTATATTAATTGGTATTTTTAAAATAATTTCAATAAAATACCACCAGAATATATTTGCGTGAACTAGACAAGCTCATTAGAAAGCTTGTATTAAAAAATAAACAAATAATAATTGCTAGGAAAATTCTAAGCAGGAGTGATGGTGGAAAAGCAGGTTTATCAGAAGTTGAAATACATTTTTTTAAAGTTAATAATGAAAAGAGTGCGGTGCCTACTCATGAAAGGAAAGATAAATAGAATGGATAGTACCTAAATTGGGTAAAAATTGTAGGGAATAAAAACATGGTGACTGTAGGTAATAACAATGTATTCTATTCTTGAAAATTGCAAAGAGAGTACATTTTAAGTATTCTCACCATGATAAATAATAAGTATGTGAAATAATGCATATGTTAATCAGCTTGATTTAGCCATTCCACAATGTATACATGTTTCAAGGTATGCTGTACTCAATCTATACAATTTTTATTTTTTAATTAAATATGAATATTTAAAAAATTAATAGGGAATAAGTTTATAAGTGGTCTTGGAGAATCTGCATATCCAAATAAATTTACATTTTTCACCAAGTAAACCAGAGATAGGCAAATATTTTTATCTAAAAATCAAAACAAAAAATTAAAATAAAATATAAGAGAATGTTGGTAGGGAGTGGTGAATGCCTTTTAAAATATGTTATAAAAATACAGCAATGTAAGTAGAATGGTGGCTGCCTGGGGCTGGAGGAGGCAGAATGGAGAGTTAGTGTTTAATGGGTGCAGAGTTTCAGCTTAGGAAGATGAAAAAGTTCTGGAGATGGATGGTGGTTAATGGCTGGACAACAATGTGACTATATTTACTACTACTGTATTAAATACATTTAATGGTATGCTTAAACCTGGTTAAGATGGTAAACTTCATGTTGTGTATATTTTGCCATAGTAAATAACACATAGCAGCATAAAACAAAAACTTTGAAAAAATCAATACATACAGCTAAAAAAAATCCTGACAATCACCCATCACCATAAACAAGATCAGAAGACAAATAACTGGGAAAGTTATACACAATTTATATCACAGAAAAATACGGTTTTCCTAACTGAACAAAGAGCTCCTATAACTCAATAAAATCCTCAACCAGCAAACAGAAACATAAAAAAGGATTTTAACCTTTTTCAGGAAAAGAATTAAAAATTGTTCATATCTATATAAATAGTCAACTCAAATGCTCATGCCACTTTTCACCTAGATTATGGAAGATCAAGGTGGGTGAGGGCACGCCTTTCTGGGAAGGGTGCAGGGACCTTGGCACTTGTATATATTGCAGGCAGAACACAATTGAGCCAAAACTACTAGAATGTAAAAAAAAATCCACTTTTTGTCCCAGTGATTCCACTGCTGGGAATGTAGCCTATAGATACACTCAGACATGTGCACATGGTATGTGTGCAGGGGCATTTGCTGTAGCATTATTTGTGGCAGCACAAGATTAGGAAAAATAATTAAATGAAGATTGTGCGGCCACCATAAAGAGTGAAACAGTGAATTAATACGTGATGAAAGCCAAGATTTATTATGAAGTAATGGGCAGAACAGAGTGTACTGTCACCATCTGCTGAAAGTGCACGTGGAGGTGAAGGTTCTAGAAAGATAGATGAGAAACTACTCAGTGAGTGCTCAGGAAAGGAAGTGGGGGACAAGAGACAAGGGCTGTGTGTGTTACATTCTTTCCTTTTGTATTTATTTCCTGTGGCTGCCATAACAAATGATCACAAACTCAGGCCTTAAAACAACCGAAATTCATTCTCTCATGGTTCTGAAGGCTAAAATCTGAAATCCAGGTGTCGGCAGGGCCCGGAGCTTTCTGAAGGCCCCAGTGGAGGATCCTTCTGCCTCTTCCAGCTTCTGGTGGCCTCTGGGGTTCCTGGTTCTGCAGCAGCGTCTCTCCAGCCTCTGCCTCCGTCTTCACATGGCCATCATCCCTCGGTGATCCTCCGGGCGCTTTCCTCTTCTTATGAGGTCCCCGGTCAACGACTTGAGAGCTGATGCTAAATCCAGGATAATGCTATCTTGAAGTTCTAGAATAGTTACAGCTGCAAAGGCCCTCTTTCCAAAAAAGCTCACATTCGGAGGCTCTGGGTGGATGCGAATTTTTAAGGGACATTGTTCAACCCAATACACCTGTGTATATGCTTTTGGAGCATTTGAAATTTATACTATGTATATTTATCACCCTTTCAACATAAATTAGGTCATTAAAAACTATGAAAAACACATCTGTTTACAGATGGGAATATATGATGGCATTTATTTACACATATATGTATTCATATTTTTATAACGAACAGTTTTAGAACAGTATTTACCAGGTTAAAATGAGCCCTGCAGTAGAACTGTTAGAGATAAGAAGGAGGAGAGGGTGGAGGGCTCATGACCATGTTCTCTGTAGGTCTCTACAATGGCTTGTGATATTTGATGCAGTATTTATATACTGAGATACATTTTATGAAAGATTATATTTTGAAATAAACATGCTTGAGTCCCAAGGAAAACAGATATAGCCTTACAACTTAGGATCAATTCCCCTATAGAACTCAAGAATGACAATGAGAAGCTTGACATGGTCTTTATCAGCACAATGTTCATATCTGAGTTACTTGGCAAGCAACAACACACAGGCGACTTTCTAAACCTGCATCCTAAGATTAAATCCTGTTGTACCCCAACACCAAAAGGCCACATGTGACCATCACCTTGAGCTGGTAAATGCTGCGAGCTTACTTTGCCTGGTCAGCAACAGATGAGTGCAGCGGTCTGGGCGCTAGGGTTAGACAGGCACACAGCGGGTCCACCATCTGTAGGGGAGTGGGGACACCTGGAGTGAATGAGCAGATGTAGGACAGGCCAAGAAAGTTTGGGGTTCCTTGGTTCATCAAGGGGGCTGCTCTTGGGGAGAGCAGGTGAACTCCCCGAAGTAAGAATTATTTTCAATAAAAATCTTTTCCTGGCAAATAATTCTAAAATATCCCCTAGGTTGACCTGGAGCTGTTAATGTGCTTTTCTTCTCGCCACCCCAGGTATTAAGGGATTCACACACATAACCGTTCAATATTAAATGGGAGGCAGTGTTCTGGCCACGGATATTACAGCTGGGGGATCTCTACCTCATGGGTGGGCACAGCCAGTTTGAGGGGTGCCAACTGTCCCTCCTTCAAGGAGGTGTTCCTGGTCTGCTTTAAGGAGGTCACTGAGCCAGAGCCCCAAATACTCTCCAATTAATCGAGCCGAGATCACGGTGCTTATTGAACATCTAAGAATGAGCCATGGAGGCAGCTTTTGAATCTTTCTTCTGGAAATTTTGTATTGAAAATTCACGAGGCTTAAACGGAGCCTGTGTACCAGGAGGCGGTCATTGCTAGGAAAATCTGTCCTTAAAGTGATCCTTTCTGGGAGTTACTTCCTGCTCTGCAGTCTTCTCTGCAGAGAAACTGAGCACAGAGTCCCTTGAGGAATTGCAGAGAACTCAAGAGACTTGGCAGTGGTGCCAGAGCCACGTGCCATGGCGGTGGGTGACCGGGAAGCGCACCCTCCCCAGCCGGGTTACCTGTTGCTGTACATGTGACGTCCTCTGTACCAGACTAACTTCAAAGCCTCTGAGGACAGTGGGATGCTGATGCCCCAGAAAGAATGTGCAGAAGACAGCTACCTCACAGGGATGTGGAAACGTTCGGCTCCTGGAACCAGGTGCCATCGTCTTCCTTGTCACACACTGAGATGAGCACGATCACTTTACAGTATAGGTTGTTTTTCCTTTGGATTGGACGTTCTAGCGTGCTCCTGTGTTCTCCTGGCTGCTGCGGCTTTGTAGGTCATCAATCAGGGTGCTGACTGGCAGGAATGACTGACGATGCTGCATGCCCTCTCCTGCCCCACGGTTTTCCAAATCACAACTCATCTTCTTATTGGCATAAATGTACCTCCTGTTTATTTAAGTAGAATGTAAATAGGGAGAAAGGCTGTGACCCACGCTAATATTCCTCCTAGGTGTGAGCACACTAGTTTATATATCTGCCCTTTGTCTCTTGCTAAAGTCTCTCATTTTCAATCATATTCTTTACTTAAAATGTCTACTTTTCAGTGTGAGTTATCACAAAAAAGACACATTTAATCGTTGTGTAGTAGGAAACCCTCTTGCAGGAATAAAATAGGATGGAGAGGAGTTGCCAACATAGGCCACAGTTCCCAAGCTGACCCTTATTTTTATTGAACTAAAGTTGCATATAAATCTTTTATAACACATAAATCCTTGCTGCCTCGGCACCGCTATGTGCTTTTTTGTTGTTGTTGAGACAGGCTCTCGCTCTGTCACCCAGACTGGAGTGCAGTGGCATGATCTTGGCTCACTGCAATCTCTGTCCCCTCCCACCTCAGCCTCCCAAGTAGCTGGGACTACAGGTCCCTGCCACCAGGCCCTGCTAATTTTTGTATTTTTAGTAGACACAGGGTTTCGCCATATTGCCCAGGCTGGTCTCAAGCTACTGAGCTCAAGGGATCCTCCCACCTCGGCCTCTCTCAAACTACTGAGCTCAAGGGGTTCTCCCACCTCCGCCTACCAGAGTGCTGGGATTCTGGGCATGAGCCATCACGCCTGACCCTGCTGGGTACCTTTTGCTTCCTACATTACTTATGTCTTTCCTGTTGTTTATTCTACTTATTCGAAGTTTGTTTTATTGATGATTTCATAAAATATTATTTTGGTGCTGATTATCTCAAAGTTATGTCTGTGGGTTTTTATTGAATTAAATTGTTTTTCTCCTTATTAATTTTCTTCTAATTTATTTGGGTTTATTGTGCTGTTCTTTCTCCTGGATTCTTGAGCGGAAAGCTTAATTTATTTTTAATGCATCTTTGAATCTAATTAATGCATTTAAGAATACTCATGGTTCTCAAAGTGTCTTTTGCCTCCTTCATCTCACAGGATTGAAGAGGCGCTCTTATTTATTATTCAGTTACACAGGTTTGCAATTTCTACTTCTATTTCATTTTTAATTAAGAGTTATGTAAATGTTTGTTTGTTTTCTAATTTTATTGCTTTGTGAAAATAAATGTGGTTTTAATGGTGTTAACTTCTTGAAATTTATGATTGCCTTTGTGGTTGAGAATAATTTATTTTAAAAATTACATGTGTGTTCAAAAGCAAAGCATATGCCCTCCTGAATAAATGCAGTCCTGGGGATTGTGAATTTGAAGCCTTTACATTGGTAATGGTTTAGATCTGTCTCTTTCTGAGAGAAGTTTAGAGCTACCACTATGTAGAATTAGGAGTTCTACATTTTGAAGCTATACGTATTTTTAAAAAAAATTTTTGTCACACATACCTGTAAACAATTTATGATTAAAATTTTCATATTTTTGGAAATCATCGACATGGACACACACATTTATTCTTTCCGGTTACTCATTCCTGCTTGTTTTGCTCACCATGACGTTTCCAGGGTTAATCTGGCCGGAGCCCACTGTCATTCTGGGACTTCTTTGGGGTAAATGCTCCCCTGGAGATTTCTGAGATAGCAGGCCACGATGAATTCAGAGCACCCGCCCCAGGCCAGCCTGTGATTGCGGTGGTCCTTCCTGACTGGTCCCCGCCCCGGTCTGTGCCCTTTGGGTAGGTCCCTGGCCTGGAGCCTCAGCATGCCCTGGCTGCTTCCCCTGGAGGTCGCAGGCGTCCTGAGGAAGGGGGCGGGGCTACAGGCTCTTGCCAATCTGGTCCCTGTTTTCTTTTCCAGCCTCTGCACTTTCAGAAATGATTTTCCCCACTCACTTAAAATATACTTTTTAACTTTTCTATTGTTTTTCATTGATTTCAGCATGATGGTGTTTCAGGATATATGTTCAACGTACAGTTAAAAAAGGAAACCAATAAACCCATTTTTGTTTACTAAAAAGATGTACTCAAAACATTGTAGGAAACACAATATCATGAAGATACTAAAATCACAAACAACTCAACACCAAAAAAGAATCCCTCGTATCACATAGATACTTTATCTCCTACGCTTTGTAAAAATCCCCGCTGCATATACAGATTTTTAGGCAAAAACCGTAGAACTACACTGTTCCTTTACTTTTGGTCTTATTGTTAACACTCAGTACTCTTTGATGGCCACGTCCTTACCCACTTCTGACTGCCTTCTTGATCTGCTATGTCCGGAGTTGGTTCCTTCCGGCAGGTTCGTGGTCTCGCTAACTTGAAGAATGGAGCTACAGAACTTCACAGTGAGTGTTACACCTCTTAAAAATGGCCCAAATCCAAAGAGACAGCAGCAGCAAAATTTACTGTGAAGAGCAAAAGAACAACAACGCCACAGTGTCAAAGGGGACTCCACCGGGTTGCCGCTGCTGTCTGCGGGTGGCCAGCTTTTATTCCCTTATTTGTCCCCACCCATGTCCTGCTGATTGGTCCATTTTACAGAGTGCTGATTGGCCCATTTTACAGCGCACTGATTGATCCATTTTACAAACTCTAGCTAGCTACAGAGTGCTGATTGGTGCATTTTACAAACCTCTGGCTAGCCACAGAGTGCTGACTGGTGCGTTTTATAATCCTAGCTACAGAGTGCTGATTGGTGCATTTTACAATCCTCTTGTAAGACAGAAAAGTTCTCCAAGTCCCCACCCGAACTAAAAATCCAGCTGGCTTCACCTCAGACTGCCTCCCCAACCCCCAACCGCCTGCTCTATGGTGGCATGAGCCACCATGCCCAGCCAACTTTAGTGTTTCTTGTGACAGAGAAATCTAGCTTAACGTTTCTCCTTGGAATTAACCAATTGGCTGAGCATCATTTATTGCATGACTCTTCCTTTCCCCACCAGCAAAAATTATTACTTATAACTCCCTGGATACAGTGGGGTCAGTATCTGTCCTTTTATGCAGTTTTACCGGGTGCCAATCTATTTCTGTGCTGGAATAATACTTTTGTAATTGTACCTTCGTGATAAACTTTATGTGCACTGATGCAAGTTCTGTATCATTTTTCTCTTTCAAAGTTTTATTTTCTATTGTCTCATAAACTTTAGAATAATTTTGAAATGAAAGTTGAAAACAATCCATATAATACTGTAGTTTTTTAGGGGTTTTTTTGTTTGCTTGTTTGTTTAGATGGAGTCTCGCTCTATCACCCAGGCTGGAGTACAGTGGTGCCATCTCGGCTCAATACAACCTCTGCCTTCCCAGGTTCACGTGATTCTCGGTCCTCACCCTCCCATGTAGCTGGGATTACAGGTGCACACTACCATACCTCGCTAATTTTTATGTTTTTAGTAGAGACGGGGTTTCCCCATGTTGGCCAGGCTGGTCTCCAACTCTTGGCCTCAAATGATCCGCCTGTCTTGACCTCCCAAAGTGCTAGGATTACAGGCATGAGCCACCGCGCCTGGCCTATTATAGATATTTTAAACTCAGTTGGCTATTTGTCTTAATCTTATCCATGAGAAAAAAAAATTGATATTTAAAAAGTTATAGATAAACCCCATGGATATTCTTCTTTATAGCTTCTGGCTTTGATGATGTGTCAGTGTTTAAACTTTGGCTGCTTGTGAAAATAATATTAAAATATTCACCTAAATTAGCTTGTATTATTTTACTTTTATAATTTTTTTAAAATTAAAATGTATTTTATCTGGAGCTTATCTGTTGCAAGGAATGAGTTAAATATTTTGTTTTAAAAATTGTTTTAATAAAATAATGATTTGAGGCCTAACCTATCTTTTCCTCACTGATTGCAAAGCTCCCTTTACCATATGGTAGATTCCGGTGTATCCTGAGCTGGACTCTGCACTCTCTGGTGCCTTTCCCAGCACTTTTCTCCATGCTGTGTGGTTACTATTGTCTTTTGAAACTTCAAAACCTATCGGAATGTAGGCCACTAGGTCAGGGCGTCATGGAAACCCTTGTGTGCAGGGAGCAGCAGACAGATGATTCCCCAGTCCCGGAACACTCTCGGCCCTCTTCAGCCACTCCCTCCCCAACCCACACGCCATCAACCTCCAGACCCTCTCGCCGTGGCTTAGAGGTGTCTCTGACAACGTGGCACACTGGGAAGGCCTTCTTTCCTGCTACCAATACAAATGCATTCTGAATTTGATATGTCATTAAATGTAAAAATACAGCCAATTTGAAACAAGCAAATGGAAATTCCCAGGAACCAAAAACAGAAAGAAAAATCAGAGGTAGGTAGAAACCCACGCTGCTGTGGGGTGGCCTGCGGAGGTTTTGCAGGAGTGTGCAGTAAATGTTTAATAGCAGATCTCCAGGGAGGAACAGCTCTGATTTGTAGTGTTTGCCAATTTCCACGGTATAATTACTTCCATCTTGGTTGTTTTCCAGCTACCGCAGTGCTGTCCCTGCAGACAGAATTTGGGAGAGGTACTCAGAGTCACCTCCTGTGAGCCTATGCAAGCCAGCTCCTGCACAACCCTGGTTTTAGTCCAGGTAAAGGCCCGCCCAGGTGTTTGAATATGGACTCCTCACATACTTCTGCAGACTCCAGCTTTGGGTTGACCCATCGGGGAGAGGGAACTTAGCATGAACCCTTGTATAAAAATGAAAATCTCTTTCATTGGAAGGGAAGATCACTGACTGGGCTAGTCTCCCAAGACCTAGGAAAGAGCTTGGCTGTCAGAGGGTGAGCTAGGGAACGAACTGTGCTTGTTGATATCCACATCCAAGGCTGATGGCCGGAGGAGGCAGTTAAGAGCAAAAGGCAATGGACCAAACTACATCAAAGATGGGATTATAACAAAACTTTAAAAGTTGGTTTACAATGCAGAAAATTCATTCTTCTGGAAACAGACTTGAAAAAAATAAAATATTTACTCTACCTTTCTTGTTCAGAACCATGCCTTAGGGTAGGTAAATATTTGATTATGAAAGGTTCTTTGTGTGGAATAAATCTAAGTAATAATTGCTGAAGAAATGATATGATTAAGATATGGCCATCTTTGGTCAGGCGTGGTGGCTCACGCCTGTAATCCCAGCACTTTAGGAGGCCGAGGCAGGTGGATCACAAGGTCAGGAGTTCAAGACCAGCCTGGCCTACATGGTAAAACCCTGTCTCTACTAAAAATACAAAATTTAGCCAGACATGATGGTGGACACCTGTAATCCCAGCCACTTGGGAGGCTGAGGCAGGAGAATCACTTGAAACTGGAAGATGGATGCTGCAGTGAGCTGAGATCACGCCACTGCACTCCAGTCTGGGCGAAAGAGCAAAACTCCATCTCAAAATAAATAAATAAATAAAAGATATGCTCATCTTCTTATTAAATAAGGTAATGGATCTAGTCATCATTTAAGTCTTCCAAAACATTAGCGAAACTGAGACTTTTAATGACAGACTTGTAAAACCAGGTGTCTGGTGGGGAGGCATACCCAGCATAGTTTCAACGAGCAATTTATGCCCTAGCACGCAGGTCCCTCCCCAGGTTTCTCATAGGCTGACTACTATGAGGTCACAATCTTCCTGGATGTCATCTATTGATTGTTGGGTAGAGGCTTTAGGTGTTTCTTTAGGGTTGTCTTACTGCATTTTGTTGCAACCCACAATGCATTGCAATCTTAGTTAGCTCAGGGGCTCTTCAAGTATTTGACTTATGACCTAAGTAGCTGGGCAGGCTGGTAAGAACAGACAAAATGAGCTATCTTGCAGATTAGTAAAGTTTTATCTTAGACTAAACCTCTTTGGTTTGGATGAGGGCAACTAAGGTGCAGGAGAAGGGGAAGAAGGGGAAGGCTGACAAGCAGGCATCTGCTATCCAAGCAGCGGCCTAGTATATCCTCTTTCTTCTGTAGTTTGCTGACCTAAGCCCATTCAAGGCACTTTGTCTTGGAAATGGACCACTGTATACATTATTTCCTTCAGGTGGGAGACATGGGAAGAGGCAGAAGATTTGAAATAGCCCTTGTCTTAGTGTCATTGGCAGAAGTGAGTGGGGTTTGCAGGAGTGTTAAGCCTGTTAGTCATTGTAAATTCATTGTGAACACAGTTAGCCTTATTAGGTGGTTTTCTTCAGAATCGCCAGGCTGCTCCCAAGCCAGTTCCTGGCAAGGAAATACTTGGTTTTCTTGGGGTGGCAGTCTGCTTTTTAAAATGCAGGCCTTATTATTATTTATTTATTTATTTATTTATTTATTTATTTATTTATTTGAGGCGGAGTCACCCTGTTGCCCAGGCTGGAGTGCAGTGGTTCGATCTCAGCTCACTGCAACCTCCACCTCCTGGATTCAAGCAATTCTCCTGCCTCGGCCTTCCGAGTAGCTGGGACTACAAGCACGTGCACCATGCCTGGCTAATTTTTGTATATTTTAGTAGAGATGATGTTTCACCATGTTGGCCAGGCTTGTCTGGAGCTCCTGACCTCAGGTGATCCACTGGCCTTGGCCTTACAGGCTTTATTATTATTCAGGTATGGTGAGGCTGCAGATCTGGTGATGGTTGTCACTGACAAGATAGTTTGTGATTTGTGGTTCCCAAGGGGAGGAGCATGACATGCTGCATGCTGGTGGGGGCCAGACAGAAGCACTGGGGCAGCCAGGAGTCAGACGGCAAGTGGGGACTGTGGATGGAAACCTTTACTGCACTTTTAGTGAGAAAGAACAGGCAAGGCAGGGTCAGCAGGTTTAGATTGAGTTGTGAGAACAATCTCTGTGGGCTCTGGGGCCTAGAGAATCTCCCTTGTTGTCTGGTACCCAGCCCTGGGGTGATGTGGGAAGGGGGATGGTGGCCCAGTGTGAGAGTCCAGTCATGGCTGGACGTGGTCGGGGGTGTTGGCTGGGATTGGCTTGTTCGTATTTGAAAAGCATACCCACTGGCAGGTTGTTTACCCTGTCTTGGAATTAGCTCGCCCTGGGAGGGGCAGTCCCTGCAGGGTCAGCAGGGCCCCAGATGTCGAAGCGTCAGAGTACAGAAATCAAAGATGTTTGGTGCAGTGTGTGTGTCTGCTGGTGTGACAGGAAGACAGACCAGCAGCAAGGGAGGTAAGGCTAGCAGAGATATGTGATGGAGGTGGTGAATCATGGAATCTAAGCTTGCTCACTGGGAAGGTGAAGAAAGTACAGGGATTAGAAAAACTGAGTTCCTGTTGGGTTTGTGGGCAACAGGCTGACCCAGGAATGCCCAGAGAAGGGAGGCTACAGCCATTTGGGATGCTCACACTTATTCAAGGTGGGATGGTTTTGCGTAATGCTCCAGGTGACTGTGAAGGGAAGTGGTTCCTGGACGGGAAGGAAACGATAGGCCGTACGTGGGAAACAAGACTTGCCAGGATCCTGGAAGGCCATGACGCGGCCATGCCCCTTCCAGTCAGGCGGCCTGTCTCAGCCACATTGCTTGCTGTGCCTTCTGTGTGGGAGCAGGGAGAGCCTTCACACAGGAGAAAGAGAGCCATGCTTATTTTCACCAAATGCCACGGCACCAAAAGAAAGGGTGGAATATAAACTCCACGAGATTTTTTTTTATCTTTGAACTTCCAATGCTCATTATAAAGACAGAAGCTGATAGGTGCCCTATAACTATTAGTAGTTTGAAATAATACATCAAATAAGGAGAGAAATAATCATACATGTACTTTTACTAATAAAAAAAGAGACTGACAGCCCACCCCAGTTAAGGATTGATGACATAAGGCGTGTGAGTGAACGTGGAGACACACAAATCAACCCACAATCAGAAGGTGGCAGAGGCAGTGGGGGTGGTAACTTAGGTTGAAAGAAATGGCATTTTAGAAACGGCAATGCAAATCTGCCTTTGATAAATACGAATAAATCGCGGAGTGGGCATGAGAATGGATAGAATGGTAGCATAGAAAGAGATGGAAAAGAGATCCCATGTACATGCTGGGGAATATCAATCACCCTTGGAACCTTCCATGAGCCTAAAATAGAACAGGAATCCAAGTGTCTCTATGTGGGAGAAACGTGAATGTGGTCATTTCCACGTCAGCCTGGCTGCGGAAGCAGGACCCCGGGTGACCACGGGCTCGTCAGCACAGGATCTCATCACCTGGTCTGCCAAGGCCTGGGGTCCTTTCCAAGCAATAAAATTATAGGTGTGAAATGCACTTAAGCTATTTTCTCCAAAACATATCACAGAAGATCACAAGAGGACACAAAAGATGACTTCCTCCCATTGAAATGGCTAAAACAAAAGTGATAAAAATAAATTTGTGGTTAAATATATCTGAGGATTGGTAGGGCAACAGGGTATCATTACTCAGAATCTGGCCTGCAATTAAAGACTTCCAAAAATGGCAGATCGCCTCCTTCTTCACCAATTTCACATTTACCCCCACCAGTTCTACTTGCAGAAGGCAAGACTTCCAAAGAGGCTTCCTTACAGCCACGGGATTCCCGCATTAGAGTGTGGCTCTCACCCCAATACTTTCAGTATTCTGGGTTCTTACAGTGTCTATTTCTAAGTTCGTTTGTTTTGATGGATCACGGAGGAAATTGTTTTCCTGTGTTGACGTTAACCACGCTTCACGCTTCCCTGCTAGCCATCCTCAGGTGTATTACTACTGTTGTTGTTATTGACTTCGAAAGGGAAATCTCCTTAAGAGCCTCTACAATGGCTGGAAACAATTGCAAACAATTTTTCTTTTCCCTTTTCTTTTTTCTTTTTTTTTTGAGATGGAGTCTCGCTCTGTCGCCCAGGCTGGAGCTTGCAGTGACGTGATCTCGGCTCACTGCAAGCTCCGCCTCCCAGGTTCATGCTATTCTCCTGCTTCAGCCTCCTGAGCAGCTGGGACTACAGGCGTCCGCCAGCACGCCCGGCTAATTTTTTGTATTTTTAGTAGAGATGGGGTTTCACCGTGTTAGCCAGGATGGTCTCGATCTCCTGACCTCATGATCCGCCCTTCTCGGCCTCCCAAAGTGCTGGGATTACAGGCGTGAGCCACCGCCCCCAGCCTTTTTTTTTTTTTTTTTTTTTTTTGAGATCGAGTCTCACTGCATCACCCAGGCTGGTGTACAGTGGTGCAATCGCAGCTTACTGCAGCCTGGGCCTCCTGGGCACAAGATATCCTCCCATCTTAGCCTCCCAAGTAGCTGGGACTACGGGTGTGCACCACCATGCCTGGCTAATTTTGTTGTTGTTGTATTATTTTATAGACACAGGGGTTCCTCATGTTGCCCAAGCTGGTCTCCAACTCCTGACCTCAAGTGATCCTCCTGCCTCGGCCTCCCAAAGTGCTGGGATTACAGGCGTGAACTACCATGCCTGGCCTCAGAGAATAATTTCACATTTTAAACTCTAAGTACTGGGTGTTGGCTGTGCAGAACCTGTTCTTTTTGGTTTGCCTTTTAGATGCCATCTTTACACATGTCTCTTCTATCTGGTCTACCTAAAAGAATGCAGAGAGAAGATGGAAATTCAAATCTAGGAGGATGTAGATTTCTTAAGAATAAGATATAAAATTTTTACCATTTAGGATTTTCTTGCACGTAGTAGTTAATCGGTTAGCATTTCTTGGGTGAATAAAATCACACCATGTAATTAATGTTAGGACTTTAAGGCAAATACCAAAGAGGAGAAATATACACTCATTAAATATCAAGTTACCTGAGCAGAAGCTCAGCTGTCTGTCTGCTGGCATGACACACAAAGAGCAAGGTTCAGACTGCCAGCATTTACCATGCCATGCAGACAGCTTTTTTTTCTTCTTCTTCTTTTTTTTTTTTTTTTTTTGAGGCGGAGACTTGCTCTGTCACCCAGGCTGGGGCAGCATGATCTCGGCTTGGCTCACTGCAACCTCCACCTCCACTTTCCTTCTTGCATGGCTATTTCACAGCAGAAATGAGATGCTTGGAAACTTCAGCAACTGCGCCTCATAGTTTCTAAATGGTAAATGGCTTCCCTGCCCGCTTCCAACCCTGTTGGGAGGGCCTTTCAGGTCTCAGGGCTGGAGGCACAGGAGTCTGAGGCCCATTTCCTAAGGAGCAAGTTGCTATTGCCAGTCGGAGCACCTGCACCACCCTCTGTGCTCTTGGTAGTGTCATCTCTGCTGTCGTCTGGATGTGCTGGGTCCAGTGTCCGGCTGTGGGCGCTGGGATCATCAGCCTGTGTGATGCATCTCCTCATCTGTCATGACAGGCTGATAACAGCTGTCTTGAGGGGATGTTCTAAGAGTACAAACAAGGTGGTAAGTTGCATGATCCACCATGCCTCTGCCTTGCAGGCTCAAACAGTCTTCTCAACTCAGCTTCCCAAGTAGCTGGTACCACAGGCGTCCGCCACCACACCAGGCTCATTTTTTTTAGCTATTTTTAAAATTGTGCTAAAGTACACGTGATACAAAATGTACTATCTTTACCACTTTTAAGGGTGCAGCATAGTGGCATTAGGTACATTAACTTAGTTGTGTGACCACCACCACCATCCATCTCCAGAGCTCTTTTCGTCTTGCAAAACTGAAACTCTGTACCCATTAAACACAAGTCCTCATTTCCCCCTCCCCAAGCTCTTGGAAACCATCATTCAACTGTCTCTATGAATTTGACTACTCTTGCTGCCTCCTCTAAATCCAATCATAAAGTATTTGTCCGTTTGTGACTAGTTGATTTCATGTAGCATAATGTTCTCAAGGTTCATCTGTGTCTGAATCTCCTTCTTCTTTAAGGTAGAATGACATTGCTTGGTATGGGTAGGCTACATTTTGTTTATGCATTCATTCCTCAGTGGGTATTGGGGTTGTTTCCACTGTTTAGTCATCTTTTAGCTATCGTGAATGATGCGCCTGGGGATGTGGTGTACAGATATTTGTGTGAGTTCCTGCTTTCACTTCTTTTGGATATTTCCCCAAAGTGGGATTGCTGGATCGCATGGTAATTCTATGTCCAGCTTTTTGAGGAATCTCCATGCTGTTTCCACAGTGGCTGCATCATTTTTCATCCCCACCAGCAATGCACAAGGGTGCTAATTTTTCTATATATTTGCCAATATTTGTTATTTTATGTGTTTTTTTTTTGCTGTTGTTTGTTTATAGTAGTCATTTTAATGGGTGTGAAATGGGACCTCATGGTGGTTTTCATTTGCATTGCATTAGTGATAAGTGACGTTGAGTGCATTTTTATGTGCTTATTGGCCAACTGTATATCTTTGGATACATGTCTATTCATGTCTGAAACTTGCATGTGTTCAACGAGTCTATTATTATTATCATTAGAGAGTTTTCACAGTGAGGCAAAAATAAGATAGATTTTTAGTTAGAATTGAAGTCAAGGTCACAGTGACACTTATGCTGAAAACTTTAGGCAAGTTATATGTCTCCGCCGGCCTACTGCACCACACATCCAACAGGACTTGTGAAGCAGCTGGTCCTTCACTCAGCAGAGCTTCGTGTGCACTGCCACTGGTAGAAGCCTTATAACCATAACAAGTGAGGCCTCCAATACTAATGGCAGAGTCAGTGGACACGCTGAAAGGAAGCTCAGCAAAGATGCAAATGTGTTCCGATTTAAAAATTTTACGGGAAGCTGATGGAAGCACGGAGTAGCCTGGCATTTGCCATTGGTTCTCTGATTTTGGAGACGGGAAAACTTCCTGCTGGCAAAGAAAATTTGCAATGATGATCCTGGTTTTGAATGGAGGCTGAATTCAGGAGATTTACCAGAACGAGAAGACGTAATCTTGAGTCTGGTTTCACCAGGTTTGTTATAAGAGGCTACAGCCAGATTCGTGTGGGCAGAAACTCCTAACTCCTTAAAAAACTGTGACACTGGCCACGCGCAGTGGCTCATGCCTGTAATCCCAACACTTTGAGAGGCCGAGGTGGGTGGATCGCCTGAGGTCGGGAGTTTGAGACCAGCCTGACCAACGTGGAGAAACCCCGTGGGAGGCGGAGCTTGCAGTGAGCCGAGATCGCGCCACTGCACTCCTGCCTGGGCTACAGAGCGAGACTCCGACTCAAAAAAAAAAAAAAAAAAAAAAAGAAAAAAGAAAAAAGAAAAAAAAGAAAAGAAATACAAAATTAGCCAGGCATGGTGGTGCATGCCTGTAATCCCAGCTACTTGGCAGGCTTAGACAGGAGAATCGCTTGAACCCAGGAGTCGGAGGTTGCAGTGAGCTGAGATTGCGCTACTGCACTCCAGCCTGGGCAGCAAGAACGAAACTCTGTCTCAAAAATAAAAAGACTGTGATGTTAATATCTTGAATATTTGTCCAGAAGGCTTTTTAAAATTTTATTTATTTATTTATTTTTTTGAGACGGAGTCTTGCTCTGTCGCCCAGGCTGGAGTGCAGTGGCGCAATCTCGGCTCACTGCAAGCTCCGCTTCCCGAGTTCACGCCATTCTCCTGCCTCAGCCTCCCGAGTAGCTGGGACTACAGTCACCCACCACCACGCCCGGCTAATTTTTGTATTTTTAGTAGAGACGGGGTTTCACCGTGTTCGCCAGGATGGTCTCGATCTCCTGACCTCATGATCCGCCCACCTCGGCCTCCCAAAGTGCTGGGATTACAGGCATGAGCCACCACGCCCGGCCCAGAAGACTTTTATAGATCTTTGCAAAGCATATGTTTGTACCTTATTTTTATCTTTTTGGTTTTTTTGAGACAGAGCCTTGCTCTGTCACCCAGACTGGAGTGCAGTGGTGCGATCTTGGCTCACTGCAACCTCCACCTCCCAGGTTCAAGCGATTCTCCTGCCTCAGCTTCCTGAGTAGCTGAGACTACAGGCACCGGCCACCACGAATGGATAATTTTTATATTTTTAGTAGAGTCGAGGTTTCACCATGTTGGCCAGGCTGGTCTGGGACTCCTGACCTCAAGTGATATACCCATCTCAGCCTCTGAAAGTGCTGGAATATCTTTATCATTTTTTTTGTAATCAATTCAGTATTTGAATAGGGATAAAATTGATTTCTGGGACTAGACTTCTCATGTATGCTATTAGCCCCTCAGCAGATAAGATCCACCTTAAAATGTCCAGACTTCCAGCTCTCTCCAGCAACAAATCAAGGTGTCAGCCAGCAGCTCGGGCCTGCCTTGAGAGTCACTGTGGGGATTAAGTGAGATGAACACCGCAGTATGGAACCAGAGGACTCCCCGTGACAACTCCGACTCAGGGAGCCTTGGTGTGGCTCGCAGAGGAGACAGGCAGTGCCCCAAGTCATGTGTCGTCGAGAAGCCTTTTCCACTTCTGGTCCCTCGTGTCCACTTAACATCCCCCTACATTAAAACACTCGGATGCATAATCGCCTGAGTAGCCTACTTAATAATAATTTGTTAATATCCTTCACAGTGTCAGGAGAAGGTTGTCTGGAGAAGTTTTATTGTATTTTAAGTTTTATATCGTTTTAGTTTAGTTCACTTCTTTTGTATCAAATACCTTAAACAAGAGTGCTTATATCTTTTTCCCCCAGCCTTCTGCAGAATTCCACATTAAACAGGATGAAGAATAGGTTGTTAGCAGACTGAGGTACTTGGGGCAACATTTCGTACACAACAGGAGGGAGAAACGACTCCAGGTGAGGAGTCTAACCAAGTTCTCTGGCTGGGCGAGTGCACGGGGGAACACTGTGGGCTTTGAGGGGGTGTGTGCCAGTCACACAGGAGCGGCATTGCTGCCCTCTTCACTGTATGCAGGCCACTGTGCTGGCACAGCCATGCTTCCCCCTGTTAGACACAATGGTGATTCTTAGGGTTGACATTGTGGCTGTATAGTTGCTGAGTTCATCTTTGTGTCTGATGGACCGAGTAATGCTGCCCCATGGAGGAGAACCATGGGTTTAATCTCTAAATCACCACCTCCACGTTGTTTTTAGAAAAACAATCAGATTTTGGTGAAACTGATGTTTGCAAGTGTGAGTGAGCCCCATGTGCTGAAGCTTCAGGAACCCCTGAGATGGCACAAGTTCTGCCGTACTGGGCAACGGATGGTCTTGAAGCACACAAGACACTGGAAGACATGAGGGCAATTGCTACACGCCAAGCCCGGTGCCAAGCACGTTGTGCAGGTTGTTTCGTTGATTCCGGGCCTGGCCTTTGAGATCTGTGGAGGATACCATGAACTGGCTGGCTCTGCATCCTGCTTGCAGGCGCTGGCAAGCTGGAACCTGCTTTTCTACGCCACACTGCAGAGGGCCCTGAATGTGATCTATGATTGCAACAAGCAGCCCTGATGCGGATCCGGAGGGCAGGGATGACGTGGGGGCTGCCTTTCTGGTTGACCTGCTGGTAAGCATGGCCTCATGGATCTATCACCAACAGCACCCAGTCACTTGGGGAGGCCGAGTGGCAGGGCTGGGGCATCCATCAGGGTTTGATTTTGCTTATGTGGACCGGCAGGTGCAGCACAGCTGCATTTTAGTGCAGGGCTTCCTGATCCTGCTGCACAGCTAACACCGTTCTTCCCGAAGGCAGCAGCTCCCCCACGGGGCTGTTTCCCCAGTTCTGGGCATCAGTCCCAGAGGCAAAGACGGGAGCCATCCACTCTGACTCTGCCAACAATTCTGTGAGCACCCAGTTCTCTGTATGAAATTCCTTTCTGCTTTAGATAATTAAAATAACTTTTCTTCCCCTGCAACTGAACTGAGTGATAAGCATGGGAATTATTATTTTGATTCATAAATGAGGCAACTGGGGCTCAGTAAGGTTAAGAGCAAATGATGACTAAGAGTCAGAGGATGGGCGGGGTGTGGTGGCTCACGCCTGTAATCCCAGCGCTTTGGGAGGCCAAGGCGGGCAGATCACGAGGTCAGGAGATAGAGACAATCCTGGCTAACGCGGTGAAACCCTGTCTCTACCAAAAACACAAAAAAATTAGGAAGCAGAACAGGAGCACCATACTGGTTGGGAGAGAAGTTTTGATATACATTTAATATGAGTTCCAGAGGTGAAAGTAAAAAGAGAGGATGATAATGTTTGAAGAAGTGAGAGTTATCCTTCTTCCAGAATTCATTAAAGATATTGTTCCTTATTCAGGAAGTACTAGTACTGAGAAGGACTCATTTGTAAACTAAAACGCACCAAGGTATCGATCACCAAAGACAAAGAACCGAACCTAAAGCAGGTTACTTTAAAATAGAAGAAACAATTAGACTCACAGCAGGCTTCTCAACTTGAACTGTAGAGCTGGGATCAGCAAACTACAACCCATGGTCTGGATGGCTGCCTGTGCAAATACAGTTTTATTGGCACAGATACGCCCACTTATGCACATGTCTTTATGGCCACCTCCACTCTTCAATAGCATTGTTGAGTACCTGTGATGGAAACCACATGGTCTGCATGTGGTTGATTCTTAAACAAGCCCTCTGTTTCAGAAAATGTTTGCTGACCCCTGGTATGGAGAACAGAATTCAGTGAAATAATATATTTAAAACACTGAGAGAAAATTGCTGACACCTAGAATTCTATACATACTTGAACTTTTTTTTTTTTTTCAGAGGAGGAGGTAAAATAAAAATATTTCAAAAAACAAAAAATTTAGAAAGTTTACCTTCCTTTTTTTTTTTTTTTTTGAAATAAGGGTTAAACTATTTACTTCAGTGGAGGAAATAAAACCCAAATCAAAGGCAGGTACTACAACAAGAAGGGAGCAAAATTTGCTAAATTTATAGGTAAATCTGAAAAAAAGACATTTGTCTTAAAGAATATTAGTAATGATAAAAATGACCAATATTGAGGTCATAAATAAAGATGAAACAAAAATGCTAAGTGACAATAACACGTAAGCTTGTGAGGGTAAGTGGCGATCAGAGCTTGGAATTCAAAACCACTTTTTTATTTTATTGGGAGGAGGGTGGAGACAATGGCTAACTTTATACTTTGTTGTATGAACTGTGTGCATGTTTCCATTTTAAGAGTAGCCTCTAACACAATAAAAATAGAATTGTGTATTGGAGAGGTAAGGCTGAGTGACAGTCAAATCCACAATCTCTAGCCTCCATGTGCACTTTATTCATTATTCACATAAATTCCACTGTAGATTGGGCAATTCCCCAAGGCAGCTGCCCTGCCTGCTGTGCCCCAGCCAATCCTGGGGGCTTTGATGGATTGCGCACACAGGCCATGTTGACATGGCTTCCCCACTCTACACCAAGAGGGAGGGCCAGGCATGGGAGCTCACAGCCACTCTTCTACCTTAGCCTGAGAAATGACATCCAATGGATAACCTCCCTGCAGGGACTCACAGTGCAGTCTAGGGGTACATGGAAAACGTTTGGTGAAAATTCCATCACTGTTGCAACCCATTTTTATGGCTGCCAAATACCCCTTTGTTCCCATATATATCCCAAGGAAGATAGCTCACAAGTCCTCTCGAGTTTTCATGTTCAGTTCAGAGTTCAAGATCTCTTGACCCTATAAATTCCACTATAGGAGGATCGTTAGTCCTTTAGGTGCTGAATCAGCTCAGCTTCCTTGACTGTTTGGAAACTGTGGATCTTCCAACTCAACACACATTGTCCAATTCACACACAAAGTGGAGAATTCACACTGGCCAGAAGTAGTCACCTGGCCTTACCCAGCAACAAAAGGGCTGAGAAGTGCAGGGAAGCACCAGAAAATGAATAACTTCAAATCAATGAAGAGAACAGGAATGAAAAAATAATCTACTTGATCTCTGGGAAGGTGTGTGGTTGATTAGAAATGATGACAATTTTTTGACCATTGGGACATGGCAGTCAAATTCTGGGATGAACTTAGAAACTTGTTTGACCCATAAATTGCCGTGGAAGTGAAGCTATGTGACTTACGAGGCTAGGTTTCTAACAGCCTGCAACTTCTGCCTCAGTCTTTGGAAACACTTTCTCCTGGAGCCCTGAGTCATCATCTAAGATATCTAACTACCCTAAGTCCAAGCTGGCCGCATGGAGAAGCCACATGGAGAGCAAACACCGGATGTCCCACCCCTCCAAGCTCTGACTTCAGGCATGTACCCGGAGCCATCTCAGACTCCCCAAACTAGCCCAGCCACTAGCAAACATCACCAGGTGAACCCAGTCTACCTCTCACGAAACAGAAGATTCACCCAGCTGGTCCTTGACCCATTTCCTGAACCACAGAGTTATTCACTATAATGAAATGGTTGATGTAAGGCACTAAATGTTGCAATAGTTGGTTATGCAGCAGTAGACAGCCATGGTAACTGTCTACAGACAGCCACAGAAAAGAATAACACGGACACAAAGGCAGAGGCTGGGAAACCTTGACCCGGTGCCCGCACATCTGCAAATGACAGGAAATTTTCCCAAATGAAAGTTTAAGTCCATTTTTAGTCTGTGCTGATATAAATAAGATGATCTTAACATACTTTGAAAAAATATGTACAAACATAAACATATGTTTTTTAAAAAGGAGCCCTCAAACGAGGAAGATATGATCCAAAGAGACAGCTATTGGCTTTAAAATATTAGTTAGTCAGCCTTGGCTAGACAGCTGCTGCTGCTCCTGAGAGCTAAGTCCCACTGTGTGAGGTTACCAGTTAGAAATGGGATTTTAAATCAAATATTGGGCAGTTTGTCTGTGAACACCAAAATGGCATGATATTCCTGACCACCATCATGATTTAGCAAATGGCAAGACCTTCATAAGCACATGCTAAAAGCCACCAGAGCTTACGACGGCAATGTCTTATCTTGCCACAAAAGGCACTGCATTTTTTCTCAAGGAGTCAATCCCACGCTGAGCCCTGGCAATCCCTGATAGACTGTTATGCAGGTCCTCACTGGGGATCAATAAGCCATAAGGCACTCAACGTCATGAGTGTTCAATAACAATGATAATTCAGAAAACTGAAATAAGGGGCCCCAGGAGATCCATCTGAAACTGATTAAAAAATATATATATCCCTCATAGCCAGGCACGGTGGCTCAAGCCTGTAATCCCAGCACTTTGGGAGACCAAGGTGAGGGGATCACTTGAGGCCAGGAATTCAAGACCAGCCTGGCCATCATGGTGAAAACCCGTCTCTATTAAAAATATAAAAATTAGCCAGGCATGGTGGTAGGCACCTGTAGTCTCAGCTACTTGGGAAGCTGTGGCAGGCAGATCACTTGAGCACATGCGTTTGAGACCAGCCTGGGCAACATGGTAAAACCCGTTTCTACCAAAACAAACAAACCCAAAAAATTAGCTAGGTGTGGTGGCACGAGCCTATAGTCCCAGCAACTTTAGAGGCTGAGGTGGGAGGATGGCTTGAGCCGGGGAGGGCAAGGCTGCAGTGAATGAGATTGTGCCACTACTACATTCCAGCCTGGGTGACAGAGTCAGCCCCTATCAGAAAAAAAACAAACAAAAAAATCCCCTCTTAACGACATCCTGCAAAGGACTGAGAGAGAAGGACAGTGTGAGAGAGAAGAGATCATTAAGGCTTGTCACCAGATGCCATTTCAATGACAATGCACAGCCCTCATGGGCAAATACCTGTATTAAAAAAAAAAAAACAGGTTGATTTATTTCTGTGGAAAATAGCAATCATTGCTTTTAGCAAACGTTGTTTAAAACCAAGACTGTCTTCTTTGAAAATATGGAAAGAACATTTTTCTTTAACATGTACAATGTCGCAAACCCCTCCTGAGTTCACCAATTTATGTAAATAATGTTAATGTAACTCACTTTGTTCATTTGTTCTAGAGAAGGTATGGCATTTTTTTTTTTCTTTTTTTACTTTAAAATTAACATCCAAATACAGCAGCGGGGGATATATACCAAATGCATCGTTAGAGTTTATTTTACACACTACAGCATGGACTGTTGCCTGAGTTTATCGTAAACAAGAAAACTGTGATAGGAATTTAGTGCTAATCACATCTTTGAGAAGATTTGAGAGACAGAACAACCTACAAAGCTCTCAAATAATTTTTGTTATAAGTTCAGGATCTGATTTTTCACTTTGATTTTGTTTACTGTGTTTTGGAGATCCAAATATTTCCCCTAAGACAAACAAAAGCACAATCAATATCATATTAGCCCTCAAATCCAAAAATTTAAATTTCAAGGGTCTTTGGTAGAGAGTGGGAGAAGCAGGCATGCAAAAGACACAAAAATCAGAATGAATGTTTTCAGATATCCAGATTTCTTTTTTTTTTTTTTTTTTTTTTGAGATGAAACCTCACTCTGTTGCCCAGGCTAGAGTGCAGTGGCGTGATCTTGGCTCACTGCAACCTCCACCTCCCGGGTTCAGGTGATTCTCGTGTCTCAGCCTCCCGATTAGCTGGGATTACAGGTGCCCGCCACCACACCTGGCTAATTTTTGTATTTTTTAGTAGAGATGGGTTTCACCACATTGGCCAGAATGTGGCCTGTGGTGTGTAGTGCTTCCTGACCACACGGACTCCATATCCATCAGCACATCAGAAAGCTGTGTGCTATTTCTTTGTTGCAAGTCACTAAGGCATTCTGAAACTCAGTCTATTGATCTTCAAAATAAGATTAATATGCTTGGCAAAAGTGTGTGAATCATAGTCAGACCAAATAATTATTTGGTTCTACATGTATTAAAATGAATTTTTGAAGTTACTGAATTAATTGTTTTCATTGAATAGTCAATTAAGTGAAAAGATTTTATTAATCCCTCTGGAAGATGATTATAGAAAACATCTCTAGGATCAAGCTAATGTTCTTTGTATAATTCCAGATAGGAACTTCTTTACATGGCTCTGAAATTAGGACTAGACCTTTTTGCAAACTGCAAAACCCAAAAAAAGTCGAGTGGACTGTTTACACTGGAGTCTTTCCAAGGAGAGTGAACTCAGTGTTATTTTCAATTGCTTTGCACATCATTTAGCTCAAACTGTCCAAGTGAATCTAATTGCAGGGCTTATAGCTTTTTAGTCAAATCCAAAATCTCTATATGAATAACCCCAAATCATCATTTCAGGTTGTCTTGTGGTAGAGGAGATTTTGCCTTGCAATTTTACATACTTATGCTACGTGGAAGGCTGGGTGGCGTGACTTCAGGTAAGGCGACGAAGGATCTCTCTTGCAATTTATTGTCATTTACAAAATTCAACTCTGAACTTTTCCCTCCCTCCCTCCCTCCCTCCCCTTCCTTTCTTCCTTCCTTCCTTCCTTCCTTCCTTCCTTCCTTCCTTCCCTGTATTTCACTCAAATGCATAATGTGGTTTCTGCTTAGATTTCTGGAACATTAGGGCTGGGAGAGACTTTGGGACCATGTGGTTTAACCCACTTCTCATTTTATAGACAAGACATTTCACCAAGATTATGTTGTGAAATCACAGTCTTGCTCTTTTCTCTTTTATACCTCTTCCTAACCTATATCCTATCCTGTTAAAAATGAGACCAAGAATGTGATGTGGTGGTTTGAAACAAGACTATAATATTTCTGTTTCTCTAAGTCTGAAGTTTTAGTAGCTTTGGCCTTCAGTGATTATGTTATTTTCATATGTACACTATATCCTAGGTTCATTATCAAATATCTATTGCTCTTTCTTCAAGTAATATATATTTGATATGTTTTCCACTTCAAATTACATTTTAGAAAAATGTTTCCTCAGGAAAGAGACACACAGAGAGAGAGAGAAAGAGAGAAAGAGAGAACCCACCTACCTGTAAGTCTTGAATAGTCATGGGGTTCATGTAACCTATATAAAAATAAAGACTTCTAACCCCTTATCTCCCACAAAAAACCCTCCACAGTGTTTAATGTCAGTGAGATACAGTAAAAATGAAATCATTGCATGTAATATGTTTGGTATTCAGCGTGTCAAGATTTATGTGAGCTTATTTCGTGTCTAGCACGGTATCAGTATAGGGATTACTATCCTAAAATCTAAGAGTCTAGAGGGTGGGAGGGTGATAGACAGAAACACCATGCTGTCCCGTGGTGGGTGGTAGGGGATTAGAATGCATTGGAATCCACAGGGGATCAGAATAAAGTTAATAAAGAAGGACAGAGCAACTTACTCTGAAGGTGTAGAGCTAGTTTTGCTGTGAAAGAGACATTTAAGTTAGTTTTGTAAGAAAAAATAGGAAAGGGGGAAGAACATTTCAGAGGGTAGGGAGATTGTGGTCCTGAAAGGGCATGGAATATCAAGAAATCTACATTCCTCACATATCCCTTTTCTTGCCTAGGTTTTGCAAAAGTCTCATGAATCATCCCTTCCTGTGGTCCTGCTCCCTGAGATCCTTTCACCGCTCACAGTGGGCTACTTCTAAGAGCGTGCCTGGCACAGGGTCACTGAGAGCATAGTCTTAATAAAACAATGATGGATGCTTGTCTCTCTCACTGGGTGCCATGCACTTTGATCAGAAGCTTTAAGAATGTTTTCCTCCACTGTCTAGTCACAGCCGTATTAAATTACACAAGGCATGGGAAGAGGCATAATCTGTTGATGATAAATCAGAATTAATGAGAGTTTAACAAGCCTGCTAAATACTAAGTCAATGTAAAAAATCAATTGTAAGCCCATCTATCAGAAAAACACTATTAGCAAGCAAAATTTACATTTTTACTGCTTAACATAGCATCCCAAATATCAAGTACCTAGCAACAAATCTAACGAAAGATATGCAAGACTTATAGAGAAAACAGCAACAGCAACAACTTTGTTTAGATACATTAGCGAAGATCTCATTACATGGAGACATACACTATGCTCATGGACTGGAAGACTCCATATGGAAGATGCCAATTCACATCTCAGAATCTCAGCAGGTGTTGCAAAGAACCTGAAAATTTGTTTTAAAAATTCATGTCAAAATGCAAAGGTCCTACAATTGCCAAAGAAAAATAGGGAGGGAGGACCACCTGATATCAGCGGTGATTATAAAACAATAATAAATGTGATACCTTGCCTTAAGTCTGGGGATAGACAAATAGACGAGGGGCGCAGGTTGGAGAATCCAGAAACTGACCCATGAATACATTGACACTTGATATATGACAGAAATGGCCCCCAAAGCCATGGGTGTCTGGGCATATAGTATCCATACAGAAAAAATATGAACTATCTTCAATAAGAGACATAACACTATAAAAGAAAATCATTTTAAGAAAAAATTGTACAACTGAATGTGAAAAACTAAGCTATAAATCTTTTAGAAGACAATACAGGAGAACCTATTTTTCCACCTTCATTATGTGGAGACCCATCTTAATAAAACACCAAAGGCATTAAACAAAATAAATTTGACTACATTAAAATTAAGAATTTTTGTTAATTAAAAAAACACCTTTAAGAGAGTGAAAAGGCAAGGCATAAAGAGAGAGAGAGACTGAGACTTTGCAACAAAGGACTGACATTTGAAACATCTAGAGAACATCTACACATCAATAAGAAAAAGACTCCTTGGAAACAAATGGGCCAAAGACTTCGGAGATATACTCCACAAATGAAGAAACTCAAAGGGCCAATAAACAGAAGAAAGGGGGCTCTGATATTTGCAGCAAGAAAAGAAATGCAAATTAAAACCACAGTAGGGCACCATTACATATACAAGCTCATTGGCAAAAACTTAAGTCTGGAAATACCAAGCGTGGGTGAGAAAGTGGAGCAGTTGGAACTCTCTACAAAGCTTCTGAGAGTGCAAACCAGCACTGCTGCTCTGGAAGGCAGCTCAGCATCATCTGCCAAGGTTGAGGGTGTGTATCCCCTATGGCACAGCAGTTCCTCCGTGACGTGTGTACTCACAGACACTTCCATATATGTACACCAGCATAACGTGTGCAAGAATCTTCGGTGGCATGTTTGACATAACCCCAATCCAGAACCCAAGTATTTACTGCAAGTAAAAACACATAAATAAATTGTGGCATATTCATGGGATCCAATATTACACATCAATGGACATAAATAAAATTCTTTCATTCTAAACAGAATAACAAGGTTGAATTTCCATATTTAGGGAGGGAAACAAGGCAAAAAATAGCAAGCAATTCCATCCCTGCAGATCATATGTAGTTCCCAAACAGGCAGAATGATGGGATGATGTGTGTGAGGATATATATGTGAACCCCGAAAACCTGAGACAGGTCTCAGTTAATTCAGAAAGTTTATTTTGCCAAGGTAGGGGACACACCGGTGACATAACCTCATGAGGTCCTGACGACATGTGCCCGAGGTGGTCAGAGCACAGTTTGATTTTATACAGTTTAGGGAAACATGAGACATCAATCAACATATGTAAGATGAGCATTGGTTCAGTCGGAAAAGCCGGGACAATGTGAAGCAAAGGCGGGAAGGCTTGTGGCGGGGCGGGGCTTCCAGGTCATAGGTAAATAAGAGAAAAAACGGTTGCATTCTTGTGAGTTTCTGGTTAGCCTCTCCAAAGGAGCCAATCAGATATTCATTTATCTCAGTGAGGAAAGTAATGACTGTGAATAGTATGGGAGGCAGGTTGGCCCTAAGCAGTTCCCGGGTTAATTTTTCTCTTTAGCCTAGTGATTTGGGAGCCCCGAGATTTATTTTCCTTTCACACATACATAGCTGGTTAAATTATAAATAAAAGCATGCTTTGGGAGGCCAAGGTGGGGGGATCACCTGAGGTCGGGAGTTTGAGACCAGTCTGACCAACATGGAGAAACCCTGTCTCTACTAAAAATACAAATAAAATTAACTGGGCATGGTGGCACATGCCTGTAATACCAGTTACTCAGGAGGCTGAGGCAAGAGAAGCGCTTGAACCCAGGAGGCGGAGGTTGCAGTGAGCCGAGATCGTGCCACCGCACTCCAGCCTGGGAGACAGAGCAAGACTCCGTCTCAAAATAAATAAATAAATAAAAATAAAAATAATAAAAAATAAAAATAAATAAAAGCATGGAGAAGTATTTATCACAAAATCAGTAATAGTGACTTGTAGAGGGAGGGAGAGGATCATAATTATGGAGAGGCCAACAAAAGACCCCTGAGGCTCTGGCAATGAGCTATCTGTGTATGCCATAGGGGTGTGCGTGCATTTCTCGTATATATACACATCCAGGAAAGGAGTGGGCTGGATGGGCTGTGAGAGCTGAAAGGCGGGAGCTGTGATCTAGGGAAGAGCATCAGCACACACCCAGCCCACAGCAACCTCCCAAAGGCTATCAGCCCTACTACACAGGCTTGACTTAGGGTCTAGTATCTGCCTTTTAGAATAGTGAGTAAAATACTCATTCTAGAGTCCTTAATTCTCTTTAGAAATAAACTGACACATCAAATGACATAAAATAAATATGTCACTGCCTTACATCTGCAGATCAAAATACACTTACTGATAACCACATAGAATTAGTCAATAGCACATACATTCTTAGCAAATAATAATTTTTTTGTTGTTGTTGAGATGGAGTCTCACTCTGTTGCCCAGGCTGGAGTGCAGTGGCGTGACCTAAGCCCACTGCAACCTCCGCCTCCTGGGTTCAAGCTATTCTCCTCCTGCTTCAGCCTCCCGAGTAGCTGGGATTACAGGCACATGCCACCACGCCCAGCTAATTTTTTTGTATTTTTAGTAGAGACTGGGTTTCTCCATGTTGGCCAGGCTGCTCTCAAACTCCTGACCTCGGGTGATCTGCCCGCCTCGGCCTCCCAAAAGTGGTGGGATTACAGGCATAAGCCACCATTCCTGGCCACAAATAATAATTTTTATTAGACTTAAAAAAATGTTACTTTCTTCCCAGATAGTACTTTAATGTTTGTCATTTATTCCTTTTAAGATAATGATTTATACTTCCCTTCACTATGCAAGTAATAATTATTTATCCCTTAAATATAGCAAGAAAATGACATTCAATAGTAAATATATAAACTGCCAGCATGCATATTTTTAATAACATTACAACAAGAATCTAAAAGAAATAAATTATTTCTGAATATGACGATTAAATACATTTTGTATAGCTATCATTTCAAATCCTATGAAAGGGATTTAAAAGTAATTTTTAAACATTATTTAAATTTGTTTAAATATAGTAATTTTATTGCTTTGGATATCGAAAGAAGTTGTTAAGCTAATACTTGATTTTTCTCCATACAACTGATAGAAAAGCAGCTGTGGAGTTTTTTGTTTCCATCATAATTCTGGTTTAATTCCATTTTTAACACATGATAACAGCAAATATCTTTTAATGCCCCTGTTTTTTCTTGCCTCAAAGATATTAAGCACAACCAAACTGCTAGTCTGAAAATATTTTTCAATGACGTTTTAACCTCTGTGTTATCATTTGTGTTACATTGTTCTAGTTAGAATGACTGATAAATTATTTTTTAAAAAATCCCAGTTGAAAAAATCTCATCTTTACCATGAGCGTAACTTAGTGAGAAAGCAAATAATGAAACAGTTCAATGAATGAGTGCTGATTCAATTGATATGTATGGGCAAATAAGTATTATGGACATTAAAAATTGTACATTTACTTTACATTTTTTACTATTTATTCAGTAAAAATGGAGGGTGAGACCTATGGGTATACGGGGCACATTTATGGGGATGTGGAGGGCGTGCATTTACTTGAATACCTTACATTCTCAGGGATAGGTGGAGGCAGTGAATATAGTTGTTCATACACATGCTGTTTGGGAGAAGTCATGCTTGCTTCTCAGTCTCATGAAATTGATTTTTCCAAGTTCACTAACTGATCCCTTAATTCTAAAGCTAATGGATACCTCTCAGGGTTTTTCTCACTTTCCTGTTTTTCTTCCCTTCTCTTCCTCTGTTTCCCTGCCTCCCTCTCCTCCTTTTCCTTGCCCTAATATTCTATATCAAGTGTTTCTCCAAATTCGGACCATTTTTTCCTTCAAAGAACCACTCCTTCCCTTTCCCTCCCATCATCCACTGCTTCTGCTCAGACTCTTATCACTTCCAAGCCAACACTGTGGCAGGGGTTTTCTGACTTGAGTCTCCAACTCTGGTCCTGCCTCCTGCAATGGTTCCTCACACTGCTGTCAGACAAATCTTACTAAAATACAGATGGTTCCACATCTTCTATGCATGAACTTCTCCCATGGCCCAGCCATCACAGCAAAATAAAAACCATAAAAAGGCTCTTGTTCTCTCCCTTACTGCTTCATCTTTTTCTACACTTTTCTCACGCATTGTTCCAGCAGGCCTGAATTACCAAGTATTGCTGCCAGTTACCAACTCACCATATCCCAACATAGAACAGCCCTGACACAGGTCCCAGGAGCTACTGTTATTACCTGGGCATTTCAGATAAGGACACTGAAACTCAGAAGAGCCAAATCACTTGTCCAACATTGTACAGTTGTCCTAATGTTGTGGAAGCAACATGCAAACCCAAGGATTAGACCCTAAGGCCATGATCTTTTCCCTTTGCCTTGATGTCTTTTCTGACAGTTTCCTGAAAGGACAGGTGACATCTGTGGCTTTGCACAAAACTATCTCCTCCTTTTTAAGCTAGCTGAGCCCACCCCGGCCCTCTACTCCCTCCCACGTCTGGCCCTTGTGGTGCCCCTTGCCCTCCTTGGTGCTCTGCATTTAGCTTTATCAGAGTGTGCTCAGAAGACCTATTTGTCAGTACACATCTTCCTGCAGCTTTCAGATTTGTGTCCTCAGTGCTGGGGACACTGCTGATGCAGACAACATGCTCCACCGGGGGCTATTTTGTTCCCCTGGGGACATTTGGCACCATCTGGAGCCATTTTGGTTGTCACGATTTCAGAAGAGATGCAATTGCATCCAGAGTGTGGAGGCCAGGGATGCTGATAAACACCCTACGATGGACAGGCAGCTCCTCCAACAGAGAACTGTTGGATCCCAAGTGGTAGTAGTGCTGAGGTCTAGAAAGTCTGGCTAATAGTGTTGCTCTCACCAACTGCAGCCATGCCACAGGGGCTCTTGATCCTCAGTTGTGTGGTGCTATCAGCTTTCTGGACCTTGTTCAGTCACAAAGGACACCTATTTTTCATAAAGGTCACTTTTGTCAGAAAGGCCACCTATCAGTGGACCAATGTACTTAATGGACATTCCATGTTCCCCAAAAATTCCTCCATGTCTGGTAGAGATAAGCACCTGAATGCCTTCTAGAAAATTTATTCAGAAAGGTTTCTGACTCTACCTCTCTCACTTCCTCTAGGTCCGTACACCAGTTTGGTCACTGAATACAGCTGTCCCTAGAAAGGGACCATTTTCTCTCATTGCTTTGAGTAGGAATATGTAAAATCATACTGAGCTATTTTGAAATGTGGGAATTCTGCCTTGATGCTTCCAGAAAAAGGGACTGGTGAAGGAGCGGATGACTGGAGAAAAGATAAACTATAGGAACTGGATGGGACCTGCTGATTTAGGTGGTATAAGAGGAGAAAGGACCCTGGAAACTAAGGAGGAAACACCTTAGACCATGGGTGTTGGTGGCAGTTAACACTCTCTTTGTTCCCCAGATCCAGCAACAATGGCTAAGTCAAACAGTGGCTGCAGCTGACAATCCGACCTGCTCCTGGGTTTGTACCCTGTCTGTGAGCTATGAAGACAATAAGCTCACGTGAACACACCTTCTTGTCCTGATCCTGCTGTGCCTGGTGCCATCAACCTCAGCTCTCAGCTGTGAACATGCACAGACCCAAAGGCCATCCATGTGCGTGTGCTTCTCCACATATCCAAGAGGCCTTGGGATGTGCCACGGGCAGTGACTGAGGCTGCAACAACTCAGTGACATGGTCCATGCAACTTTACCAAACCACTGTGAAACAATGAATCCCAAACTGGAGGGACCTGTGTCTCTTTGGCTTCTGTGTTTGTACGTGGGCCACGGAATGTTGCTCCATTAGAAATGGGCATGCTTTGTGGCCCATCTGTTGCCCCTCTAGTTATTGACAATGACACCAAAGATCAGAAAGTAAATCTAAATACCTTTGAGTGGGTTGTCACGGATAGTAGTCTGACCTTAGACTACATCTTGGCTATCTGAAAAACACTGTATCTCTGGGACTTACTTAAAATTGACTAAATTCTTGGACTGTTGGGAGGAAGGCATAACTGAGGTTGGCTTGACACTTTTTGACCATACCCTTAATTAACTACTGTGTGAGACTAATCAAAGGGCTTCAGTGCCAACATCTTCTGGACAACTGAATCAGAACTGCTGGTAGAACGACATACTCATGTAAAAGTTAGGAGTTAGGGAGAAAATATTTTGGGAAGAGGGGCAAACTGTCTTAAATACTTACAGTTATCTGTCTTCTCTATGTCCCTCTAGAAACATAAGGCATAAATCCTCAGGGGGAAATTTATATTTCATGCTCAGGGGTGCCTTTAAGAACCAAGAAATAAAAGTGACATACATTTTGGAGGACAGCCTCTATGAGAATCATTCTCAAATCATATCACATAGGTTCCCTTCCCATTGAAACCACTGGACCTAGCCTTGCATCTGAATTGTGGATGGAAATGTTGCCGTCTTTTAAAGTTTTGCATTTGGAGAGCAATTGAGCCCTTTGAAGTGGATTCTGATAGATATATGAGGTTTATATTGATATACAGAATCACCCCACTGAGCCAACCTAGATGGAGATGAAAAAAAAAAAAGAGTGATCTTCAATCTAGACTTCCAACCCATTGCTGGAAAGTGGCAGGAAGAGGAAGTGGAGAAAAAGGTGGGATGGGGGACAAGGATCTGAGGAGAAAGGAGATCTGGTTAATACCTGCTATAGTGTGGATGTTTGTGTCCCCAGACTTCATATTGAAATTTGATTCTCAATGTTAGAGGTGGGACTGAAGGAGAGGTGTTTGGGTCATGGATCCTTCATGAATGAAGGGGATGGATCCTTCATGAATGACTTGGTGCCCTCCTCACAGTAATGAGTGAATTATTGCTCTATTTGTTCCTGTGAGAACTGGGTTTTACAAAGAGCCTGGCACCACCCGCCTCTCTCTTGCCTCCTCCCTGACCATGTGATGTCTGCACACATCAGCTCCTTTTTGCCTTTCTTCAGGAGGGAAGCAGTCTGAGGCCATCACCAGGGGCACAGGCTGTTGCCTTGCTTCTTATACAGCCTGAAGAACTGTGAGCCAAATAAACCTCTTTTCTTTATAAATTACATAGGCTCAGGTATTCCTTTATAGCAACACCAATGGACTAAGGTATCATCTAGGAAGGGAGTCAGGACTGTAGTTTGGAGATGAAGGCTGCAAGAAATCTGTAGGTTTGGGAATCTTGTCTAACTTTTATGAGTTTATTTTGTCATTTTATTTTCCTCTCTTTGATTCACTTTAGAGATTAGCATTGCATAGTTTAAGTTAAATAAAAATATGCTTATTTTTAGAAGAGAAGAAAAGCAGGATTGGGAAGATCGTATCCACTTTGGCTTCAGTCTTTGAAGAAGGGACCATCCTCAGGAATGGAGTGGGAGGTGGCAGGTGCAGAGAAGAGAAAAGCAAGTTAAACTTGGCCCTGCAGTGAGAAAGAAAGTGTGGCTGGAGCTGATTTGGCCAGAGAAGTATCACTGGAGATTTTGCTGGAAAGCTGGTGTTTTTCAACATATTCTAGAGGAGCAGTTACCTTTGTGTATACAAATGCTAGTGAATTCCCACAAGGTCAACCAGCGAAAGCCTGTGAGATTCCCTTCCAGATATCTACAAAGAAGTTATTTGTTCTCCTCCCTAAAGGGCAGGTCTTTCCCAAGTCTCTTAGGGATCTCCTCAGCTTTAATACAAGCATGAATTTATCTCACTAGGTAATTGGGCTTGTGGCTGGTCCCTGAGCTACCAATTAGCTGGATTATATGGTTACAAAACAACAGGGCCATTAAGGTTATAGCCTCATAATTTATCAGACACATCTTATATTTTAATTGGAATTTATTTATTGTTTCATGAATGCTGTTGGTAAGGTCCAGACCACACATGAAGCCCTGCAATATCTGTTGTTACAACTCAAGCTTCTATATTTTCTGCGAATCATGTTTATCTCATGGCACTTAACAAAAGTCAATGTAAAAACAGAATTAGTTTGGCCTACCATGGAGCTGTAACCTCCAGTGTATTTGAAGAATTAAATGTGCATCCACTCTTGGTTGCTAATATTGAATGAAGATAGTGAAGAAAATGTAAAGCTACTGAGAAAATCCAGTGTTACTAGAGGGAAAACTAGTTTATTGTACAGAAAGAAATAGCATGATTTATTTCTCCTAAGTATTATTTATTATATTCCTTAATTCCATCTGTGCTTTTTAAATATTAATCATAAAAATGTTAACAAATGTTAAGTGAATTTTAGAGGTTCTCTTAGAAAGAGTTTTTAACATTTTGTTGAAAAGGAAGTCTATAATAAATGTGTGAAGCTATTTTTAGGGATGTCTTTGATGCTGAGTAAGATCTTAACTCACAGAATAATTTTCAAGTGGAAACTTGGCCTGGACATGGGAAGGATGTGAGTCCATTGAGTTAGATCTGTGTAGGACACCCTAGAAGGTCAGTCACAGGCTGGAGTCTCAGCCTTTAATGCAACAGGAATCCAGTCTAAGAGGTTTGGTGATTTAATAAATATTTCTGATACTTTGGATCATAATTAATTTTACTGATTTCTCTAAATCTCATGTTATCTTCCATCATCAGATTATTTAACCAGGTCCAGCATTTAAACCCACTCTTTCTTTCTTTCTTTCTTTCTTTCTTTCTTTCTTTCTTTCTTTCTTTTTCTTTCTTTCTCTCTTTCTTTCTTTCTTTCCTTCTCTCTCTTTCTTTCTCTCTCTCCTTCCTTCCTTCCCTCCCTCCCTCCCCTCCTTCCTTCCATCGTTCCTTCCTTCCTTCCTTCCCCTCTCCCTCTCCCTTCCCCCTCCCCTCCCCTCCCCTCCCCCTCCCTCCCTCCCTCTCTTTCTTTCTCTCTTTCTTTCTTCTTTCTTTCTCTTTTTTTTTCTTTCTTTCTTTCTCTCTCTCTTTCTTTCTTTCTCTGCACTCCATGATTGTCTAGCACAGAACTTTGAACTGAGGGAAGGTTTCTGAGTTAATTAGTATTAATGCATTCACCAGAATGTCCTTGTAACAGTGGGTTGCCTTCTCTGGATCTACACTTGATCTTAGCCAAAAGGCCAAGAAGCAAAGCACTGGATCTATTTTTCTACGTGATAAATGATTTTTTAAAGTTTTTTATGACTATAATCCTGAAATCGGAATCAGAAAATCTGAGTTCAAGTGCTGAGTGTATCATTCACCTGCCATCTGCTCTTGGTCAAGTTACTTCAGCTCCAAATCCCAGTTTCCTCTTCTCTGAAATGAAGCCCACAGTACCCTCGTTCCTGTTGTTAGAATTAAGTGAACTGTACTATCCAGAAGTGCCTGTAAGATGCTTGGGACATAATTTAAACGTCATAGACACTTGTTCAAAGTATCCACTGGTTTCAGCAGCAACATTCTTTACATCAATTCCACTTAGCAACTTGAACACAGAAAGAAACGTAGTTTTAGACTATTAACTCCCTTCTCTTCAAGAATCACATGACATATCAAACTACTGATTTACTTGCTTTTAGATGAAGACACAGAAACACATTTTCTCATTTGGAAGATTGACTAGAGAAAGACAATTTCATTTCTATTTCCCCTTTCAGATTCATTTATCTTTCAAATAGTTACAAATTTCTGCTTGTTCATGATTGCTCCTGTGTAGCACATGGGAGCAATGTGGATCCTTGCAAAATGCCATACCTCAGCTTCTGGTGGTTCTTTGCATTTCTACAGGGTGGTGCTTTCAATAAAGTCTTATTATGCTCCTGCTCCAATGTTCTCACAGCAGTGTTATGAGGGAGGAGGGGTTGTATAATTTCTCTTTTTGGAATGAAGACATTAAAGTACAGGGAGTCTAAAGGATTTTCTAAAATTTATCCGATAAACCATGAGCAGAGAAATAATAATCCACATCTCTTGATTTTCCCATGAACTTACCACTAAATAAAAAAGGGAAAAATAATTTGAACGTTGGTCATCTCATACCACCATTCAACTGTTTAAAATTAAGTGGCCTTTTCAAATAACTGGACCTTGTTTTTCACATTCAAATATGTGAATGTGCATAAACATGAATATATACATAGTGTATGTTTAAGTCTGTATCAATATGACCTACAAAATATTATAATGCATATTCATTATTTAAATTGCCATCCTTAAAAATAGCAAAGCTCAGGTGAGAACACAGTTAAATGGATTACTGAGCTGAGGCAGTATGCACTGAAAAAGAAATCACATTTAGCTCTCCCTTTACTTTTTATAGGTGGTACATAATGCACTTACCCTCTCTGAAAGCTGGTTTCATCATTTGCAAAATTATGGATAATAATGCTGAAAGGGCTGAAGGAGGGACGTGGAATGTGCCTAACAACATTAGAGTATGTAATAGATGCTGAATCACATGTTAGTCTTCTTCCCTTCTTTACTTTATTGTTTCATTTTATTCTGAGACAGGCTCTCAGTTTGTTGCCCAGGCTGAAGTGCAGTGATGAGATCACAGCTCACTGCAGCCTCAGACTTCTGGGTTCAAGTGAGCCTCCTGCCGCAAACTCTCAAGTTCCTAGGACTACAGGTGCATGCCACCATACCCAGCTAATTATTTTATTTTTACTTTCTGTAGAGACATGGTTTCTCTTTGCTGCCCATACTGGTCTTGAACTCCTGGTCTCAAGCCATTCTCCTGCCTCGGCATCCCAAAGTGCTGTGATTACAGGTGTGAGCCACTGTGCCCAGCCCAGTTTTAACTTTTTAAATGGTGAAATGAAGTACACTTACAAAAAAGTGTGAAAACTTAAATGAGTGGTCCAAAAAATCATTACAAAATAACCCACTGAAGTTAGGAAACAGAGTATTGGTGGCACACCAGAATCCTTCCCTGTGCCCTGTGATGGTGTTAGCCCTTCACATCTCCCTAAAGGTGACTTCTATGCTGAGTTCTAACAGTAGACTTAAGTTTTTCCTGCTTTTGAACTTTTTATAAAAAGGGAATTAGACAGTCTGTGTTGTTTTTTGTCTTGCTTTTTTTGATCAGTAATATTATGCTCGTGATATCCATCCACATTGCATGCCACTACATTTCATTCATTTTCATGCTGTATAATGCATATGGTTTGGGGCTATCATGAAAATGCTGCTATAAATGTTTCTGTAGCCTCGACTGTTCCTGCACACAGGCACATTCCTGTTGGGCATGTGGACTAGCATTGCTGGGTCCGATTGGTCCTACACATTTCCAACCAAAGCCGAACAAATAAAGCTTTTTCAGAGTGATTGTACAAGATGCACTCTCAGCAGTAGTGCATGAACATTCAGTTGTTGCACCTCCTAACACTTGTGGCTGTCAGTCTCATAAACTTCAGGCTTTGCAAGTCGTAGTCTCTATTTCAACTACCCAGCTCTGACACTGTAGTACAAATGCAGCCCTAACTGTCCCTAAGTGAGCCATGATGACTGTGTTCTAATAGGTCTTTATGAACAATGAAATTGGAATTACATAGAATTTTCACATGCCATAAAACATTATTCTTCTTTCCAGTTTTTTCAACATTGAAAACAGTAAAATCCATCCTTAGCTCATAGACAGTAGGGAGTTGGCCAGAATTGGTCCATGAGCCATGGTTTGCTGAGCCCCTGCTCTAAGTGGATTTAATAATTGTTAATATTTTGCCATATTTTCTATGTAAGCCATTCGAATGATTTTAATGCAAACCATTTGAAGAGATATGATATCTCTTCAACTCTAAATATGTCAGAATACATTTCTGAAGAATTAACGATATTCTCCTACCTAACTATAATGCCGTTATGACACTTAAGAAAATTAATGTCTTGAATTTTATCTAATTTTCAGACTATATTTAATTTTACTCATGATTTTCCAAATGTCCTTTAGAGTGTTTTTACCCCAGCCAGGATTTACTCAAAGTTAGCTCATTGCATTAGATTTGTATGGGACTCTAGTCTCTTTTAGTCTAAAATAGTCCATGCTTTTCTTCTCCATCATCTTTATTTTTTGAAGTCAGGTCTGATTGTTGTGTCTAGTGTTCAACACTCTGGAATTATAGGATTTTTTCCTTATTGGGTATTTAATGTTTCTCTCTATTTATATTATTTTCTGTGAATTAAAGTTGAGTCTAGGTGACTTTTTAGATTCAGGGTAAACATTTTTGGCAAGAATTCTTCCTAGGCAGTGCTGTGCACTTCATATCTCATCTCATCTGGAAGCGCATAACATCTGGCTGTCCCAGGTGGAAACTGACAGATTCTCCATCACGAAGATGCACCATCCTTTTGCAATCAGCAAGTCATCTCTGCAGGGACTCTTTGGCACCTTGCAAATATCTTATTTCCCAATTGCCATTCCTCTAAGGGTTTTAGCATTCACTGATGCTCATCTGAATCAATTGTTAGATTGGAGAATTTTTTTAATTGCTCTATAGATGGAAAGGATCTTTTTATTTAAAAGGAATATATAGGTACTACCACTACTTGGTAGAAACTATTACTCAAATAGGTTCATGTGGGACAGTAGTCCTGGTCTTACGTACTGTGGGTGTCTGTGGAGTGAATCAAGGTGGTCGGGGGCAGGAGGAAAATAAGTTAGCCCAGTGGACTGGTTTTATAAAAGATTCAAGGCATTCATAAAGCTCCACCTTCCTTCTGCTGTCACCATGACAACAGAAGCAAGCCTGGCTGAAACCTTGTCAGTTCATTAGGGCTTCTTATGCTTATGCTCCCAGTTCCATTGAGAGGAAAATCCTTAACACTTATGATATTCAGATTAAATACAAATGCCAGGGGGCTGGAGGACGGGGTGGCATGTAAAGATGTATGCTGCGAACTCCATTTGGCCAGGGATGACCTCATCACTGGTTTTTTTTTTCTTTATTTAAAATAACAAGGTTATTATCTGCTACAATAGCTAATGCCTTGTTATTTTACAAATGTGGGTTTTCTTTTTTTTTTTTAACAGCTTCACTCTGTATTACACTAATTGGATAGAACGCATGTAATAAAGAAAGAAAAGACTTACCTCCTTGGAGAAATTAAACAGCCAAGTACAGAAAAAGCAGTCTGTGAGGCTTCCATTTTTGGGGATAGGAAGGAGCAAACACAACTTTCCCTATGTGTTCCACTAAGTAAAGCTAAGTAAAGCTAAAATCCCATCTCTGGACATTATGTATACACCAAATATAAGACTGCAAGGTGTACAGGAAAGAGCAGAGCTACTAGGGACCTGGAGACTGAGGAATGTCCCAGGGTTCAGTTCATTTGGCTTTCTTTTTGACTTGTATGTCCTGGACTGTCTTCTGGAGTAGCTAGTAACCCCAAACACCAATAAACACAGACAAGAAAAGTCCCAAGAAAAGCCAGCCCCCTCTAGTTAAAGGGCCAGGAAAGGGACAGCCTAGCAAGACAGGGTGATAAATTTTAGGCAAAAACTCCAGCTAAACCCCATAGAAAAGCTGCAGCTTACCCCTGCTAAACTGCAGTTTTTTTAGGCACAAAGCTTAGTTTTTGCCTAGGCAGCTGCAGCTGACCCCAGCATCAGCTCTCTAGGGGGGAGCCTGAGTCTCCTGCCCCACCCAGCAGTCATAAGGTGCCCCGTCCCCAGTTTGACATTATACTACTTGTAGATAAAAGACAATCATTGGAAAAATTGGATAAAGGATACATAGGGCCTCTCTGTGCTATTTCTGCAACATCTTATTATCATTTCAAAATGAAAAATTAAATTTAAATGGCCAGTCGGTTTGATGACATTTTCCCCTTTTCATGTGGGGGCTCCATAGTCACCTTGATGTCCGTTGAATGGGTTTGGTGTCTTGTGGCAAAACAATTGGAATGAAGAGCTGCTTGCCTATTTAATTCTGATACAATGTCCCTAAATGTTAGGTTTGGACAGGGTGCTGCTTAGCACTGGGCAAGTTCATATCTACCTGAAAGATCCAGGGGACCTTTTGGTGCATCTGCAGAAAAATAATCTGTGCTTATGAGCAAGAGCCTCCGAAAGAAACAGGTATCAGGGACAAAGACAGGAAGCTGGGGAAACACTTTCCTAACAAAACTCCACTCAATTCAATAAGAAGTCCCGATACCCTTTCTTTCATTATTTATTTCAATGTAATTCAATGCAAATTTTATGTCAGGATGATGACATCTGAGAGGGCAGACAGCAAAGGGGAGCTCCACTTTCAGCCTGCAGAAAATACTCACCGAGCACCCCTCACGACGCTAGGACAGGAAACACCTGTGACCAAGATAGACAAGGTCCGTGCCCAAGGAACTCCCGTGAAAGTCTCACGCCTAGGATGTTGCTTGGAACCTTCTAGAAGCAAAGTATTGGAGCAATTTTGGAAGGAATTCAGGATTTCTAGCCTGAAGCAGAATGAAACATAGCAGTCCCAAGGACCCAAGAAAAGTTTAACATGGACAGTGGATTAGACTTGCCTCTCCCTATTCAAATCTGGAATCTAGTGGGAAATTTTCTACCGCATTGTGCATAAAAAAGTAGGCTGCATTAAGAAAAGTTCAGCTCGTCTTCCTTACACATTTTTGCATGAAGATCACATTTTGTGAATACTGTGGACCAGCAAGCTCTCTCTCACGGCACCATCTCTAGACCCTCGGGGTGGCATTGAGCTCATCAGATGCTGGGCACCGCCCCCACTCTCCCTGCCCCGATTCTGCTGGCTGGAATTGCCAGATGCGAGACAGGAGACAGTTATGTGTGAATGTCAGATCAACGGCAAGCCCATTTTTAGTGCAAGCATGGTCCTTGCAATATTTGTCCTGCATGTGCACTTGCCAAATCCGGGAACCTCAGTTTCAGTACACCCCTATCTCAGCTTCTTTGTTCTTTGGTTTCTACAGCTCCTGAAACTTTCAGAAAAAGGCTAGAAAACTACTCGACTCTCTTCAGCCTCCTGCGCAGAGAGCTGGGAGTGTCTGGGAATTCGCCTCCTCCCAGGACAACGGTGGCTTATGAATCACTGGAGCAGAGAATGCATACTTAGCTCTCTTGCCTGTATGGAGACAAAGTCTGAGGTGTAAGCCAGCTCCAGAGCTCCTGGGGACCAGGTGGGTGGGGACTTGTCTGAGGTTGCCCTCTGGCTTGATTCCTTCTCCTTCCCTCTTCTGCTTCCCATGCCTTCTTATAGCTTTCCCTGTAGGGGGACCCTTCCCTGATGAGTCACATGCAGGTGAATCTTATTACCAGAGTCCACTTCAGGGGAATGCAGCTCAAGATCATTCTGAAATAAAAGGTGAGAAAATATCACTTGAGGCTAGGAGTTCGAGGTCAGCCTGGGCAACATAGCAAGACCCCCATTTCTACAAAAAATTTTAGATAAGAAAATTAGCCAGGTGTGGTTGTGCATGCCAGTAGTCCCAGCTACCTGGGAGGCTGAGGAAGGAAGATCACTTGAGCCCAGGAGGTCCAGGCTGCAGTGAGCCGAGATCCTGCCACTGCACTCCAGTCTGGGCGACACAGCCAGACTCTGTCTGGAAAAAAAAAATGTGGGTAAGAAAATAGAAAATAGATTTAGCCCTGAGGAGTTGGTCCCCATGGTGTGCAAACTGCCTGAATAGACACAAACTCTGGAAATTCTTTCCTCAGATTACGGTTTGATGTTATTAATAGTAGATACGGCTTAGAGCAAATCCTCAAAACCCAATGGTATTGTTTACAACACGAAGTCTTTCTGAGAGTCAAAGTATTCTATTCTAAAGAAAAGTCAAGAGAGAGTTCTAAACATGGTGTCTCTGGGGAGCCACATGGGCCCCTCATTCCCGCCTGGGCCTGCCACTGGCTGAGCAGCCAGGGGGTCCTGGGGCCTCGTGGGGACTCTGCTCTCGAGGGCCCCACATGGATTGGGCCCCAGCATGCCAGGAGGGCACCGAAACTTCAGGGGGTGCCAGCATCCCCATCAGCACCTTACTTTTGTAAAATTATCTCTGTGTGGGACTTTTTTTTTTTAATTTTATTTTACCTTAAGTTCCAGGATACATGTGCAAACGTGTACTTTTCTTACTTAGGTATACGCGTGCCATGGTGGTTTGCTGCAGCTATCCACCCTTCACCTAGGTATTACGCCCCACATGCATTAGCTAGTTTTCCTGGTGCTCTCCCTAACCCCCGCCCCACCCCCACAGGCCCCAGTGTGTGTTGTTTCCCTCCTTGTGTCCATGTGTTCTCATTGTCCAACTATTACTCATGAGTGAGAACATGCAGTGTTTGGTTTTCTGTTCCTGTGTTAGTTTACTGAGAATAATGGCTTCCAGTTTCATCGATGTCTCTGCAAAGGACATGATCTCATTCCTTTTTATGGCTGCATAGTATTCTATGGTGTATATGTACCACATTTTCTTTATGCATTCTATCATTGATGGGCATTTGGGTTGGTTCCATGTCTTTGCTGTTGTAAATAGTGCTGCAATAAACATACATATGCATGTATCTTTATAGTAGAATGATTTATACTCCTTTGGGAATATATGCAGTAATGAAATTGCTGGGTCAAATGGTATTTCTGGTTCTAGATCCTTGATGAATTGCCACACTGTCTTCCACAATGGTTGAGCTAATTTATATTCCCACCAATAGTTTAAAAGCATTCCTATTTCTCCACAGCCTTGACCACAACCATTGTTTCTTGACTTTTTAATAATTGCCATTTTGACTGCTGTGAGATGGTATCTCATTGTGGTTTTGATTTGCATTTCTCCAGTAATCAGTGATATTGAGTTTTTTTTCATATTTTGTTGGCTGCATAAATGTCTTCTTTTGAGAAGTGGCTGTTCATATCTTTGCCCACTCTTTGATGGGGTTGTTTTTTTTCTTGTAAATTTGTTTCAGTTCTGATATAGTTTATCTGTGTCCCCACCCAAATCTCATCTTGAATTCCCATGAGTTGTGGGAGAAACCCAGTAGAAGGTAATTGAATCATGGGGGCACGTCTTTCCCATGCTGTTCTCATGATAGTGGGTAAGCTTCATGAGATCTGATGGTTACTATAAGGGGGAGTTTTCCTGCACAAGTTCTCTTTGCCTGCCACCATCCACATAAGATGTGCCTTGCACCTCCTTGCCTTCCACTACAATTATGAGGCCTCCCCAGCCACATGGAACTGTGAGTCCAATTAAACTTCTTTCTTTTGTAAATTGCCCAGTCTCGGGTACATCCTTATCAGCAGCATGAAAATGGACTTGTAAATTCTGGATATTACACCTCTGTCAGATGGGTAGATTGCAAAGATTTTCTCCCATTCTGTAGGTTTCCTGTTCACTCTGATGACAGTTTCTTTTGTTATGCAGAAGCTCTTTAGTTTAATTAGATCCCATTTGTCAATTAGCTTTTGCTGCAATTGCTTTTGGCATTTTCATCATGAAGTATTTGCCCATGCCTATGCCCTGAATGGTATTGCCTGGGTTTCCTTCTAGGGTTTTTATGGTTTTTGGTTTTACATTTAAGTCTTTAATCCATCTTGAGTTAATTTTTGCATAAGGTATAAGGAAGGAGTCCAGTTTCAGTTTTCTGCATATGGCTAGCCAGTTTTCCCAGTGCCATTTATTAAATAGGGAATCCTTTCCTCATTGCTTGTTTTTGTCAGGTTTGTTGAAGATCAGATGGTTGTAGATGTATGTTGTTATTTCTGAGGTCTCTGTTCTGTTCCATTGGTCTATATGTCTGTTTTGGTACCAGTATCATGCTGTTTTGGTTACTGTAGCCCTGTAGTATAGTATGAAGTCAGGTAGTGTGATGCCTCGAGCTTTGTTCTTTTTGCTTAGGATTGTCTTGGCTATACAGGTTCTATTTTGGTTCCATATGAAATTTAAAATTGTTTTTTCTAATTCTGTGAAGAATGTCAATGGTAGTTTGATGGGAATAGCATTGAATCTACAAATTACTTTGTGCAGTATGGCCATTTTCACGATATTGATTCTTCCTATTCATGAGGATGAAATGTTTTTCCATTTGTTTGTGTCCTCTCTTATTTTCTTGAGCAGTGGTTTGTAGTTCTCCTTGAAGAGGTCCTTCACTTCCCTTGTTAGCTGTATTCCTAGGTATTTTATTCTCTTTGTAGCAATTGTGAATGGGAGTTCATTCATGATTTGGCTCTCTGCTTGTCTATTGTTGGTGTATAGGAAAGCTTGTCATTTTTGCACATTGATTTTGTATCCTGAGACTTTGCTAAAGTTGTTTATCAGCTTAAGGAGTTTTTAGGCTGAGATGATGGGGTTTTCTAAATATAGAATCATGTTGTCTGCAAACAGAGACAATTTGACTTCCTCTCTTCCTATTTGAATACCCTTTCTTTCTTTCTTTTGTCTGATTGCCATGGCCAGAACGTCCAATACTAAGTTGAATAGGAGTGGTGAGAAAGGGCAACCTTGCCTTGTGCCAGTTTTCAGAGGGAATGCTTCCAGCTTTTGCCCATTCTGTATGATATTAGCTGTGTGTTTGTCATAAACAGCTCTTATTATTTTGAGATATATTCCACCAATACCTAGTTTATTGAAAGTTTTTAACATGAAGGAATGTTGAATTTTATCAAAGGCCTTTTCTGCAACTATTGAGATAATCTTGTGGTTTTTGTCATTGGTTCTGTTTATGAGATGAATTATGTTTATTGATTTGCATATGTTGAACCAGCCTTGCATCCCAGGGATAAGACCGACTTGATCATGGTGGATAAGCTTTTTGATGTGCTGCTGGGTTTGGTTTGTTAGTATTTTATTGAGGATTTTTGCATCAATGTTCATCAGAGATATTGGCCTGAAGTTTTCTTTTTTTGTTGTGTCTCTGTGAGGTTTTGGTGTCAGGATGAGGCTGGCCTTGTAAAATGATTTAGGGAGGAGTCCCTCCTTTTCAATTGTTTGTAATAGTTTCAGAAGGAATGGTACCAGCTCCTCTTTGTACCTCTGGCAGAATTAGGCTGTGAATCCATCTGGTCCTGGGCTTTTTTCTTTTTTTTTTTGGTAGGCTATTAATTACTGCCTCAATTTAAGAAATAGTTATTGATCTATTCAGGTATTCTACTTCTTCCTGGTTTGGTCTTTGGAGGGTGCATGTGTCCAGGAATTTATCCTTTTCTTCTAGTTTGTTTGCATAGAGGTGTTTACAGTATTCTCTAATAGTAGTTTGTATTTTTGTGGAGTCAGTGGTGATATCCCCTTTATCATTTTTTATTGTGTCTATTTGATTCTTCTCTCTTTTTTTCTTTATTAGTCTAGCTAATAGTCTATCTATTTCATTAATTTTTTCAAAAAACCAGCTCCTGGATTCATGGATTTTTTGAAGGGCTTTTCGTGTCTCTATCTCCTTCACTTCCACTCTGATCTTAGCTATTTCTTGTCTTCTGCTAGCTTTTGGATTTGTTTGCTCTTGCTTCTCTAGTTCTTTTAATTGTGATGTTAGGGTGTCGATTTGAGATATTTCTAGCTTTCTGATGTGGGCATTTAGTGCTATAAATTTCCCTCTTAACACTGCTTTAGCTGTGTCTCAGAGCTGTGTCTCTTTGCTCTCATTTGTTTCAAAGAACTTCTTGATTTCTGCCTTAATTTCATTATTTACCCAGGAGTCATTCAGGAGCAGGTTGTTCAATTTCTTTGTACTTGTGTCGTATTGAGTTTCTGAATCCTGAGTTTAATTTGATTGCACTGTGGTCTGAAAGACTATTTGTTATGATTTCAGTTTTTTTGCATTTGCTGAGTGAGGAGTGTTTTACTTTCAATTATGTGGTCGATCTTAGAATAAGTGCCATGTGGCACTGAGAAGAATGTATATTCTGTTGATTTGGGATGGAAAGTTTTGTAGATGTCTATTAGGTCCACTTGATCCAGAGCTGAGTTCGAGTCCTGGATATCCTTGTTAATTTTCTGTCTTGTTGATCTGCCTAATATTGACAGTGGGGTGTTAAAGTCCCTCACTATTATTTTGTGGGAGTCTTTGTAGGTCTCTAAGAATTTGTTTTATGAATCTGGGTGCTCTTGTATTGGGTGCATATATATTTAGGATAGTTAGCTTGTTGCACTGATCCCTTTACCATTATGTAATGCCCTTCTTTATCTTTTTTGGTCTTTGTTGGTTTAAAGTCTGTTTTGTCAGAGACTAGGATTGCAACCCCTGCTTTTTTTTTTTTTGCTCTCCATTTGCTTGGTAAGTTTTCCTCCAACCCTTTATTTTAAGCTTGTGTATGTTTTTGCACGTGAGTTGGGTCTCTTGAATACAGCACACCCATGGGTCTTGAATCTTCATCTAATTTGCCAGTCTGTGTCTTTTAATTGGGGGCATTTAGCCCATTTACATTTAAGGTTAATACCGTTATGTATAAATTTATCCTGTCATCATGATGCTATCTGGTTATTTTGCACACTAGTTGATGCAGTTTCTTCATGGTGTCATTGGTCTTTATATTTTGGTGTGTTTTTGCAGTGGCTGGTACCCGTTTTTCCTTTCCATATTTAGTGCTTCCTTCAGGAGCTCTTGCAAGACAAGCCTGATGGTGACAAAGTCCCTCAGCATTTGCTTATCTGAAAAGGATTTTATTTTTCCTTTGCTTATGAAGCTTAGTTTGCCTGGATATGAAATTCTGGGTTGAAAATTCTTTTTTTTAAGAATATTGAATATTGGCCTCCACTCTGTTCTGGCTTGTAGGGTTTCTGCTGAGAGATCTGCTGTTAGTCTCATGGGCTTCCCTTTGTAGGTGACCTGATCTTTCTCTCTGGTTGCTCTTAACATTTTTGCCTTCATTTCAACCTTGGAGAAGCTGATGATTATGTGTCTTGGGTTGATCTTCTTGTGGAGTATCTTAGTGGTATTCTCTGTATTTCCTGAATTTGAATGTTGGCCTGCCTTGCTAGGTTGGGGAAGTTCTCCTGGATAATATCCCGAAATGTGTTTTCCAACTTGGTTCCATTCTCCCCATCTCTTTCTGGTACTCCAATCAATTGTAGATTTGGTCTTTTTACATAGTCCCATATTTCTTGGAGGTTTTGTACATTCCTTTTCATTCTTTTTTCTCTAATCCTGTTTGCCTGCTTATTTCAGCAAGATGGTCTTCAATCTCCAATATTCTTTCTTCTGCTTGATTGATTTAGCTATTGATACTTGTGTATGTTTCACAAAGTTCTCATGCTGGGTTTTTCAGCTCCATCAGATCATTTATGTTCCTCTCTAAGCTGGTTATTATAGTTAGCTGCTCCTGTAACCTTGTATCAAGGTTCTTAGCTTCTTTGCATTGAGTTAGAACACGCTCCTTTACTGCAGCAGAGTTTTTTATTATCCATCTTCTGAAGCCTATGTCTGTAAATTCATCCATCTCATTCTCTGTTCAATTCTGTGCCCTTGCTGGAGAGGTGGTGCAATCATTTGGAGGAGAAGAGGCACTCTGGCCTTTTGGGTTTTCAGCATTTTTTTTCATTGATTCTTTCTCATCTTCATGGGTTTATCTAGTTTTGAACTTTGAGGCTGCTGATCCTTAGATGAGGTTTTGTGGGGACTTTTTTGTTGACACTGTTGTTGTTGCTTTCTGTTTGTTTGTTTTTCTTTCAATAGTCAGATCTCTCTTCTGTAGGATTGCTGTGGTTTGCTGGGGGTTCCCTTCAGGCCCTATTCATCTGGTTCACTCCTGCACCTGGAGATGACACTCAAGGAGGCTGAAGAATAGCAAAGATGGCTGCTTGCTCCTTCATCTGGGATTTCTGACCTCAAGGGGCACCAACTTGATGCCAGCAGGAATGCTCCTGTATAGGGTGTCTGACAACTCCTGTTGGAGGATCTCACCCAGTTGGGTGGCAAGGGGAGCAGGACCAGTTTAACAAAGCACTTTGGCTGCCCCTTGATGGAGGGGGTGGCTATGCTGGGGGGAAACCCACTCTTTTGCACTGCCCAGATTCCTCGGAACTAGCAGGAGGAAAGACTAAGTCTGCTGGTTTGTGGAGACTACAGCCACCATGCCCACTAGGGGCTCAGGCCCAGGGAGCTCAGAGTTCTGTCTCTGAGCCCCTGGCTGGAGTTGCTGGAGTTCCTGTAGGGAGGCCCTTCCCAGTGAGGAGGGATGGGTCAAGGTCAGGCCTGAAGAGGCACTCTGACTGTAATCTGCCACAGCCGGTGTGTTGGGCTGTGGGGAATACCTCTTGGGACTGAGATGTCCAGCCTGTCTGGTTCCAGCAGGGGAAAAGTACAGCATGGAGCTATAGAGATGCGTGGGACATTTTTAAGTGCCTGGGGTCAGTTGCTTTCTCCCCTCTTGTCACCAAAATGAGTCCCAGGAAGCTCCTGAGCATCTCTGACCCTCACGCCCACCCTGCCCTATTCTGTGGTGGGGCAGATGGCAGAGGACACAGCTCCTGTCCCTCCTAAGTGCCTGGAAGAGGCAGAAAACAAAGCAAAAGCCATGCTAGACACCAGAGAGGGGCATTTGACACCCAATAAAAGGTGTTTCATTCCTCCAGGGGGAATATACTTTAAGACAAAACATTTTCATAGACAGGCAGGTGGAGGGGATGAAGAAATTTGACTCAGGGGTCGTGTCAGCTTGGGGAGCTGTGTGGGTGCATTTGAGTGACATGCCTGCTTGCTGGCATGGCAACAGCTCCACTCTGGTGTTCTTTCTCTCAGTACGTTCTGACAATGGTGCAGGTAAAGAATCTGGGCTCGCTTTTTGTTTCTTCTTGTCTCAAGCATAACGGGCTTTTCTTGCTCCTGAGACCCAGGCCCAGTTGGGCTTGTGCAGGTAGGGGGCCATTAGAGCAGGTAGGAGACATCCCCTGGAAAAATGTGAGCAAAGCGCTGAAATCAGTGGTTTCCATTGATTGGATGCCAATAGCATAACAAGAATGTATATATATGTAATATGTGTATATGTATACATATCATATGTGTATATGATCTCAATTTATTATTGTATACATTTTATAGTGAGGAAAAACAAGACTTTAGGAATTAACTTGCTCAAGTTTAGCTAAGTAGAGAGGGAGGAGCTGGGATTCTAGCCCCGTTTGTCTATTTACAAAGTCCCACATCTACTCCTTGCACAGAGCTAGTAGGACTAGCACGAAACTTCTCTTTTTGTCCATCTAAAAGAGAAGCCACAGGAAGGGGCCCTGACATATAAGCCCTTTTCTCCAGTTTCCACTTGTGGCTCCAGCCAGCTTCAGTTTCCATGATTGATTTGTTGTAAAGAAAACCTCACGGGTGTGCAGTCAGGGATTTCACCAAGCACCCATCCCTGCTCTGGATATGAAGGCAATTGTCTCCTGACAAGGAAAAAGTGGAGCTTGTATTTGGATCGATGTGTTTGTTACTTAAACAAAGTCAGCATCAACTAAGAACTGGAACAAAATGTCCCCTGTGCTCTGAAGTTCCACAGTTATGAAATATTGTCTGAGCTACCACGGCACTGATGAGGTTACCTTTTAATATACAGACACAACTATGCGGAATCCCAGTCGATTTCTTGCTGAACTATTATAAAACGTTGTTTACCTTCATGTCTTTTTTTTTTTTAATGTTTGGTTTCCACTCTCATCCAGACTGTGCCAAGCTGATGACTGACCTACTTTTGCTGCAGTGCTGGGTTTGCTTTTAATTATAGCAATTACAGTGCCCAGATCACTGGCATCATCCCCAGGATGTCGGGTTTTTTTCTTCATGTTATTGTTACCCAGATTACACAGCTTTTGTGCCAACATGAAGCCTGCTAATGACCCAGGGATGGGGCTGGCTGTGCTATAGACACGTTAGAGGTCAGCGCAAGTCTGTTTTCAGGGTTTCTCCAGTGGCTGCTGGGCTGACTCCATTGTGGAGAGCTGACACTTGCGCTGCCCTATAATGCCCTGGACAAGGATGGATTCTTTAAGGAGACCCAGCTTTAAGGAGAGTAAGCCATTTGAGCTCTAAAAAAGAGTTTTCAGAGTGAAACTAAAATCTTGCCAGAAAGAACTAATTTCCAGATGCCTTGTTCTTCCTTCTTTCTCCTTCTCTCCCTTGCTGCCTTCCTTCTCTTCTTACTGTTAATGTTTATCTTAGTCGCCTCAAGCTGATATAATAAATATGTCAGAGACTGGATGGCTTAAACAGCAAAATTTATTTCTTGCAGTTCAGGAGTCTGGAATTCCAAGATCAAGGTGCCAGCAGATTCGGTGTCTGGTGAGGGCCCACCACCTGGTTCACAGTTGGCCATCTTCTCATTGTATCCTCACATGGTGGAGGGCACAGAGAGGAGCAAACTCTCTCCTGCATCTTCTTATAATGGCACTAAGCCCATTCATGAGGGACCTATCCTCATGACCTAATCGCCTTCCAAAGGTTTCCTCTCCTAAGACCATCCCACTGGGGATTGGGCCTCAACATATGAATTTTTGAGACACCCAAGCATTCAATTAATGGTAGTACCCAAATTCAAAACATGTATTGAGCAACCTGTGTACAAGAACTGGCAATAATAGTAATAGGTACCAATTATGGAGATTGCACTATAGGTAAGAATTAACTCTGTTTATCTTTCTGTCAATCCTAAAAAGTTGGGATTCTTCTTTTCAGATAGAAAAACTGTGGCAGATGGAGATAGGTTAACTAATCTTTCTGAGTTGCAGGAGCAGGGTTCTGATGCAGGTGATCTGCAGCCTCCGCAGTGAGCTCTCCCATTGCCAGAACATAGTAGAACGCCAGTGTAGACAGATGCCTGGGGAGTGGCCCCCACCCCCACAGAGCTCAAGGGAAGCTGGGAGTCTAACATCACAAAATCACTAAGCTTTACCACTCAGTGGGAAACCAGCCCCAAATTAATTAAATTGATAGTATAGAAAAGAGGATGGTGATTAATGCTTCTTATTCTTTTAGTTTGATGAAACACACATAGGCAAATCTAATTAATTCTCACCTCCATAATAGGGCCTGAGATGACTCAGACAGTGAGGTGCAGAGTTAATCTCGGAGGCTTCTTATAGGAAAGCTGAGCATGTAACCCTACCTAACAGAACTCCATTTTCAAGTTTCAAGCCCCTTCCAGAAGGAAACACTAATTTACTTAGAAATCCTTGATATGCTAATTACAAATCATACTCACCTACTCATTAGAGTAACTCCCCCAGGAATTTCCCCTTCCTTTAGCTCCATACTAATTACAGGTCTATTCTTAAAGTACAGCAGAATGGTAAAGAATGAGCGTTCTGGTTTGGAATCCAGACCCTTCCATTCACTGACTGTAATTTTGGACAAGTTACTTAACTTTTGTGAGTCTCAGGTTTTTTACCTGTAAAATAGTGATAACTATATCCTTCTCTGGTCTGCAGGTTGTGAAGAAGAAATGACAGTCAATTCCTCTGATGGGGCCAGGGTGAGTTTGCAATACACATTGCTGGTTGGAACCCATGCATGTGGATTTTGACTTTTCATTAATTCCAACTGCTCTCCTTCTAATACACACAAATGTGATAGGATTTTTCTTGTTTCTTTCATTACTCATACAGATTTCTTTCAGTAGAAAAATCTGTCCAATAGTATGCAGTGATTATCCTGGTATTCCATTGAAGTTGTTTAAGTATAAAATGGTGAGAACAGAAGTGAGAGCAGAGATTTCTCTCCACATCAGTAGTTAGAGAGGAATGGGTCCTCTCCCATGGCATCGACATGAATCAGACTAGTTTTTCAAAGGCTGTAAGGAATTCTGTGGCTTATTGACACATCTTTTCTTCTTTGATAGTCAGAAGAGCAGTTTCCTTGCTTTTTAGGATATTTAAAAAGAATGACCTTCAGTCTTTACTAAGTGGCTCATGCGACCGTCTGCTCCATGAAACACAGGGATTCGTCAGACACCATACCTGTACACTTTTTTTTTTTTTTTTTGATACTCTGTCACCCAGGCTGGAGTACAGTGGTGCGATCTCGGCTCACTGCAAGCTCTGCCTCCCGGGTTCACGCCATTCTCCTGCCTCAACCTCCCGAGTAGCTGGGACTACAGGTGCCCGCCACCACGCCCGGCTAACTTTTTTGAGTATTTTTTTTAGTAGAGATGGGATTTCACCATGTTAGCCAGGATGGTCTCGATCTCCTGATCTCATTATCTGCCCGCCTTGGCCTCCCAAAGTGCTGGGATTACAGGCGTGAGCCACCGCGCCCGGCCCACACCTGAGAGCTTTTGTCTTTCAGTCTAGGTGGGAGGAAAAGCCAGTGTTGTGGTAGAGTTCAGTGGGCCTCAGAGAAGGTAAAACAAAGTACCAATGAGCCCAAAGACAGGAAGAACCAAGCCCTGCCTAGGGGATGAGGAAAAGCTTCATGGAAGAGGTTTGCTTGGTGCAGGATTCAAAGACTGAGAAGGGTTCTGGCAGCCTGAAAAGAGAAGGTAGGAAATCCCAGAAAAAGAGTGTATCAATGAAAACACAGATGCGAGAAGGTGCGATGCACTCTCAGGCACCGAGGAAAGGGCTAGCTCTTCACAGGGAGGGCAGCTGCAGAGCCAAGACAGACGGCTGTAGGCTGCACAGTTGTTACCATAGGAAGGCTCTGGAATACAGGATTTAACTGGCAGGAAATGCTGGGCCATCAACAGGTTCTGAGAAATGGCATTCTTCGGAGAGGTTTCTTGTGGGCCAGGCATTGTCAACTCCGCAGGACTGTTCTTGCTGTCTCTGAATTTCAAGTCCCCAGATAATACAGGCATCAGGACCAGGCTCCTGGGAGGATATTAAAGGTCCACCTACTCAGATCTGCCAGCTTGAGAAATGCTTCCTAGGGACAGCTAAGCTGACACTCAAGGATGTCAGGAAACAGGTGGGCGAAGTTAGGAAAACAAGTCAGGGTAGACGGAGGAGAATGTGCAAAACTATGTTGGTGGGAGAGAGCTTCGTGCATTTGGGAAGCTGAAGACAGCTTATTAAGGTTCAGGGTGAAACAATGGGAGAGAAGCAGGTAATGTGGCTGAGAGGGCGAGCATGAATCAGATCATGATGTGCAATTTAAGTCATAGCAAAGGTTTATGTTTCATTTCAGAAGGCATTTTTTTTTTTTTGACAGTGTTTCACTCTTGTCATCCAGGCTGGAGTGCAGTGGCGCGATCTCACCTCACTGCAACCTCTGCCTCCCAGGTTCAAGAGATTCTCCTGCCTCAGCCTCCCGAGTAGCTGAGATTACAGGTGCCTGCCACCACGTCCGGCTATTTTGTGGTTGTTGTTGCTGTTGTATTTTTACTAGAGACGGGTTTTTGCCATTTTGACCAGGCTGGTTTTGAATTCCTGACTTTAGGTGATCCACTTGCCTCGGCCTCCCGAAGTGTTGGGATTACAGGTGTGAGCCACCGCATCTAGCCCAGCTTTGATTTTAAGGAGGAAAATGACACAGTTTCAGCTCCTGCATTTCAGACATTGGCCATGATATGGAGCATGTGTCTGAGGGAGACTGATGCAGTGGAGTGGAATGGCTTCAATACAGGTGGAGTTCATAGCAATTGGTCTGGGCATGAGAGGGAAAAAACAATTAAAACCAGGTGCAAAGGGTCCTGCCTTTGCAATGGGATAAATGGCAATGCTGTGGCCCGACTTAGGGGCCAAGGCAAAGGTATGTTTATCTGGGGGCATGTGATCTGTTTAGCTCTTGGCACACAGAGCTTGAAGTTTTTGAGACGTCCTAGGGGAGATTTCAGTGAGACATTCAGGGATGGATCTGTGGTAGCAACCTTGGCTTGAGATATGTTAGCAAGTAGATGGGAGTTGGAAACAAGAAAGAGAATAAGATAGCCCAACAAATATGTAGACCATGAAATGGGTTCAAGATGCCTGTGAGGAACCAAGACTGGAGGAAGGGCTGTGATCCTGGAAGCAGGAAGAACACGCAGTGAGTTGGGCAGACACAGTGGACCGGCACTCCACTGGCACGTCAGCCTTTCTCCAGTGTTAGCCATTGGAACATACGTAAACAAGCAGCAGAAACATCTTCCAGATGCCCTTGCAACTAAGGCCTGAAATCATAATTAGCTTCTGCAGTTAGGTGGATATGGACAGCTGCAGGAAGGCAGAGGCCACCTTCCTCCTGCTGGTACTGCTGGCATGAGCTGCAAAGCCCTGGGTGCTAGGGCGGTTGTGATGGCTGGACTCAGCATTCTGGTGGGTTGTCACCAGCTACTGTACAAACAGAGAAGTGGGTGTGGAGGGCACAGTGTGGCCACAGCAGCAGCCTCCCTGCCTCTGGATCCTGCTTTATTGACATGCCTCTAAGCTCTGATCTCAGCAGAAGTCCACTGACCTCTGCTTCTGTAGTTCATCCAGTGATTTCTGTTATGCAAGTAATTTCTTGGATTAAATTTTTTTTTTCTTCTTGAAATCCTAGACTTTCTGTTTTCTTACATGGAACTGGGACTGATGAAGAGATTTAAGGAAGCAAGGAAGATAATATTTCAACAAGGGGGGCATGAGCTACAGTATCACATGTTGCCAAGGTGAAATGCAAACTATGTCTACTGGACTTGCAAGTTGTTCTCTACAAAGAGGTTCCAGCAGCCGGGCGCAGTGGCTCAAGCCTGTAATCCCAGCACTTTGGGAGGCTGAGGTGGGTGAACCACCTGAGGTCAGGAATTTGAGACCAGTCTGGCTGACATGGCGAAACTCCGTCTCTACTAAAAATACAAAAATTAGCTGGGTATGGTGGCGTGTGCCTGTAATCCCAGCTACTCAGGAGGCTTAGGGAGGAGAATCACTTGAACCTGGGAGGTGGCCTTTGCAGTGAGCCGGGATTGTGCCACTGCACTCCAGCCTGGGCGACAAGAACAAAACTCCGTCTCAAAAAAAAAAAAAAAAAAAAAAAAAAAAGAGGTTCCAGGGGTGTGATAGGGCAGGCAGCAGGCTACCTAGACAGGTGAGTACCTCATGACAGGCTGGGGTTTGGTACTCCATCAGTGGTCCTTAATTAATTATTTAACAACTATTAATAGACATTGTAAACTCCATTAGGCTCATAACTCATGTCAGCTGTCCCCTAGACCTGTTCATTGAGCTCTTCCAAAACTGTCTGTCTTAGTCTGTTTGAGCTACTATAACAACTTACCTTGAATTGAATGGCTAATAAACAACAGAAATTTATTACTCACAGTTCTGGAGCTCGGGAGTCCTAGATCAAGGTGCCAGCAGATTCAGTGTCTGGTGAGGGCTTCTTGCATCATAGATGGTGCCTTCTTGCTGTGTTCTCACATGGCCGAAGGGGCAAGGGAGCTTATATAAGGGCACTATAAAAGCTTTAATAAGGGCCCCACCTCCCAATACTACCTCCTTGGCGGTTAGGATTTCAACATATACATTTTGGGGAGACACAAATATTTAGTCCACAGCATTCCCTCTGTACAAGAGCTCTGGTGAAAATGAAGAAGTCACTGAAGACTGTGTTGGGGAGAGAGTGAAGAGGACTAACATAGCATAAAGCGTTTCACATGAAGACACCTTGATTGGACATGCTTCCTCCTGGAGATTCTTTATTTCTTTTCCATGGCTACTGTGTCTATTCTGCCTTTCTTGTGTGCTTTGGCCAACCCACAGGGCCCCAGACTCCCTCCAGACATCCCACTCCCTTCTTAGACCTGCTCCCTGTCTCATGCAGCCATTGAGCATGGTGGAAGCATTGGTCTCCAAGCTTGCACCCACCATTATTCATTACTCATAAGTGTGCTCCATTAGCTCTGTGTAAATCAGCCAATCAAGCTTCCGGGATCAGCTCTTTCCAGATGCATGAGCCTTTATAAAGAATCAAAAAGTTTACTTGTCATACCTTCAAACTCACGTAACGAATTTCTTACGTACACTGAATAAGAATATGAATAATATGCATCCTATTGATCAGCTAAGAAGACTCTAGTAGATACTTGAGTTCATTGGTATAGCATTTAAACTTTTAATTGTGATGTTTAGTGCTTTCTTAAACGTAAATGGGTAGTGGAGAGAAAATAAAAATTATTAGGATCTGGAGGTCAAGAAACAAAGAGGCTGAGTTTTAGATGGTGTGTTAGGCAGTCATTGCATTACCGTAAAGAAATATCTGAGACTGGGTAATTTATAAAGAAAAGATGTTTGATTGGCTCACGGTTTGGCAGGTTGTACAGGAATTATGGCGCCGGTATCTGCCTCTGGTGAGGCATCAGGAAATTTACAATCATGGTGGAAGGCAAAGGGGGAGCCAGCCATCACGTGGCAGGAGCAGGAATAAGAGAGAAGGGAGGAAGAGCCAGCCTCCTTTAAACAACCAGCTCCCACATGAACTCACAGAGCAAGAACTCACTTCTTACCATGGGGAGGGCACCAAGCCATTTATGAGGTATCCACCCTCATGACACAAACATCTCCCACCAGTCTTCACCTCCAACTTTGGGAGTCACATTTAACATGGGATTTGGAGGGGACAAAACACCCAGACCACACCAGATGGGTCATCCATGAGAATGGTGAGGGACCCAGGCTGATGGCGTAATTGTGGGTGGCAAGGAAGGTGGTGGACCCAGAGCTGATGTGATCAATGAGTAAGTGGGAGAGAGGACAGGGGGTGACCAGGCTTTGGATGGGTGGATGAGAGTAGGGGGGCTTTGGGATGAGAGTCAGGGAGTGATACGTACTATGAAAATGGCATTGGGAGAGAGAGTAAGCCCTTCACTACACTTACGTTTGGGAAAATAAAGGTTGTATTAATAGGTAGGAGAACAGGAATCAAAACTTGCTAGGAAGCTAGTTCAGCAGCCCAGAAAAGAAACAATGAGGGATTTCACAGCGTCTGTGAGAGGACTGGAGCAGGGATGGACTATGTGCCAGCTGCTGTGCTAGGGATGCTTTTCTAAGGTAACCTCAGTGGCAGTGGGAATTGGAAAGAGGGTCAGGGTAAGATGGGTTCCACTGCAGTACCAAGCTCTGAAATCTCATGGCAGAGCACCACACAGGTTGAAAGCAAGGCTCACAAAATGCCCAATAGTGTCCAGGGAATTGCTCCCTAGAGTGGATTGGGGGCCAGCATTCCTCCGTCATGTGAGGCTGCCATCCTAGTGCATTCTTCCAGGTCATGGCGAAATGTAGGGCAGTCAATTGTGTGAGCTCACTATCGCATATGAAGAAAATAAGAGATACTCTAAGACAATAACAAGAGACATAAGAAAATGGTTACCTATGGAGTATGGAAGGCAAAAGAGCAAAGGGGACAGGATTGGCAGAGACACATCTCTGAGAATACTTTTAAAGATAAACTTAACTTTTGAACTAGAGGTGTGTGTGTGTGTGTGTGTAGTGTCCGTGTGTGTGTCTCTGTGTGTGTGTGTGTGTGTGTGCGTGTCTATGGATGTTCATACATATGTGAAATCTCCAAAAAGTTAAATCAGAGAGAATAAAATAAACCCTAATGTTGAACACAAACTGAAACAAATAAATCTAAACCTATATCAAATTGATAACCTGACTATATTGGGAAAAACTTATTTTAAAGAATCCTTAAATATAGTTCTCTGGCTAAATATATTTAGCAGGACATATTCTAAAGACAATGAATACTAAAAATAAATTTTAAAGCTCATTTGATAGTTTATTGTTAATAATATTGGCATTGTAATTCTGAATTATTTAATGTGGACTGTAGGATAAAGCAAATAAATAAATATATTAACATTATTAGGAACCAGGATTTTACTGTAAGATTAAAAAACAAAGAAGGTAGGAAAAAGATTTATAATATTAATTTTTAAAAATTGTATCTTTTTTAGATATGAAGTCTCAGCATGTTGCCTGGGCTGGTCTCAAACCCTTGGGCCCAAGTGATCCTCCCACCTCAGCCTCCCAAAGTGTTGGGATTACAGGTGTAAGTCACTGCACCTGGCCTATGGTATTAAACTTTAATTGCAAATACCGCAAGTATGAATTCATGGTTTGAAAAAGATATTCCTGGCTCTGTCTACTGAAAGGGGTTAGAAGCAATGACGTCTCAATAGCAGGGAACACACACAGTCCCTAGATTTCCCACATCAAGAGAACCAGGCTTCCTCGAGAAATGCTGAGACCAGCTTGGACAGGAAAAGAACAAAATGAGCCTGAGATGCCCTGTGGAGCCAGAAGGCGAGGAAGCCACAAAGACTCATAGAGTGATGAAAAGAGGATATGAACACCGTACTTGAAATGGCTCACACTGGCAGGATTGGGACAATCTGAGCAACGCAGAATAATGAATGTAATTGATAGTTGCACCTTATGGGCAGCAAGTATTTTCTATGATGGCTTTCTATGTGTGTGTGTTGGTGGGGGCGGGGGTGGTGCAGGGGGGGTGGTGTGCCTGAGATCCCATATGTTCTGTGCTCTTGGTACAATGTGACTAAAATTCCTCCTACAGAGATGAAGGCGCTATGTGTCTGCCTTGAATCCAGACCTGTGCCTGTGGCTACTGCAGCCTAGAGAGTATAGCAGTGATTCTATGTGACTTCTGAGATGAGGTCATAAAAATTAAAACTTCTGTCTCTCGCTCTCTCTCTCTCTGAGAAAGCTTGGCCTTGACACCCATGGTGTGAAGAAACCAAAACGAGCACATCTAGAGAGAACACATGCAGAGGATACGAAGGAGCAAGTAACTGGGTCCCCCCGTACCCCCAGAATCAACTGCAGGTCATTCCCGCTCTGTCCTTCCAACCTTCTGGCTGAAGGCTGAGGATGAGCAGAGATAGGCCACCCTCTGTCCCTTATTCAAATTCCTGATCCACAGGAATGGCAAATACAATAAACCGTAGTTTTATGCTACTGTATTTGGAGATGATTCTATTTATTTTATTATATTTTGAAATTGTGGTAAAAATACATACAGCATAAAATTGACGATTTTTAAGTGTGCATGCAGTTTAGTGGCAGCCAGTACATTCACACTGTGGTGCAACCATCGCCACCATCCATTCACAGAGCTCTTTCAGTCTTGCCAAACTGAAACTCTGTACACATTAAACACTCACTTCCCTTTTCCCCTCCCACCAGCTTCTGGCAACCGCCTTTCTACTTCCTGTCTCTATGAATTTGACCACTCTACGTACCTGGTATACATGGAGTCTCACAGTATTTGTCTTTTTGTGACTGGCTTATATAACTGAGCACCATGTCTTCAAGGTTTATCTCTGTTGTACCATGTGTCAGAATGTCCTTTTTTTTTGTTTAAAGCTGAATAATATTCCCTCGTATGTATCCACGGTGTTTTGTTTATTCATTGAGATAATTTTTACACAGCCATAATATTAATAACTAAAACACATACTGACTGAATGAAAATTCATGAATTTAGAGTGATATTTCGACAAAAAGAGAAAAAGGGAAGCCCTTCTTTATAAAAGAATGTCACATAATAAAAGCAGAAAGGATAATAGAATGTGAAAATAAACATTTTGCAACCCCAAATGTAATGACTGATACTGCGAGAATTTTCAATGAAGGTTGAAATTGTTCTGTGAAAGATTTTGGAGGGACTGGGCCCAGTGGCTAAAAACTGTATGTAATCCCAGCACTTTCGGAGGCTAAGGTGAGAGGATTGCTTGAGCTCAGGAGTTGGAGACCAGCCTGGCCAATATAGTGGGACCTCATCTCTACAAAAAAAAAATTTTTTTTAATTAGCCAGGCATGATGGTGCGTGCCTGTAGTCCCAGCTACTTGAGAGGCTGAGGTGGGAGGATCGCTTGTGCCTAGGAGGCAGAGGTTGCAGTGAGCTGAGGTCTTGTCACTACACTACAATCTGGACAACAGAGTGAGACCCCGTCTCAAAAAATACAAAAGATTTTGGGGGAATAGAATATTTACGTAGTGACAAAGTATCACCTCTTCAATTCTTTTACAACTTCAAAGAGGAAAATCTAATGTTTAAGTTCACAGAGTAAGCAGTCACCACTCTAACCAAATGATCACATGTAGCTTGACCTAGGAAGGGAAAATCTGAAATTATGTACTTCCTGATGTAATGCCATAGGAAGCACCTCCATCACCTGTGCGGTATTTTTTTCCAAAATGTTTAATCTGGAAGTATTAAGTCTCCAGGCATAATTTACAGTTTATGGGAAAAATAAAGGATACAGGAATGAGGAATGAACATGACAAATCCAGAATGTGGAATATGCTACAAGACAATGGTCCTGGACTCTTCACAGAGTCCATGTTGTGACATAAATGCGGGGACTATTGTAGGTTCTAGATTACAAGACTAAAGAGGCTTGTGACGCAACTGATGCATGACCTTTGATTGGATCCTTTTGGGGGATTCAAAGAAAAAAACAACTAAAAATAAAGGATATAATTTGGAACATTTGAAAATAGAATGTATATTTAATGATTTTAGAGAATTTAATGATTCTCTAAATGATTAAATGATTTTAGAGAAATGATTTAGAGAATTACCTTCCATGCTAAGAATTATTCTTGCATGCTAAGAAGTATTTGGAGCTCAAGTGTTGGAACATAATTTCAGATGACTCAATGTACACAAATGCACACACAACAAACACACATATATTTAGAGATACGGCAACCATGGTAGGATTTTAACAAGGATTGACTCTAGATGAAGAGTACTTTGGCGTTCATTATACTTGCCTTCCAACTCTTTTGTATATTTGAATATTTTTGTAATAAAAACTTGGAAGAAATAACAACTACAATCAGGGGTGTTCAGCAATCCCATCTTGTGAGGAGGGAAATTCTATTTAGTTGGTGGATCTGAAGTCTGGTTGTTTTAATGCAAGTTCTTTTTATTCTGTGAGATGATACGTTATATATCCATTGTCACATGCTACTCTGCTAGAGTATTTAGAAATTGGAATTTTACAGCAATCTCTCTCTCGCTCTCTCTCTGGAGGAGAGTATTTGGAAACATTTGATTGAATTTCTTTTCTGGCTGACCCTATTATCTGGTAATTGCCACATTCAGCCTACTTTCTGTTTATTTTCTAACTTCCTACTACAATAAAAAGCATCACTGTTGTTATTTGTTCATGTAGTTACATTGTTATGATTATGATACTTAACATCACAGCAAAACATCTGCCTAACAGTACAATCCCCAGAAACTTCTTTAACACCTAACACTGGAAAGGACATGTCAGCCTCTTCTTTTTAAGGTCAGTGTGTTTTATCCTGTGACTTCAGGAATCCATGGCTCACTGGGGGAAGCCTGTTAAAATTTGGATTCTCAAGTCCAACATAGAGCGATCTGGTTCAGCAGGTCTGGGCTCGGGCTGCAAGGCCCACATTTTTCCAGTTTTGCATTTTGAGAGGGTCTACACCATTTTAGGTTCAGAGGGAACTTAGGACACAGAGACAAAACAACAAAGGCATCTGCACTGGTAATGAATTAGCAGGCGTCCATGCTGAGTTTGAGAAGCCAGAGAGAGGAGCACCAGGTGTTGGCCGGGAGGCTCTTGCCACACAAGGCTGAAGAGTGGATTTGGGGAAGTGTCATGTGCGCCTGGACTATGGCTAGGGAAGGGCTTTTCAGAGGATGCCGTTTGAACTGGGGCAGAGCTCAGTGGCCACAGGCAGTTGCTGAGGCAGAGTGGAGACTGTCCCTGAACCAGGAGAGGAACATGTGTTGAGCTCATGTGGACTGAGTGCTTTTACCAACAATATTTCATTTAATCCTTAGTGCAATTTGCTAAACTAGGTGGATATAATTCTTCCTATTCATAGATACAAGTATTTAGAATCAGAGGCATTCAATAACATTTTCAGGATTATGCCAAATGGGTTTTCCACTCATTAACACCTTCCACCATACCATGTTAGTCCAGTTTTGAGCCCATGGGAACCTGTAAAGCTAGGATGTGTGCTGGGGAGGCACTGGGCACAGTGGTTAGAACCTGGACAGACCTGAGCCTTTTGGCTTCCTCATTTGAAAACCAGGATGTACAATGCCTCCTTCACATGGTCATTGTGAAGATACAATAAGACAATGTCTATGAAGCCTTGTATTGTTCTCGGCATATTTTAAATGTTCAATGAATAAGAATTACTGTTCTTATATAGACAGAGACTCTGGTGATGATGGCAGGAGGTGTGGAGAATACAGCAAAAGGTTGGTTCTTTCTTCATCATTTCCAAACTGAGATTTTTGCCATCAACTCTGGAATTGAAAAGTGAAAACAGGAGCCCACGGACAGTCTCCTCTCCAGCAAGCCTTTGGACACAGCATTTAGTATTAAGAAAAATGAGTCTATCTGCCTGGTGCTTCCATCATGTGTCCCACCTGTGGAGTGCAGAGGCACCTGTAAGCTACTCTTGTCACCTATGCTTCCTGGAAACATGTAGGAAAGTGCTTCTTGTGCAGCAGGTCTTAAGGAGGTGCCATCTGAGCTGGCTAACAGGAGGCCTCTCCATCGCTCTCTCCTCTCACGTCTTCCTCTCCTCTTGTTTCCTGTCGTTTACTGTATTCCCCTTAAGGAAACCAATTTTTCACTTTTTTTCAGCTCTCTGCTGTTTACTGAAACTAACTTTTGCTTCCACTTTTATGCCTCATTTAAAAATTTAAATTTTCCCCTTTTAAAGCTTGCATGTAAATTGGTAAAAAAAAAAAAAAAAAAAAAAAATGCCCCCAAACTCTGCCACTGCCAGACAGATAAATCTGATTATATAACAATGTTAGAATTATGTCTGACTTCATAAGTCTGTGTGTAGGAAATAAATGGGGACCGGAGGGAGAAACTATTTCTAACTGTAGTCGCTTCATCCAAGAAAATTAATAAAAATGGTTATTAATTTGGAAACTTGGACCCTGAAGAAAAGATGGTAGTGATGTCTTATTAGAGAAAATGATTTGCTATTGCCATTATTCATGGGCAGCTAAAGCATGAATTTGGCATGCCTTTGTAAGCCTGCATCAATAAAATCAACAGCACTTCACATAGCATAAGTTTAGTTTTGTATTCATTCCACCTAATAATACTTTATCCCTTCTATTTTTATTGGTTCATTTGAGTCTCCCCATGCTTTGCTCTCATTAAAGTACATTAGTGACTATGGCGATGAGAGTGTAAGGGATGTGGAAGGAACACAGGATATAAATGAGACCATTTACACGCCAGGTGAGCTCTAGAGCACAGGACATGAAATAATGAAACCAGTGATTTCTACAGATTCCTCTGGAAATGATGGGGCCATTTCATTTCATTATCCGATACATAAATTTAAATGAGATCATTGTTATTATTCAGCACTCTCATTGCATGAAGGGCTATCTCTGAATGTTTTACATTTTATTGTGAAACCTTAGTCGGATGCTGCATCTTCATTGTAACCCACCATTATCTTTCTGATGATGCTCTGAGAGATTATCCTTATGGCTGAGATTTATGTGGTTCACTCAAGCAAATGCTAAATACTTGCAAGTCAAAGATTTTCATACGGATTTTATGGTGTAGAAAATGTTAGCTTCATAGTCATTGTTGCAGTTGTGGTTGTAAGGAAGTTTAAATTTTTCCCCTGAAAATTCGATCATTTGAGTCTATAAAACAAACTGATAATAGACAGGTTAATAGGAAGAAAGGCATACAAATTTATTAACATGCACATGTGTGCATGGGAAGCATAAAAAGTATAGAAACATAAAGAAAGACAAGATGGTTGTCACTTAAACATCCTCTTCATTGGGGAGAGGGAATATGGGGGCTTATAGGAGTGAATATTTTCAGGGAAAATGAAAGAGCTAAAGAACAATGTCATGGGACCAAGTTTCCCTGGGCTCTGGGGGAGGTGGCATCACAGGTTATCGGAGGATGAAGGGAGGAAAGCCTAGCAAACCAAAGCTATCTTGTTATGCAGATGAAGTGTCTCAGGTAATGTCAGAGCTGCCCTGGGAGAGAATGGAGGGTTACCTGAGTTGGAGTTAATCTTTCCTAGATTTGGACAAGGGGTGGCATGCAGAGAAAGCCTGGCTGGTTGTTTCACCACACACGTTTTTTTGAATAACCATTTCGAAAGATGTCAAAGTAGGATGTTTTGGAGTGAAATATTTTTGGTTATCTTTAAGGTTCACAGTTCAGTGGTGAATTCAGCAGAAATAATCTACTTTAGGTAATGGTGAAGCATTACGGGTGGTGAGATCAGACTTCGCTTCTGTGTAAAGAAAACCCCATTATCCAGCCCGTTGCTTGCCACTGTGAGTCGCTGGGAAGGACCAATTCAGAGAAAAGGCAAACCGTGCTCTTACAGATCAAGTATCCCTCCCTGTCTCTTCCACCATCACTGCCATGACGGATCATGCACATAGCAGCCAAATCCAGGACTGAGGATGGGAATGAGCATGACCAAAGATTGTTTCCGTTTTTCACAGCCAAGCAACTGCTTCCCATCAACACACTCAAACTGAGCCCTGCATACCATTGTGAGCCTCGGGAAGCTAAGGATGGTGCATTTTTTTTCAGTTATGTTCAATTTCCCCATTCTGGACTTTACCCTTCATCTGCTTATCTCCCTCTTAGTGTAGCCCAATCCAAGCTCCTACAGTACACTGTGCAGCAGCCAATAAGTACAGAAACAAGGTGCTGGGGCAAGAAAGGTAACTTTATTCATAGAGCAGCGAAGCAAGGAGATGGCAGACTAGTGTCCTAAAGAACCATCTCAAGTTAATAGAATTTTAGGCTCCTTTTACGTTAGTAGAAGGCAGAAGAGGGAGGGGATTGAGACCAAGAGGGGACCAATAACCACAGACATCTGGGTAGCAGCAAGGGTCCGAGGAGGTTGTAAAGCTTCTTTATTCTTGGTCAGTTGACTTCAGATAATGTCAGTCAGGTCACCGTGTTCCTATAAATCTTTGGCATCATTAATTGTGTACATATTTTCTTATGTCCTCAGGGGGTTAATGTTGGAAAAAAGACTATTACTATCTTTTCTTTAAAAAGTTAAACTATAAACTAAATTCTTCCCATAGTTACCTTAATATACATGTAGAGATAAGTAAAAGCAATGAACCTAAAAGACATCACTGCGTGCAGGGGGGTTAGGAGAAAAAGTTACTCACGCTAGGCCTCCTTTTCATTGTTACAATAGCTTTACCTGCCTACGGATGGTTTTTTTTTTTTTTTCCATCTGAATGTGTTTGTGAAATTGCAACAACTATTGTTGTACATGTCCCTTTATCAGGGGTTAAGAATACTTTCCACAAAAAGCACATACAAATATATTAATAGAACCATTTTGGTTCTCTATGAATTCCAGAGGAAGAAGTGAGATGGAAGGATGCTTTGAAGAGCAAGGATGATTTCAGGAGGGAGTAAGTGGCCAGAAAGCATTCAGGTACAATAATTGGATGGGATTATGTTTTTCCAAACCAAGTAATAAAAATGCAGGTTAACACTAGCTTATATAAAGCCATCTGCATTGAAAGGTGTATTAGTCTGTTTTTGCACTGCTATAAAGATACTACCTGAGACTGGGTAATTTATAAAGGAAAGAGGTTTAATTGACTCTGTTCCGCATGGCCTGGGAGGCCTCAGGAAACTTACAATCATGGCAGAAGGCGAAGGGGAAGCAAACTTGGACCTTTTCACATGGCAGTAGGAGACAGAGTGCTAGTGAGAGCTGGAAAAACTGCCTTTTAAATCCATCAGATCTCATGAGCACTCACTCACTATCACAAGAACAACATGGGGGAAACTGCCACCTTAATCCAATCACTTCCCACCAGGTCTCTCCCTTAAACACCTGGGGATTACAATTCAAGATGAGATTTGGGTAGGGACACAAAGCCTAACCATATCAAAAGGCCTCTAAAATTGGATGAAATATTAGAAGAAATGGAAAATGTTAAGCTGACAAGAGAATAATACAGGAGAACAATGAACCACAGATGTGTTCAAAGGAGAAAAGTTCGACAATCAACACAATTGGTGAAATGTGGCTGTGAAACAGGTCATGTAATTTTTGTCTGAAATAAATACTCTTTATTGTCATAATGTCGTCCCTGAGATGCAGCTCTTATACCTGGGCTCCAAAAACATGATATTCATCCTCTGAGTTAAAGGTAACATTTACTTTCTTGCCTTTATCAAGTTGTCTTATTCAGTTTATGTGTTTCCATTTAGAATCTGTGTATACAATGATAAAAATGCTTGATTTTACTAATTTAGGAGCTAATTTAGGTTCTTTTCCAACCTTGAGCTCTGTATGAATTCAAAGGGAGTAGATTTGGGGCCAGTTCACCACAGCTCAACTACTCATCAAAATTTCCTTAGGAGAGCTTCTGTCATAACAACAGATGCTGAATCATGTCTGGTTTTCATAGCCACGTCTTCCATAGCCAGATGTGGCTGGGGACAATTCATCCCTTTTGATCTATATTAAATTTGCCATGCTTGTGTGTGGCACAGCCAGCAGTTCATTCTAGTTTTGGTATTTTAATAGTGGAGACAGAATAGCCTCAAAGTTGAGGTGGGTCTTCCTAAACACAAAGATCCTGCTAATTACAATCTCCCCTCTAGTTGCCGTGAAGGACAGCCATGATTATTTCTAGCTGCTTAAATCAAATCAGATCAAGGCTTTGACTGCACTTGGTCACCACCACCTCAAATGAATAAGCGAGGCATTCTTCAAGCAGACAGCACTTACCATCTGTGCTGAGGACGATGCTATTTCGTTGATGAAACTATTTTCCAGTGTAGCGGCAGTAAACCAAAAAAAAAGTATCGGAAACAGGTCTCAATCAATTTAGAGGTTTACTTTGCCGAGGTTGAGGACACATCCAGGAAAAAGAGACACAAGCCACAGTAGGATCTATGGCCCATACATTTTCCAAAGAGAGTTTTGAAGTTTACAACATTTGAAGGGGGAAAAAACAAGGCAGGAAGGGAAGGAGGAAAGAAAATAAAAGAGGGAGGGTATGGTCACATTCTCATGAGGATTTGATTAGTGCTCACTGAAGCCACACATTGCCTGTGAAAAGCATGGGGTAGAGGAAGAGTCAATTATGCATTCGGCTTATGCTCAGTAAATCTGCACTTTACATCAGATAAAGTCAACCTAGAGTTGAGGAATAAGTCAAATATGCATTGGTCAGGGAATGGGAGGAGGGACAATTTCTAGTCTCATCTTATCCCGTACCCATGAGGATAAACTGTTAATTTACATTGTCAAAGCAAGGGAGGCCACCTGAGGAAAACTTGGCTTAGGAACAAAAGCAAAGGCAGATTTTTTTTTCATGACTCAGTTTCCAAGTTTAACATTTCCTTTAGGCATAGTGAGTTTGGAGTCCTGAGATTTTATTTTCCTTTTGCAGGACAAAAACCATATTTCTGTCTAGAATCTGTAATGCAATTCTTTTTTTGTTTTGTTTTTGTTTTTTGAGACAGAGTCTCGCTCTGTTGCCCAGGCTGGAGTGCAGTGGCGCAATCTCTGCTCACTGCAAACTCCGCCTCCCAGGTTCACGCCATTCTCCTGCCTCAGCCTCCCCAGCAGCTGGGACTACAGGTGCCCGCCACCACGCCCGCTAATCTTTTTGTATTTTTAGTAGAGATAAGGTTTCACCGTGTTAGCCAGGATGGTCTGGATCTCCTGACCTCATCATCTGCCTGCCTCGGCCTCCCAAAGTGCTGGGATTACAGGTGTGAGCCACCTTGCCCGGCCTAGAACTTGTAATGCAATTATTGTCAACCCTGTGGGGATAGTTCCAAAAAGGGGGCTTGGATCCTGATAAAACAGCTTATGGCAGTGGAGAGAGGAGGAATTCTATTGGGCTGTAATAAATAATTGCTAGGGAGACTGACTGAATCCAGGAAAGAAGATTAACTTGTAAATAGTTCTGTCTGGTATTTAAATGACCCTTGGAGATAGTCATTATATTCCTAAAAGGGTGCGTTCAGGTGTGGTCACATCTTGGTCCTCTTTTCTGCAACAGAAAATGAGATAACAGGGAGGGGAAGGAAAGATACTTGTTCTCCTTGGTGGGTCTGGATCTTACGCAGATAAAGGAATTCAGCTTCCTTGGTGGAGACCGTTGCGGAGGGGGTTAAGGTGAGAGTCCTTGAGGCTTCCTCAGTTCAGCATATCAGCATGTATTTTGGGTTACTAGGGTTACTAGTTTCTGAGCCCCAACACCACCTGCCTCACACTTGTGAGAATAAAAGGCATCAGGAGTGAACGTGCTTTGAAAATGCATATATTTAAAGGAATGAATCTGTTTATACATGCAGATTTTGTATAAGCATTCATCCTGGCTGCTTCATTTTTTTTCAGTGATTCCAGTTTTCTCTGTTCTACTCCTTCAAAAGCCCTCCACCCATCTTAATCTAGGAAAACCCATAATGACATTTCTTTTTCTAAATTATTTTTTATTTTTAGAGACAGAGTCTTGCTATGTTGCTGAGGCTAGCCTTGAACTCCGAGCCTCAAGCAATCCTCCTACCTCAGCCTTGAGAGTAGCTGGAATTACAGGTGTGTGCCACTGCGCCCAGTTTATGATGGCATTTCTTAATGTTTCCACTATGAAATATTAATAGGTATTATGTTTAAAAAGAACCTTGCCCCATGGTCAAATATGTCTGAGAAATCTTAAGTTAAAGGACATTGGAAATGGGCTTCTCACTGAGGGCCTCTTCTGAGTCACTGGTAAGCTGCTGCATTATAAATCCCCAAAGGTGAACAGAAGATGTAGCGTGCAGCATTCTGCCAAAGGTTCCGTAACTTATTTGCACATGGAACCCTCTTACGTCCCTGAGATTATCTCCTGAGGACAGACTTCAAAAACCATTTTGGGCAGATTCTTCTGTGTTCCTGGCTTTTCTCCCATCATGCACTTACAGCAGGAGATGCATTTGTGCAGCACGCTGGGCTGGATGGACGAGGCTGCTTGTGTCTAATGGTAGAGGAGGGGGCTGAAGCAGCCGCAGACACCCCTCACCCGCATCTTCCTGAACGATGAGGGGATACATGCTTAGGGCACACTGGTGACCAATTTGCAGCACATGAGTTTATAGGGGCATAGGAGTGCTCCTCGGTAATACTCTTTCCCAGTTTCAGAGATCCTGGCTTCCTCAAAGCCAGTAACCCAAAGTGGTTGGTGTGATGATGATGCCACTTTTGCCTGCGTTCTAACCATCTTCTCCCGATTTCTGGGGCCTGATTACAGCTGCACCAAGGAAGGATATCCCATAGCCTAGCGCAACCGCAGTCAAGCCACAGCCATCTCTTCTGAACGGGTTCGATTCCCACCTCCCTCCAACCTCTTCAAAAAAGTGCCTTTTTGGAAACTCCAGTGCCACCATGATCCCGTGCTGAAGGCCCTTCAGGGGCTCTGCGTTCCACACAGATTGCCATCAAAGCCCGCAAGCAGGTCTTATGACGTGGGACCCGCCCACACTTTCCCTTACTAACCTCTGCCATGCTGGCCTGCCTGGAGTTCTAGGACAGTCCCCACCCATGTCGCCCCTGGGCTTTCCACTGTCTCTTCCCCTAGACTGGATGCTTTGGGGTTTTCCCTCGTCTCTTTGCAGGGCTAAATGCCTGCTGTCCTTCAGTGCAGCTCTCCCTGAATGTCCAGCTGTGACAGGCCCCCTGCTCTAGCAGTGTCTCTCTCAGCGTCATGGCCAGAGTGCAGCCGGCTATCTGCCCTGTGCCTCAGATCATTTGCTCCTTGACTTTGCTGCCTCTCTCCCAGGGAGCTGCCAGTCTCATCCAATGCTTGACACTTCAGTGCTTGGTGGACTGTTTTTTGCATGGATGAATGAATCAAAGAAGTGCACGAAGTTAAGTCACACCCAGGCCTTTCCCACCAGGAGCCTCCAAGCCAGCTGCGAAGCAGTTGTCTGCACCACTGACCCCCGAGAAGTCAGGCCCACTAATGGAAACCAGCACTCACTAAATGCCGTGGAATCAGCGTGGCTGTAACAGCCTGCAGAGTGCCACGGGGGAGTGGCCAACATCAGAGCTCTCAAAGAGCAGAGCCCTGCACGCTTGGAAAAGTGCTCTTAGGAGCCCAAGAAAAGTGGAAGAAATATTAAGACTTCACTTAATAAATAAAATATAAGAGGGTTAAAAAGCATGATGTTCAGATATCATCACCTCCAGACTCCCATCAGTTAAAACAGCGTTCTCAGAAAACACGTTTCCCAGTGTTGTGTATAAAACTTAAGTCCCAGTCAAGAGGATTTCATAGGCCCACCTGCCACAGAGTGAGCAACACTCTGACACTTATCTTTTCAGCCATTTTTTTCCTTTTCCTTTTCATCCTCTGGCTGTTAGTGAACCACGTCTTCAAAATATTTCCTTGACCTCTCCCATTCTCTCTATGCAGCTGGGTGTGCCACATGCACTGGCAATCCCTGAAACAAAAGCCACTGGCTGAGGGTAGAGGTGGAGCCTCCCCCGGCTCCTGAGCTCACAGCGCCAGCACCTAGCGCTGCACCTGTTTCTGAAACAGGAGGGGTTCAGTAGCTGGGTACAGCAATGAACATGATGGCTAAAGCTGTTCTCATGGCAATTTTGCTGCTATTATGTCAAAAATGAGTTTCAGGGAATCTAGGTGAAAAACAGAACACTGTGCATTTTTGTCTTCCTTTTAAAATTAATTTAATTGACAAATACTAATTGTATCTATTTTGATCTATGTATACATTTTAAAAATATTCAGTCAAACTAATTAAGATATCACCTCACCACCTTACAATGGATTACGTACAGCGTTAAAAGGGAAGGAAATTCTGTCATTCGTGGCAACAGGGATAGAACTGGAGGCATTATTTTAAGTGAAAAGAGCCAGGCAAAGAAAAACAAATACTATATAATCTCACTTAAATACGCAATCTGAAAAGACTCAACTCATGGAAGCGGAGAGTAGAAAGGTGATTACCATAGGCTGGGGGGACGGAGGGGGATGAGAAGAGATGCTGACCCGAGTGTACAAAGCTCCAGTTAGACTGGACGAGTAAGCATTAGTAATCTATTGCTTTGCATGGTGACCACAGTTAATAGTAATGTATCGTATATTTCAAAATTGCTAACAGAATAGATTTTTCCCATGGCACGCTTTTTTCTTCCTCTAGCCAACTCGGGAACACTGGCCCTCTCCTGCGGCTGCCGCCCTTTGGAAACACTCAGGGAGAGGCATAGGTCAGGCAAGGCAAACGAGGGAACGGCTGCTGGCTGCTTCTGGGGAGAGTCTTCCCCAGCCTGGCTTTCGGAGGAGCCCCCCTCCTGGATCGCTGGCTGCCTGCCCTCTCCCCTGGTGCTGACTGCTCCTGTCTGTTCTCACGTGCAAGCGGTGTGTTAGGGATACAGTCCATGAGGTCCTCCCCTGCGATGCCAGAGCTGGACTTGGAAATCTCTGCATCCCAAGCCCATGCTCGAGCACACGACTTGTCATAGTTTGTAAGGCTTGGCCATGTATTTATAGCCTTTCCTCCCCGAAAACAAACCCCAGCTGATGATCCATGCTAATCATTTCAAGCAGAGAGGGCCTACCGAGGTGGTCTCCATGGCAATGATGTGCGCTTGGGTCTCCTAGGAGACAATTACTCGTGTGACATACTTCAGATTCGCTTTACTGCCCAAAATGTGAAGCGATTTTCCTTTACACACTGAGCCATGCTCAGAATGTGTAAGTTAAAATTTAATCATTTCTAACCATAGTTTTATTCCTGTGGTTTAAAAAGGTGAGATATTCCAAAGGGGAAAAAGAGGCCTAAAAGGTAAGGAAACGGCACACAGCTTCTTGAATTGCATTATAAATTACCTGACAGGGGTAGTTATGAGGCTGACAGAACACATTGGAACTCATCTATGTTGTGTTTTAGGGAAGGTTTGGTCCAGTGGATGGGGTTCTCTGTTGACATTTGATATTTATTTCAATTTAATCTGGAATAATTTATAACACATAACTTTGGCTGGAGCTGGGTTTAAAAACACATGGAACTTCGTGCATGGCACAGGTCCACACCATGCATGGCACAGGTCCACTCCATGCATGCATTACACAGATTCACATAATGCGTTGCACGGGTTCACTCCATGCATTGCACAGATTCACATCAGCACTGCACAGTTTCACTTCATGCATCACACAGATTCATGTAGTGCATTGTGCAGGTTCACTGCATGCATGGCACAGGTTCGCATCATGCATGGGACAGGTCCATGGACTGACTCATCACCAAAGTTGCTGTTTACCCAATATCACAGCTGGGCCAGACCACATAAATATGTGCTTGTGGCCAAAACATTTTATTTGTCTTAAAGCTCAGAAACCTGCCAAGCTCACAGATACAGGCTTTGAGGGTGACATCCCATGTTCTTGTGAGGCGTCAGTGCTGAAATACCTGAAACACAAAGGTGGGACAGTCCTGGGGAAGTGGAGCAGGTCAAGGCATTGTATGATCACACCTTACCTAACTTTCACAAAAAAAGAACTGGTTAATCTCAGGCTCATCCACAAGAGGGCTGCCTGTTATTATTCCTTGCTACAAAACCACCCAGTGGTGCCTGAGAGAGACAGGGAGCAGGCGAGCTGGGGCAGACACAGGGTGCGCAGCAGCCTGGGGGCGATGTCTCTCCTCCTGTTTGAGTCAGCACAACCCAGGACATGTATTTGAGTACCCATGGAGGACCAGAGGATCTGCAAGCGCATGGAGTGGCTGGACCCTGCCTTCCCAGAGGTCGTAGTCAAATCAGAGGAACAAACATAAGCCACACCTGTCTTAAAATGGGGCGCCGCTATTCAGAGGTGCGTTCTAAGTATTTGGGGAGCTCAGGGAAGGGAATGACTGATTTTGTCTTGAGAAAAGTTGAGGGTAACATGGAGTTGATAAAGGAAGAAGGATGAGGGAAGGCCTCAAAGAAAGGGTTGTCTTTGAACTCACCAAGGAGGAACAAGTTTCAGAGTCCAGGAAGATGGTGACAAGAATTGAGTTCAGGTGTAGCAAACACCCAGCAGTGCCAAATGCCTGGCATGAGAAATTGAATACCAAGATGTCCGAAATCCAGGCTGCACTACAGATTTCATGCTGTTCTCCTTATGTGACATTGTAACTTTTATATTCTGTCTCTCAGACCAGAGCCCCAGAGAGGAGGGCTTTTGTTTCAATTGTTTCTAATTGCAACATAAAACATGTTCAAATTTGTTGATTAAAAAATGAAATATTTGTTATTGGGGGAAATGGGAAAATGTTGGTCAAGGGGCACAAATTTCAGTTAGCAAGATGAATACAACCTGGAAGCCTAATGCACAGCAAAGTGACTATGGTTAATGATACCTTACTGTATACTTCAAATTTGCTAAGAGGACAGATCTTAAGCTTCTCACCCAAAAAGAAAAAAGGTAACTATGTGAGATGATGGATATGTTAATTAACATGTTTGTGGTGATTATTTCACAATGTATCTGTACATCAAATGATCAAATTGTATACCTTAAATATATACAGTTGTCAAATATACTTCAATAAAAATAAAAGTAAATCAAAACATAATTACAATATCATTATCACACACCTAAACAAATTTCCTTGATTAGTGTTTAATATTTTTTTTCTGTTGCATCGATCAGGGAACATTCGAACACAAGACCTGGATCAAATTACTTTGTCCTTTGCCTTAAAATTTCTATTATATTTCATCACAAATTAGCATGACACAGTGTGTGCTGAAGTCTGCTCAAGTTCATGACAGATTTTCTTGTTTTATAAATACTTTCTTTCACTTATCTCCTTATATACCAGTATTTCTCTTACCGGTATGACTGATATGAACTTTTTTTTATCAAATGGCCTTCACTGATGGAACAGATATCTGGATGGGTTCTTTTTTATTACCGCATAAAGTTGGAGTATGGCATCATCCAGGTACTTAGAAATGAATACAAATACAGCATTTTGAAATTCCTAAAAAAGAAAAAGAAAATGGATATAAAGTTTCAGTCATGCAAGATGTGTAAGTCCTAGAGAACTACTGTACAGCATAGTGCAGATAGTTAACACTTGAAAATATGTTCAGAGGATAGATCTTATGCTAAGTGTTCTTACTACAAACATACACACATATATACATACGTCAACACACATACACACATATATACACACACGCACATACACATATACACACACGCTCACACATACACACATATATACATACATGCACACATGCACACACACATATACACACGAACACAAGGAAACTTTGGGAGGTGATGGATATATTTAATATCTTGATTGTGGTGATGAGATCACAGACAGCATATATCCAAACTCATCAAATTGTATACATTAGATATGTACAATTTTATATATTAGTTATACCCCCAATAAAGCTTAAAAAAAGAAATAAGTAAAGGTTAAAAACAAGGATAAAAATGAAATAATGAATATATCAATGTCCATGTAATTCATTGAAAAAGAAAAAATGTGTTGCTGGTTTAAAATTTGTTATTAATTTATTTTGGTCAGGACACAAGGTCCTGGATTTTCTTCTTATGAAGCCAGTTGCTCAGTATATATAAAAAATGGGGCCAGGTGCAGTGGCTTACATGTGTAATCCTAGCACTTTGAGAGGCTGAAGTTGGAGGATCACTTGAGCCCAGGAGTTTGACACCAGCCTGGGCAACAAAGTGAGACCCCAATCTCTGTAAAAAAAAAATTAAAAAAAAAAAAAGCCAGGTGTGGAGGTGCACACCTATAGTTCCAGCTACTCAGGAGGCTTCAGCGCAGCAGGTCGAAGCTGCAGTGACCTATGACCACACCAGCCTGGGTGACAGTGAGACCCTGTTACACACATATAAGAACGAGTCATAAACCCATTGTACCTCAGGCCTGCCTAGCCATTTTCCCAGTGTTTTCTCTGGCTTTTTATAAAAATAGAGGAAAGAATACAAGTTGATTAACCTCGTACTACTCTCATAGTTGGAATCTGATGTGACAGTTGTATGTATGTAATCTACACATATGTGCATGCACTCAGGAAGAACCCACTGAGCCAGGTGACTCAGACAGATTAGAATTTCACAACTATGTGCTGAATCAATAAAAAGAGACCAAAAGAGTATCAAGAATGCATTGCTATCTATATCACATCTTTCTTCCATTTTCTCTAGTGAATCAATTACCTGGGATGAGGTTTAGACCTTTTAATTAGCTGAATTACTCAATTTCCTGACACGTCAATCCATAAAAAATGGGAAAAATGATTTAACTGCTGGACTCAAGCAAAAATAAAATGAAAAGAAGTGTTCAACAAATATAAAACAGACCAATTTCACAGCATGCAAGTTGAATTAAAGACCGACATTATGAATATAGTGCTTAAAAATACATCAGAAAGTATTCTTATGTAATGATGCAGATGTGATGTTTCTGAGCTGTGGTTGAGTCACTTAGGACAGTTTTCTTTTTATGGGACCACCAAGAAGATGCTAGGAGCAGAAGTCAAAACACATTAACTTTAACAATCTTTAAAAATCTGTGCCAATAAAATAACCCTAGTTCAATGAACCCTAAGGTAGACTATGGACCTTTGAAAAACTCCAGAAATGAAATTTCTGACTTGAATCTAGCAGGTTGCTAGATTATGATATTTGGGGGAATATAGGAGAAATTATAGTCTTAACAACAAACATCAGAATGGAAGGAAGGAAGAAAGGAAAAAAAAAGAGAGAGAAGAGAAAAAGTAAGAGAGAGAAAAAAAGAGTAATACTTTTTAAAGCTATAGAAAAAAAATACCTGTGTCTCTAGTGGTTACTAGGCTAATTTCAAAGGATGCCACACAGCTGCCTAGAAGAAATTCTGCCTCCATAAGATTCTTAATAGAAACTGTGCACGTTGTTAAACTGATGATGGCCACTGAAGATAGTGGTAAAGACAAATACAACTACAACAATATGAGGGGAAAACCTCAATATTAAAAATAATAAGTAATTTGTCCAAGGTTAATAAGACTAGGTAGAGATGTACGATTCTAACCCAAACCTGCCTAGTTTCCTAACTCATGCTCTTGTCCGTTGCAAAATGATTAAAAATTTAGCTTAGAGAATGAATGAAGAAAGGGAGAGTTTGGTTCATGCTTTTCAAAGGGTGGTTTATGGAACATCTGCATCCAATGACATGGCGGTGCTTTCCAAAATGCAGATTCTTGGGTCCTACCCAGACTGAATGAATTAGAATCTCTAAGATACAGCTCAGGAATCTGCATTTTGGTGAGCTCTGCAGCTGATACATAAGCACTCTAAAGCTTGGGGACGACAGACCTAATGAAATTCGAGCAGCAATTAAAGAAGTCATTGAGAATCCATTTTGCTGGAGTTAAGTGGTAGTACACTGGGGGAAAAGTAAGGAGGGCAAGTCAACATGGCCTCTGCATTTACTGGTGGATGGAAGCCATCCATTTACTGCATTGGCTCCATTTACTGAAGCCAATGCAGAGCTTTCTTGGATTCGATTCTGTAGATTCACTAGAGTGTTCCCTTTGTAATGATCCACACACTGATACTGTGCCTGAGGGTGTGCTGCATTTGAAGCTATTTCCTAACCATACAGCTATATTTGATGCCAGAAACCCAGCATCACCATCTTTAAGAATTCATGAATATTTTATGTTGTTGCTTGAGTAAAACATTCCTTGACATAGCGGAACTAGTCACAACTAATTATTGAAGTTAATCTTAATAATTTTATTTCCCATTACTTATTTGGGTAGTCATGTATAATTTTTCAATTAAGTTTGTGCTAACTATAGCAACTGGTTCTAAACAATTGCATGAGAGCACTACGAAGGCATTTTAGACAGCAAGAAGAGAAACACTCAAGCCTTTCAATAAAATGCTATTAACATGTAAATAAAAGCCCACAGAAAAATTTGGGGACCTTTGAATTTTGCATGATGTTATTTACCTTTTGTGTATGTATATGTATGTTTTGAGGGAAAGCTAGTTTAACCAAACCGATGTACTTTATACCATAAATTTCTTAAGACTTTATTTTGGTTTCCTCCTGAAAGTACAATGAAAAGCACTTACTGGACACTTCATATCAAAATTTCCAGTGGGCAGGTGGACTTTTCTGGCAGAGAGAGAGACCGAGAAAAGATGGCAAATGTTGAAGCAAAAGCGGATTTGTTGTATGATGGTAACATGAATACATCATATATTACTTACTTACACCTAAAATCTGATATTATTAGATTCCAAAATGCATAATTCATGTAAAAAAAAAACCCTATGCTCTAAGAAGAGAAATATGACCCAAGAAATAAAAGGAACCAGATAGCCCAGTGAAATAGCACTGCCAATAGATCTTTTGAGGATGATACAAATATTTTCTATCTGTGCACCCAATATGTCAGCCATTGGCCACACTGAGCACTTGAAACGTGACCAGTATGATTGAGCAAGTAAATTTTAGTTTTACTTAAATTTAAATAACCATATGTGGCTAGGGACTAGACTTTGAGCAGTAAGCTCTACAATGTAGTTCAAGTAGATAATCCAGCTGCTGAAGATGTTCGCAGTTTACTCATCTGCTATATTTTGAAAGTGTGTATGTGACAGTTCCAGAAGTAAAAAGGATATAAAAAGTTTTCTAAATGAGTTTTCACAAAAGCAAATTTAACATCATATAAATTAAATACAGCATAATTCTACACAATAACAGGTTTTAAAGTAATTTCCACCCTTGGGAAAGGTACCAATGTCAAGGTGTTTTATTATTGGCATGTTTGGACCACAAGACTTGAGTAAACACATCCATTTGGCTAACAGTTGGTTTTATCTACAGAATCTGGTTGTTCCCATTGCCATTAACTATAGTAAGGGATTAATTCCAGGGTATAAAATGGAGACTTTGATTAAGATGAGGGAGAAATAAACAAAATTCCCTATTATCCTTGACATGAAGCTTATTTTGGGAGGCATTTTTTTTTTTTGCTGGCTATAGAACTATACATTGAAAATATTTTTCATTTAGCACATAAAAAAGTGTGCTGCTTTCATGGCTTATCGTGAGGAATAAGCTGTCATTCAAATTGATTTTCTCTTGTAAGCAAGGCACTGTTTCTCACACCTTTCAAGATTTTTAAATTTATTTTTGGTTTCCAAAAGTTTGACATCGACAGGCCTTGGAGTGGATCATTTTGGGTTCATCCTATTTGTGTTCTGCGCAGCATGCTGTATCTCTACGTTTATAGTTTTTGCTTAACTGAAGATATCGTCAGTAATTGCTTTTTGCAACATTTTTCAGCACCTTCCTCTTTACTCAACCTTCATTGGTTTTTGATGGAAGCACACCATCCTTGTTACTAATGGTTGGGTAGAGTAGGCTGCTGATAGCACCCTGGCTGGACCCAAGAGTGCCTTTACTGCTACCCACGTGGCAGCCAGTGGCACCATGGAGCAGGAGATGTTCTGTGATTATTACCCTTGGGCAGTGATGGAAGTCCTGATTTTTCACGACACCATCCCATCTGACCACGGTAGAGGTGTCTGTAACATCGAGTTCAGAGTCGGTTCCTCCTGGTGGGTTCACAGTCTCGCTCACTGCAACTGAAGAACGAAGCCGCGACTTTCACAGTGAGTGTTACAGCTCTTAAACGTGGCACACACCCAAAGAGTTAGCAGCAGCAAGATTTAGTCTGAAGAAGGAAAGCACCAAGCATCCAAGAAAAAAAACACGACCCAAACGTATGTGCGGCTGGCTGGGGTGGCCAGCTTTTATTCCCTTATTTGTGCCCGCCCATGTCCTGCTGATTGGTCCATTTTACAGAGTGCTGATTGGTCCATTTTACAGAGCACTGATTGGTCCATTTTACAGAGCACTGATTGGCCCATTTTACAGAGCACTGATTGGTCCAATTCACAAACCTCTAGCTAGCCACAGAGCGCTGATTGGTGCATTTTTACAGAGCACAAATTGGTGCATTTTACAAACCTCTTGTAAGACAGAAAAGTTCTCCAAGTCCCCACTCGACCCAGGAAGTCCAGCTGGCTTCACTTCTCATCATGATATCCTGGAAGTCCTGGTTGTTTACATGGTCTCCACTGATGTTGGTGTGTGTGGGGGGGTGCCCATTAGTACCCATCAGAGATGGAAGTCCCAGGTCCCTACCTCGCCTGCTCTGACATCACCCCAGAGTGGTTTAGGTAGCTTGTTACAGCCTAGCCGTGGTGGCAGTATAGGCTTCCCAGTCAGCCTTTGCTGGCAGGGGTAGATGTGAAGCCACAGTTTCTCTGTGATGTTCAGCTGCACCAGAGCAGTTATTGCCTAAAAGTATTCTAACTGGCTAGGATGCCCCTTTTCTGTTCCTTTGGTTAGAGAAAGTAGTGTTTTCTTGGGGCTTTTTTTTTTCCTGGGGCTATTTTTTTTGTCTGCTCCAGTTGGCATTCCTTGCTTACCAACGTTTTTGGCTCCAAGTCTGGGACATATGAGGCAAAGCCCAGAAGACTCACCACACCCTGGAATAAAGTTTTTAAAAGTTTAAAATTTTAGAAATAACATGGAGTTTTTGATATAAGTCAGGCATTATTCTGAACATGTTACATATATTTTATCTTCAGGGTAATCTTTTGAGTTATCACAAAGATCTTTTTATCGCTGTAGTTTTTCTGAGAAGAAAATCAAGTTCCAGTGAGGCAGAGTAATCGTACAGTAAAAGGTTAACTCAGCAGGCTTTGGTGCTCAAACCTTACACTATTCCAGACAAAGGACTGGCTGTTGAAGGGCTCCTGCATGATGACGTCTGAGGCCTGATAGAAATGTTTGTGTGACGGAGGTTTGGGCCATGCTATACCAGCTTGCTCAGATAGTTTGTGCTATCAGTGTGACTTATGATGCTCCCTTGTTGTACGCTTGGGGCTTTGGGCCGTGCTCTATCAGCTGGACCTTGGTGGGGCTGGAGAGTCAGTAGCTAAGGTCAGCTATCAAGACACTGCCTGCCTACATGACGAACCCCCAGTAAAAACCCTGGACACCAAAGGCCCAGGCGAGCTTCCCTGGATGGCAACACCTCGCAGGTGTGTCACACACCATTCCTAGGGCATTAAGCACTTGTCATGCAACTCCACTGGGGGTAGACAACTTGAAGCTTGTGTCTTTTTTTTCTCTCAGACCTTTCCCTGTGTGCCTTTTCTCTTTGCTGATTTTAATCTGTGTCCTTTCACAGTCACAAACTATAACTCTCCTGAGTCCTGTGAGTCCTTCCAGTAAATCATCAAATCTGAGAGTTGTCATGGGAACCACAGACACATCAACCCAAGGTCCCATAGTGGGGAAAGAAGATCTGCCTTTCTACATAAACAGAAACTTCTCAAAAGAAGACATTTATGTGGCCAACAAACATATGAAAGAAAGGTCAACATCACTGATCATTAGAGAAATGCAAATCAAAACCACCATGAGATACCATCTCATGCCAGTCAGAATGGCAATTATTAAAAAGTCAAGAAACAACAGATGCTGGCGAGGCTGTGGAGAAACAGGAACACTTTTATACTGTCAGTGTGGTGATTCCTCAAAGATCTGGAACCAGAAATATCATTTGACCCAGCAATCCCATTACTGGGTATACACCCAAAGGAATATAAATCATTCTAGTATAAAGATACATGCACATGTATGTTTATTGCAGCACTATTCATAATAGCAAAGACATGGAACCAACCCAAATGCCCATCAATGATAGACTACATAAAGAAAATGTGGCACATATACACCATGGAATACTATGCAGTCAAAAAGGAATGAGATCATGTCTTCTGAAGGGACAAGGATAAAGCTGGAAACCATCTCAGCAAAATAACACAGGAACAAAAAAACCAAACACCGCATATTCTCACTCATAAGTGGGAGCTGAACAATGAGGACACATGGACACAGGGAGGGGAACAACACATATCAGAGCCTGTCGGTTGTGGGGGCTAGTGGAGGGAGAGCATTAGGAAAAATAGCTAATGAATGCGGGGCTTAGTACCTCGGTGACAGGTTGATAGGTGCAGCAAACAACCATGGCACACATTTAGCTGTGTAACAAACCTGCATGTTCTGCAGGGTTTTCTAAAAGTAAAATTAAAAAAAAAAAAAAAATGAAGAAGAAGATCTGCCTTTCACCAAAGCCCCTGATTTAAACTACCCCCAAGATGCTCACTTCTCAAATTACATGGGCTCGGGGTGTAATCATTGGATTATTAGGTTTGCCTTTGCTTCTGTCAGATGTGCTTACATATGACAGTCAGGCCAAAGTCACTGGCTTCGTATAAACAAATCTTCTTTTTCCACAATGATTTCTCAAATCCTCATTATTCTTGCTAGCAGATATCTTTTTCACTTGAAAGATGAAAAGATCTTTCCTAATCTGTAAGAAAAACAAATCCAAACACAACCACTTTTTATAAATTTTGGGGAGGAAGACATACTGCTGACAATATTACAAGAAGGCTTTGAGTTGCCAGGAAAATATCAGGCTTGAAGCTTGTGACAGAGAGGAGGAGAATTGTGTCTAAGTCTTAAGCTTTATGCCATAGATCCCCCAATTACACTAGAAATTGACTAGAAGGCAGTTCATTATTACAGTAATTTGGATAGTAAATGCATCATCAAATTTTTCATTTAGAAAAGATCATGATGATTATTTTTAAAAATTACCCCTTGTATAATGTAAGCCTGAGAAAGTTTACAAAGTACTAATAAGGCCTACCTTTTGGCTCTTGGAAGCATCTTGTCATCGGTCCATATTTGGAAACAGCTGTCACTCATGTGCTCCTGCCACCACCCCCAGGAGCCCAAGGGTCCCTGTCACTATGTGTCCCTCTTCGTTTCTTCCTGTGTTTCCCAAACTAGAGCTCAGAACAAAGCAGGCACAGCTCTGGGCCTGAAAACTTCTGTCTGACTCGACCTTTTCCCTGTGGACCTCTCTGGGGACTTTGTTCTTCTCAGACATCAATTCCAGAAGGATCGTTGGGCTATTAGAATTAATTAATATAATTTTATAATTAACTTTTATAATATTAAGCTCTTAATTATCCTGTAAGCAGCAATTACAGAACCCATGGTTCTTCTGCCACCACCTCCGTGACTTATATGTGGAAATCAGCGTTTTCACAGGAAGTTCTGCTACTTTATGGAGAACCCACTGTCCGTGAGGTGGTTGGACATTGCATTTCATTAAAGGGATAGGGAGGGAGGGAGTGGGACTTTTAACCCTGAAGGCTTGGCTCCATGATGATTGTTACGGTAACTCATGAGTCCTACTTGGTCAACAGTGTCCAAACCAGCATTTCATTCATTGGTCCCAAATTCTGACCCCAAATCTGTGTTTTTTTGCCTCCTTGCATGACGGTCTGCAGTAGATTGACATTGAAGTGGTTGTTAAAGGTTTTGGGAACCCTTGCATCATCTTCTGCTTTCACTGATACGAGTGCAGGGTGGGCTGCATCTCAGGGCAGGACACATGGTACCTCAGCCCTCCCATGACTCCCTCATTCACTCTGTGCTGGAGGTGGGGTGCTGGGAGGTTATCTGGCTCTTCTCTGCAGAAGAATGGGCCAGGAATTCTCAGCATGGGTCTTGTCCTCTCATTTCCTCCTAGGAGAGAGCTCCTGGTGGGGGGCAGCTGTTTTCCTCCTCTCTTGCCCTTGGGAATGACTGGAGACTTGTGTGCCTCATTCTAGGATGTGGGTTGAAAAGTCCTTGTACCCTCAGATTTAAGCCACGTTCCTTGATACTTTGCATTTTTTCTGTTAACAGTGGAACTTTGGTTCAGAAATTGAGTGAATAAGAGGGACATCTTGGCTGCCCAGACCCCGGTTTTCCCACTGTCAGTCAGCATTAGAGACTGTCTTTGTGGAAGCAGAACCACAGACCAGCCCTATGGTGTGGGAGCCAGGACACCTGTGCCATGCACCTACACTCCACAGCAAAGATGGACTTATATGGTAATAGCATGTAATATTTCATAATACGTTATTATTCTATGTCTTCATCTAGAAATTATCAAAAGAGTATTGGTTTCTCTCTCTTCTTTTTATTTTATTTTTTTTGAGACAGAGTCTCATTCTGTTGTCCGGGCTGGAGTGCAGTGGCATGATCTCTGCTCACTGCAACCTCCACCTCCTGGATTCAGGCAATTCTCGTGCCTCAGCCTCCCGAGTAGCTGGGATTACAGGCATGCACCAACACACATGGTTAATTTTTTTTTTTTTTTTTTTTTTTGTAGAGATGGGGTTTTGCCATGTTGGCCAGGCTGGTCTCAAACTTTTGACCTCAGATGATCCACTCACCTTGGCCTCCCAAAGTGCTGGGATTACAGGAGTGAGCCATCACGCCTGGCCTGGTCTCTCTGTTTTTGTACCATATACCCTGTTTCCAACCACAGTCTAAAATCCTGAAGGACAATAACTGTGTCTCATGCCTCTTTGTGTCCTCCCCAGATCTTAAAATGATGCCTTAACCATAGCAGGCATTTGTTCAATGTTTGGTGATGATTTTCAACCTGGGGTACAGGTATAGGTCTATGAAGACTTATTAATAAATGAAATGATATTTGTGTATGTGTCATTTATCTCCCAATTTGCAAATTGGCTCCAGAGGCTGAGAGGTCTGCTTTAAAAGGTGAATATTTATTGTTGTCATATCACTTTACCAAGATAATTGCTTTCAGATGTCCCACATGTAGTTCGCTCTCTTCCCCAGTAGCCACTCAGAGCCATCACAGCAGAAATGCCAGCTATGGTCTAGGAAACACTCAATAGTGAGTGTGACTCACTATTATAAATTATGCAGAGACACTCACCCTCCCTTTGGCCACTCGTTTTCCATTTGCAACTCTGCCCTTGAAGCCACCTCTCTGAACCTCTGCCAATCAAAGGCCAGCCACTGGGAGCCTCACACTGATGACTATTTGCTTATTATAGTGCACTCTAATTATTAACATGAGCCACACAAAAATGTCTATTTTTGACCCACAAAAGCTTATTTCATAGTATTGAACTATTAGTAATTCAGAGGCTGTCCATGCCAGGAGATGATGTAGTCTGTCTGCAGCAATACCTCCCTTCATGAGACAGGTGGTTAATCCATCATCCCTCGTGCCAAATTCCTCTTTCCACCGAGTTATGAGAAGTGATCATTGGTCTCATCAGCTCTTCCTGTTTGCTGTAATTCCTAATTTTTTGGTATCTATTTAGATGACTCCTGGTCCATTCTGTGTCCATCCTTTCCTGTTTATTATAGAAGAGGAGACATTAATATGCTTTAAACATTTTCTCCATAGGCAGAAAAGAACAAGACTGTATATAGAGAAATGCACAGCCAAATCTCTACAGCTGGATACACACAATAGAGGAAACAGTCATAAAACATATGTTGGGGTTTTAATCAATGTGTGCTTGATAACAAGGTCCTAAACTCAGGCATCGTGTTCAGTGCTAATACCTATGTCTCCGAAGCAATTTTAATTCAAACCTTGCACTGGTGAATGAAGTGTAAACAGAAGGGAAATTGGTATGTATACAGTTGACCATCATTATTTGCAGGTTCTGCATTTGAAAATTTTTCTACTTACTAAAATTTATTTGTCACCCCCAAATCTATGTTTGTGACACTTTCCCAGTAATTTGCAGACATGCCCAGAACAGCAAAAACTTTGAGTCTACCCAAGGCACACATCACCAGCCGGAGTGAAGCAGGGGGTATTCTGCCTTTGCTTTCAGCTCTCATACTGAGAACGAGTGTCCTTTTCACGGCCTTTTGCATTTGTGTGGGTGATTGCACTGTTTAAAATAATCCCCAATAGTAGTGTTGCTTAGCATTCTTAGGCACAAGGAGGCTGAGATGTGCCTTATGGAGAAAATCTATGTTTTATTCAAGCTTCGTTCAAGCAAGAGTTACAGGACCATTGGCTTCAAGATCAATGTTAATGAAGCAACAATGCATATTAAATACGACTTCTTGGAACAGATTCTGACTTAAAACAAGGTTAGGCATTGATCAATTGACAAAACCAGAGGCTCAGAGCAACCTAACCCTGTATTTCCCCTAAAAGCCACAGTTCCATATTCACTAATGTGAATCAGTGTTTGTGTCCCTTGATAGAACCTAACTACTGTGAATAAAGAGAATCAACTGTATTATGTATTTTTCTTTGCCTAGTTTTCAGTCATTGATTAATGAAAAATTTCTACTAAAAGAAATACAAAAATTAGCTGGGCGTGGTGGCTTATGCCTGTAATTCCAGCTACTCAGGAGGCTGAGGCAAGAGAATTGCTTGAACTCGGGAGGCAGAGGTTGCAGTGAGCTGGGATCGTGCCTCTGCACTCCAGCCTGGGCAACAGAGCAAGAGTCCACCTCCAGAAAGAAAGGAAAGGAAAAGGAAAGGGAAAGGAAAGGAAGAAAGGTTCATTTATGGGCACTACCTAAGGAAGTAAAAAATATACAGATGAATAAAATGGAGACTTGCCTTTGAGACACAGCCAACAAAAAATAGTAAGAATATAGTGTGATAGGTGTTGACAGAAGTATAGTTTCACACAGCAGTAAAGAAACACAAGTAATGAGCTTGTGATTGCCATTCAAAGGGCAGCCAGATTCTTTCATCAAGATCAACATTATTGAGATTCAGTTCAATTACTTCCAGTTTGACTTGGGCAGAGGGGGTGCAGAAATCTTGATTTGAAGCCTATTTATAGAGAAGTAGTTACTGCCACAGATGACCTGGGCAAGGTTCCTGGGAAGGGCTACCAGGAGGACCGAAAATTACTGAATTCACTTCCCACTCATAAAAGTACTCTTTACTCTGGGAAGACCAAGAAAAAGCCTAATTGCTCTCTGGCATAGTGGCTACTTAGATTTAGAAAAAAAAAAATAGCCTAAATAACTTAGGATGATGGCTGCTCCTTTATCATTCCAAATACATAAGAAGAGAAGTGGAAATAAAGGATGACTCTGGTTCTAAATATTATAAAAATAAACCATAGATAAATACTTTGTGTTGCAAGGTAGAAAAATATAGATAGTCAAACAACTGAAAGAATTTTCTCACTCTCCAAACTTTATTCTCATTGAAACCAATCTTCTTTTGTTATTTTTTCCACATGGTTTTCTGTTCCTCTGTCTCTCGTTTCCCTTCATAACTCTTGATATACAAGGGTCAAGAAGAATGAAGGGCCTGAGATTTCACCATGCTTGCAAGCTAATATGTTAGCCTTTCAGTGTTTCACAGAACCTGGCAGAAGACACAAGACTCCTGTGTCAGAGATGAAGGATCGGATATTACTCACAGCAATAGCAGTAGCCAGACTATTAGCATTTTTGTGAGAGTTTCCTGAGCCCCAATTCCACAGAATAACAGAGAGAGAGACAGATGACAGATGATACCTGCACATTTGGTTAGTGCCTTTACAAAAGAGGAACCCTGATTTTAAAATTGCAAATGATTTCCCACAGGCAGTAAGCTTGCCGGCTGTTTGCTCCTTAGGGAGAGATGCTAGCTCTACTGTTCAAGGCTGCCCACTCTATTTGTAGACACTTACATCCTTCTGCTGGGTGTAGGGGTACGCACCCCTAGTCCCAGCTACTCAGGAGGCCAAGGCAGGAGGATGCCTTGAGCCTCGGAGTTTGAAGCTGCAGTGAACTACAATCACACCACTGTACTCCAGCCTAGGGGACAGGGTGAGACTGCATCTCTAAATAAATACATAAATAAAATAAACATTCTTGGAAAGATAAGGCTAAACATAGGGGAGGCAGTGCCTTGCTCACAAGACCTGAAGAAACATGAGACCTAGGGTGAACTGTCACCAAACACAATCCACACATCATTTCTATACATCATGACTTTTGGCAAATTTTCCCATGAGCATGTCACTCGGCCAGCCTCTGTGATTAGTCTGGCCAACAGAGGCTGGGATCGAATTGGCCCAATTCCCAGGGATGCCTAAGAAGGCGAGGAGGTGTTCTCCTTATGTTTCTGTATTGACCTTTCCACTGTGGAAGCATTAATTCAGGTAGAGCAGGATGTGCTAGCAATTTGAGACTCCACGCTGGCCTACAAGGAGGAAGGGGCAGTTCTATCATCCATAACACCCCTGGCCATAGAGTTGATACTGAGCTGAAAGCCTTTCAGGGGTCAGGAGGCATCACAGCTAAAGTCATGGAGAATTGCTTCCCAATATTATATAGAATCGCAATGTTTTGGCAGAGGTTTTCAATGCTAGGATGACCAGGCTTGAAGATGACAACCTTCCCTAACGTAAATGTGTAGGGCCTCTCCCAGGAACCTCCACGATGCCTACCACCTAGAGTAATGCTGCTGGCTGTGATGAGCGGCACACTGATTTGCTGTTCTGTTTCAATGGGGAATTATACTGTTGTCTCATACAAGGCATTTTAACCAACAGTTAAGAGTCAAAAAATAACTGCACAAGTCAACTCCCTATGAAACAGGCAAAGAAGATATCTCAAAGATGATAATCAAATTAAAAAACCCTTTCTCCAGGGTCTGTTTTTACCTGGACAGAGAAGGACTCCCCCCAGGGCATCACAATTTATTCCTTCCTTTATAGCAAAGTTTCTCAACTTCAGAAGTGCTAAGACATAAAAATAAAAACACACATCCTAGAATTGGAGGAAATGTGGAATTTGAGACTTGTTAAAGCCCAGGATTGAAGAAAACAATAAGGCCTTAAAACTTCAAGGGTTAAAGGGAATTAGAATAATCTCAACCACATATATTTTCACACCATTTTTTTCTCTCTTCACAACTCTCAATATAAATACCTTTTTAGCCAAAATAACACATGATGGCATTTCAAATAACTGCATTTTTTTAAAAAAAAGAGGTTTTGAAAAGATTCTAAAATCATTTAAAATCTGGGGCAGTTGAAGATTTTTCTGGATCTATGTGTGAGTCTTCAGTATTATTCATGGCATCCTCAACTTCCTCTTCCATGATTTTGCCAGAGAACTAAATCTGTTAATAATGAGAGGATTCTGTTCTCCACCAACATAAAAGTACTAAGTGAAGAATAACGGCATCTCTCATACATCCATAATCCATGAGTAAATGCAAAATGGTATTCTTTTTAAAGTGAAACAGATAAAATTCATAACTAGAGATGTACTTATACTACTATTCAAATATTTTACTTGCATAATGCAACATCCTGTGTACCAATTACATATAAAAGATAAAAGGAGGTCTTCCCATTATCAAAAATTACACAGGTATATATTTTTAATTATGTGAAAACATATATATTATAAAACCAGAACACCGAACACTTTTTCTCCCTACAAAACAATAGAATTTTATTTTTACAGCAGTGCAATTTAATTGCAGTTTTTAAGCCAATATTCTCTTTCATTAGAGGTAACTATAATTAATCTTTCCATATTGAATGCTACCGAATTCAAAGTAGTTCCAAGAAGCAAATACTGTTTGGGGGGAAAAAGCATATTTAGAGAAGAAAAATTATACAACTTTATATATAAATACCAAAAATTAGGCCGGGCACGGTGGCTCATGCCTGTAATCCCAGCACTTTGGGAGGCCAAGGCGGGGGGATCATTTGAGGTCAGGAGTTCAAGAACCAGCTTGACTTACATAGTGAAACCCTGTCTCTACTAAAATACAAAAATTTGCCAGGCATGGTGGCGTGTGCCTGTGATCCCAGCTACTCAGGAGGCTGAGGCAGGAGAATCACTTGAACCCAGGAGGCGGAGGTTACAATGAGCCAAGATCATGCCACCGCACTCCAGCCTGGGACAACAGAGCAAGACTCCTTCTCAAAAAAAATTAATCCTTTGATTTCTAATTTCTTTTTCTCTTTGAAATATTCATTAAATATTCTATGAATTATCTTTTAATAGAAATTATAAAATCTATGTTGTGTAAGCTGAATAACACCTCCCTAAAAATATATTCATGTCCTAATTCCTAGAACCTGTGAGTGCCACCTTATGTGGCAATAAATAAATAAAAGCCATCTTTGCAGATGTGATAAATTAAAGATTTTGTGATGGGGAGAGCATCCTGGATGATCTGGGTTGGTCCTAAATGCAATCACAAATGTTCTTATAAAAGAGGGGCAGAGGGAGATTTCACACACACAACTCCTCCAACACACACTCACAAGTGAAGATGGAGAAGAGAGAGATTTGAATGTCCTGACCTTGAAGATTGGAGTGACACAAACAAAAGCCACATAATGCCGGCAGCGACCAGAAACCAGAAGAGGAAAGGCTCATTCTCCCCTGGAGCCTCTGGAGGGAGAATGGCCCAGCGGACACTGGTTTCCATCCATTGGTATTGATTTTGCATTTTTGGCCTCCAGAGCTGTAAGCGAATACATTTCTGTTGTCTTCTACCACTCGGTTTGTGGAAATTTGTTAGAACAGCCACAAGAAATAACACTTACACATCTTGAGCACTTTAAAGAAAGGACAAAACTTCACAAGCCATCTCTGCTTGGAAGTTAAGGATACACTTCATGGACCCCTTGCTCTCCACACTAGTCCTACTCTTCAGTGAAGGGTAGAAGGGGGTCTCCTTTATAAACCAGAGGTTTTGTGTTTGGAGGATGGTGCTGGGTAATGGGCTTCAGGGCTGGTGACAGGGCAGTGGGGAGAGAGCTGCCTGGGAGTTGGAGAAACATCACAGCTTCTCTGACTCAGATGCTGATTTGGTCATCATAGCTCCTCACTGAGTGGCTGTCACAGGGCTGGTTCCTGTCCAGGAACCTGGGCATGGAGATCCACAGAGAGCAGGTGAAGTCCCTGCTGCTGTGGGATTTGTGTCCTGGTGACAGGAGCCAACTGTCAACGAATAGCAAGTAATCCCAGGTGTGTCAGATCATGACTGGTGCTCTGAAGGATGAGAGGGAATGAGAATCGAGGGCTCTGGTAGGCGTGGGCGCTGGTGTAGACTGGATATTTGCACTAGAGGTCGGATTGGGGTATTGGAAGAGGAGACGTCCAGGCACTGAAGAGGGACTTATCCCATGCAGATCTGGGAGGGAGAGCTGTCGGGGAAGAAAGGACACTAAGTGCAAAGGGCCCGGAGCTGCCCTGTGCTTGGTGTGAGAGGAGAGGCAGACAGAGCCAGGCCCCGGAGCTGCCCTGTGCTTGGTGTGAGAGGAGAGGCAGACAGAGCCAGGCCCTGCAGACCCTCACCGTCCCTGGCAGAAGTGTGCCGTTGTCTCTGAGGAAAGTATCTGAGCAGAGAAGTGATGTGTCTAAATGCTGTTTTGAAAGGACAAGTTGGAGCAGCAGCCGCTGCTGGTGATTCCTTGGCCCATGTGTTAGGCCATGTGTACAGGCATTGTTATAAAGGAATGCCGGAGACTGGATAATGTATAAAGAAAAGAGGCTTAACTGGCTCACAGTTCTGCAGCTGTCCCAGCATGGCACCAGCATCTGCTTCTGGGGAGGCCTCAAGAACCTCACAACCATGGCAGAAAGTGAAGGGGGGAGCAGGCCCATCACATAGTAAGAGCCGGAGCAAGAGAGTGAGAGGAGGGGGCCAGGCTCTTTTAAACAACTGGATCTCATGTGGACTCAGAGGGAGAATGCACTTGTCACCCAGGGGATTCATGAGGGATATACTCCTGTTATCCAGTACCTCCCCCAGCCCCCACCTCCAACACTGGGGAAGCACATGTCAACATCAGATTGAAGGGGACACAAATCCAAACCATATCAGGCTTAGAAGCAGACTCTTCCCTAGAGCCCCCGATGTTTCTTTTTTTTTCTGTTTTTTTTTTTTGAGATGAAGTCTTGCTCTGTAGCCCAGGCTAGAGTGCAGTGGCACGATCTCTGCTTACTGCAACCTCTGCCTCCTGGGTTCAAGCGAGTCTCCTGCCTCAGCCTCCCAAGTAGCTGGAATTACAGGTGCATGCCACCATGCCAGGCTAATTTTTGTATTTTTAGTAGAGACAGAGTTTTGCCATGTTGGCCAGGCTGGTCTCAAACTCCTGACCTCAGGTGATCCACTCGCCTCGGCCTCCCAAAGTGCCAGGATTACAGGCATGAGCCACCACGCCTGGCCTGATGTTTCTTTTTATAAGGGCACTAATCATGTCACATCAAGTCCCTACCCTTATGACATCACCTAACCCCTAATTACCTCATTCCTTGTAAGCCTCACCTCCAACTGTAGTCACATGGGGATTAGAACTTCAGCATTCAAACTTTGTGGGGACATAATTCAGTCCGTACGAGTGATCAGTACCAAATCCTAGTCTGTTTTCTTCCCCTTTTGTATTTTAGCCCCTAGAAAAGGAAAGAACAGGGCAGATGGCGCGTGGGAGGGTTTTAGGTCGGCCTGGAAAGGAGGCCCACCACTTCCTTCACATGCGCCCGCTGGCACTCAGCCACATGGTCACACCTGCCCCATGGAGACCAAGATGTGTGTGCGGCCAGGTGTGCACCCGGCAAAAGACACGGTGGGTTGTAGGAGGGCCACGGGTTGCCACACTGCCACCGAAAGGAGCCTTCTCGGTTATCACCCATCATGCCTTTTAAATGCTCATCTTGGCTTTTAGTCTTCATTTTTACTCATTTCTTTGTCAATCTTCCATCCAGTAGAATGTGCATTTGGTGAGAGTCTTTCTCAATGTTGCAGCCCCAGCCCTTGGGATGGTGCCACAAGCTCAATGTCCTCAGGAGATGTTTGTTGACTGGGGGTGAGTGATCAACTCAGCGAACAGGTTCCACAGGTCATGGAACCTCCCCCTGCCACCCTGCCTCCCCCTTCCTCTGCTGCCCATGTGGACTTGACATAGAGACCTGACTTGGTTGCTCTGGACCCCAGTGCTAAGGATGGTCTCACGTGCCTAGTCCAGCTTGACTGCCCCACAAGTCTGTCTTTGTTTCAGAGTGGGCTATGGCTTTCCTGCCTTACAAGGCCTCCCATCTTCCCAGCTGGCTCCTGGTTCAGCTCTGGTGACACGCTGGAATCTGCAGGGAATGGAGAGGGGCAGCTGCCCTTTCATCAAAGGATGGGTCCAGGGATGCAGTCCTTTTATCCTCAGAGGAGCACTAGCAAGGAAAGGGCTTCAAATACAGAAAAGACTAGTTTGTGTGTATATTATCTGGCTGTACAAGACTCAGAATTTTATTTTATTTTTATTTATTTTATTTTTTGAGACGGAATCTCACTCTGTCGCCCAGGCTGGAGTGCAGTGGCGCAATCTCGGCTCACTGCAAGCTCCGCCTCCCGGGTTCATGCCATTCTCTTGCCTCAGTCTCTGGAGTAGCTGGGACTAAGCAGGCACCCACCACCATGCCCGGCAAGTTTTTTTGTATTTTTAGTGGAGATGGGGTTTCACCGTGTTACCCAGGATGGTCTCGATCTTCTGACCTCGTGATCTGCCCAACTCGGCCTCCCAAAGTGCTGGGATTACAGGCTTGAGCTACGGCGCCCGGCCAAGACTCAGAATTTTATGACTTACTGATAAGGGCCATACCCATACAATTTTGTTTCTTCTTAATATTCAAACCTTAAGGGACAAATACAGACCTAGCAATGTGAAGTGGACTCTGGTGAAAATTTACAGGTATCCTGAGCTATTTAAAAAGCAATAACCTTAAGTCAAGACATCCTCTTGGATTGTACCATTTAGAGAAGCAACAAACTGCTACACAAGAATCCACAAAGCATGTGCTTTCAGAGTTCCAGCAGTCAAATGTGTTTCTTCTCGGACATTATGAAGTTGGAGGCTAAATATTGGTAGAGAGGGGTTCATTTCAAAGGGTGCAGTGTGTCCTCCCAAAAATGATGTTTGGGTCTCTTTTTGGGAGCTGACAAAAACATAGTAACTGGTGTAACGATTTCTAAGCAAGGGAAAATAATACAAACCAGTTTCGTCTCCCCTCCTCCATTTCCATATGCATAAAAAATAAACAAACAAAATGAATACACACAATCATGTTTACATGGGTCTGATGTGCTTGGGGCAGCCACGTGCCAAAGCACATTCAACTAATGGAACATCTAAGGTGCTCCCATCCTCCACGCCTCCGAAATGCAGTCTCCAGCGGAGTTTTCTCCTCTGCCATGCTCAGCACTGACAGGACCCATGCTGGGTGCCAGTGTTATTAGGCAGGCTTAGCTCAGCATGTGATGATTTGGGTTTATCCTTCAGAAATAAATCTATATACCAAATAATTCCAAAGCAAAACGAAGTAAGGTGATTAACAATCAAGCTCTCAGTCAGGCACGGTGGATCTTGCCTGTAATCCCAGCACTTTGGGAGGCCGAGGCTGGCGGATCACTTGAGGTCAGGAGTTCAAGACCAGCCTGGCCAACATAGTGAAACCCTGTCTCTACTAAAAATGCAAAACTTAGCTGGGCATGGTGGCAGGCAACTGTAATCCCAGCTATTCGGGAGGCTGAGGCAGGAGAATTGCCTGAACCCAAGATGCGGAGGTTGCAGTGAGCCGAGATACCACTGTACTCCAGCCTGGGTGATAGAGTGAGACTCACTCTCAAAAAAAAAAAAAAAAAAATCAAGCTCTCTGTTTTATCTCTCAGATCACTTGTCCAATGTTCTCCCTTCCAATGGGCTGTATTATCAGCACTTTCCAGGGACTTCTTGCCAGCCAAAGACTCCCTTGATGTTGGAGGTGTCCATGCGCCCTGCCTTCACCAAGGAAATGTATGGAACGTCTGGGTGGAAGCACTTCTGTGCCTGGCACAAGTGTCCTCTCTCTTCACCTCCATGGCAGGTCATGCGGCCTCGTTATTGAGCATCACATGGAACAATGAGCCCAGGCAGCCTCCCGTCAGCCCAGATGCCTGGGGAGTAGGGCTGTTCCCTTCCCCTCTACCCAGTCTGTCCTGACCTCTGTTGGACATGGGGCATAATCAAGACATAAACTGTTGCTTAAACTCACTGAGATTTGGGCGTTGTTTGCTAAGGCAGCATTATCTAATCTGCCCTGAAAATGCAGGAACTGTCACATGAAGAAGAGTATACCTGTAACAAAAACACTGAGTGTGTGGCATTTCCATGATAATAAGGCGGCAGGTGCTAAGGATACTGGAGAGGGCTCTCTTTATTAAGCAGTGGCCAAACATTTGCTAAAATCCTCCCCTGCAATAACTGAAGAGGAATTGAGTGGATTTGTAGCTCTAGCAGTCAATACACGCAGCAGTAGTGGTGGTGTTGATTGCTGTCGGCTGTGTTTGGTAAGGTATTAAAGACAGAGGGGAGCTTAGGGAAGAATTGACCAGTGTGCAAGCCTAAGAAAAAAGAAGCACAGGACATCCAAAAACTCAGGGCTTGGCAAGGGGACGATCATGTTCTTGACTCCAAAACAGTAAATGATTGAGAAAACCTTGCAAATTCAAATGCCTACTGCAAACTTTTAATCATCGAAAATGCTTCAGGAAAAGAAGTAGAGGTAGAATGTATGATACTCAGTGTGTTTTTTCAGTTGGATTAAAAGTATGTTTCTTTCAATTGGATTAAAATCAGGGTGGAGGGTCACACATAACCTTTGTGCCCTCCCAACAAAAGCAACATAGGCTCAAGTTCCCGGCCACTAAATTGAGTGGCACTCACCTTGGAGGCAAGAAAAGGAAGAAGCCCGGAGATCATGTTGAAAGGATGTGGGTGTGGGCCGTGGTACACTCTGCTCCCTGGAATCAGGTAGATCAGAAACCAGATACATTTTTGATGGAGGAACCAGGAGGCTGAGTGTGTTCCAGGCATAACAGGATCCATGACCACCTAACCCACTGCACCCTTTCCCTCCGGAGGGAGCTCATCCCAGCATCTCCTTCACATATAGTTGAGGAAGAGCATGGAAAAGGAAGACTCTCCAAACCAAAGCCAGAGACCAAGGGAACACAGACATTTGAAGAGTGGAACTGAGACTTCTTCCCCAGGAGAGGAATTAAGATCAGTTCACCCTTTGCAGGCCAGGGCACCCCCACACTTCCTGCCCTGGGGTGCTTTAGAGTTGCATTGGACCAACGGGAGTATTTGCTGCAGGGATACTGTCCCTGTTCTACCATTGTCTAGTGCTCCGTGGGGACAGAAACATGCTTTCTAGTTCACTGGAGAAGTATCTGTAACCGGGCCCCTTGAGATTTCAGTGTCCAGCATTTTTAGTGACAGAAATAATGAAAAATCTGAATTAGACCCTTGCCTGCTTACACACATTAATTGCTTGCTTTTGCTCCACATCCCTTGTTCCTGCAGTATAATAAATAGCCGATGTACTGTTTCTTTGTCAAACAGGAGATAACTTCAGGGTGACACAAAAATTTTGCAAAAGGAATGAATGCCTTTAAAGACATTGTGAGCAGCCGCTGACACCCAGAAGTCTGATTGCTCAAAGGGCTGAGACTGAAGAAACACAGGCTCTTCCCCTCGGTTCCCTGAAGCTCTCCCTCTCTTACTCCCTAGCTGCATAAAAACTTTCTGCTTCATCTCTTTTTGAAGACAGACTTGAAAGACTTGCTCTCACACCCTCTCACTCTGGCCAAACTGAATAAACCTTTCTCTATCTCCAAGCACTGGTGTCTCAGCTGTACATGGGGTACATGGTCTGAATCTGAGGTTCTACAATATGTTCATACCTGAGGAAGACAGGCTCATGCACCTTTAAAAGAACTTGAAGATGTACCGAACAATGGGACTTGAAGTGTTTTTTTGTAGAGAGAGGATGAATACATGGGAAGAAGAATGAATAAAAGGGTAGACCTCGATAGACATTAATAGGTGCCATTCATGACAGATTCTCCCTTCTTCCGCAACACACCCCTTGATGTTAGGGGTAGCCTTGTGGCTTGCTTTGATTACTGAAACGCAAGCTGAAGAAATGTGTCACTTCCAAGTGGACATAATTAAGAACTGATGACAAATTTTCCATGCTGTCTTCCCCGACCATGGCATCCTTTGAAGTTGGGTTGAAGTAGCAATGGAACCTCTGTTAGCCTGAATGCCCAAGTGATACCAACGAAGTGGTAAGGGGATGATCATGTTCTTGACTCCAAAACAGTAAGATTCAGAAAACCTTGCAGATTCAATGGTGATGCTAAGGATATTGGAGAGTCCAATAAGGACATTGGAGAGGGCTCTGTTTATTAAGCAGTGGCCAAACTGCTTAATATGATCATGATGACTGATCACTATGGCTGCCAGCTGTTTGGATTTTGCATTGTTTGCTATGCAGCATGGACTTGCCTGTCTTGACTACTACACCATTCATACAGTGTGGAGCATCATAATCTGTCAAGGCAGGTACACAATCCATAGGAATCTGGCTTAAAATATGAAATGTCAGAAGCAGGCATTTACTTTGTAGAGCTTCATGGTCTGTGACATGCATTTAGTATTGATCCCATAAAATTGTAAGTTTTAGTTGAATGTTTTATTATATGCTTGTTAAAAAAACAAATTACAATGAATGCAGTTATAGATCTAACTGGCTTTTATTTTTGATTCATGAACTGGGGCAGCCTCCATACCACAGAATAGAATGAGCGCTGCCACTGAGCAATGGCAGAAAAGTGGGTTTATAAGATGGAAACAGGGAAACAGAACAATAGAAAAAAAAATGTTAGTTACTATAGTAGCAAAGTGAAAAAGTTGGCAGATTCCATTTTTTCTCATCAATTAGTCCCTTATGCTTTTCATTTGCCTTTGTAAGAAAATTTAAAAAAAATCTTTTCTGAAGATTATCTTTAGTAAGGTTTTGCTATTTTGATACGAAGTTGCAATTTCTGGGGCCTAATACCCAGATGAACATTTCTCAAATCCCCAAATCCAAAATCCAAAACGCTCCAGAATCTGAAACTCTGAGTGTTGATGTAACACCCCAAGGAAATGCTCACTGGAGCATTCCAATTTAGGATTTTCAGATTTGGTGTGCTCAATCAGTACAATGCAAATATTCCAAAATCCAAAAACATCCAAAATTCAAAACACTTCTGGTTTCAAGAATTTGGATAAGGGATACTCAGCCTGTGCATGTAAAAGGCAGGTGTGCCTGGAAGGCAGAGTGAACAGTTCTTTAGAAATTAAGGATCCCATTTTTACATGAAATTTTGGATCTCTTAGAGCAATATAAAAGCCTAAGAGGGGAACATCACAGGTTGGGTCCTGTAGTGCTTTCAGAGTATATACCTCATTACATGGATATTTTCTTGAGGCTGGGGCTACCTGATTCCATATGCAGCTTATTCTAACACGGAAGTCTTTTTTGGTGGTGAGCACTCTAATACCTCTTATGTGCCCAACCTATGCCTACCCAGCCAGCTACCAGGCTTTGGCTCTGACATCCCTTGACCAACTTAGCCAATCATTTCCCCCATTTAAGCACACAAGAAAAAGAAATAAAACAAATAGAACCCAAATTCCTGCATGTTCCAAAAGCTTGAGTTTACACTCCCTACAGTAGTAATCACTTACTGCAAATGCTGTCAGTTACCTCTAAAACTGTAGCTTTTGGACTGGGCATGCTGGCTTACGCCTGCAATCCCAGCACTTTGGCAGGCCGAGGCGGGTGGATCACTTGAGGTCAGGAGTTCAAGACCAGCCCGGCCAACATGGTGAAATCCCGTCTCCACTAAACACAGAAAAATTAGCCAGATATAGTGGCGCGTGCCTGTAATCCTAGCTACTCGGGAGGCTGAAGCAGGATAATCGCTTGAACCCAGAAGGTGGAGTTTGCAGTGAGCCGAGATTGTGCCACTGCACTCCAGCGTGGGTGACAGAGCAAGACTCTGTCAAAACAAACAAACAAACAAAAAACAAACAAACAAAAACTGTAGCTTTTGCCAGTGAACCTTCAGCTCCTGCAACCCTAGCAGGTCATGTGCTCTCTCACAGCACAAACTAACCCTGGATTTGAACATCAAAAAGATTTTAGAGGTGCAATCCTCAATGCAAGAAAAGCAGAGTCTGACCCGAGAGGAACTTACACCCCTCAGAACTCCATGAGAAAAGCAGAGAACCTCAAAAGGGGTCCAAGGTGCCTCTTTTGAATTCTTCAGTGGGTCTTGGAAGTTACTAACGGTGTCTCTTAGGTCTCATTGTCAGTTGCCAGAACTGCCAAAAGACAAAATTACAACAAATTTAGTTATAGATCTAATTGGCTTTTATTTGTGATTCATGAATTGGAGTAGTCTATGTTCTACAAAATAGAAGGAGAGCTCCCACTGGGCAATGGCAGAATAGTGGGTTTGTAAGGTGGGAACAAAGAAACAGAACAATAGAACAAAAGCTAGTTGGTTAATGTTGGGTTACTCCAGGTTACTTTTCTGTAAGGGTTAAAGCAGAGGGGACTGACTCAGTTAGACTGGACTCTCCTCTCTTCAGGAAAAACTGGTCTGGTTTTGGATCTATCTGCCTCCTTAACATTTCAATTTAATGATGTGCCATTTAGCATGAGTGACTCCATTTTAGTTTAGTCTTTTCTACTGGGGCCCAGTGCAGGAGCTCAGTGCAAAACAATGGCCTTTCATAATTTTGTTTAACAATTTCTTCCTTTGGCCCTTCTTCTCACCTAGGTGAGAGCATGACAAAAATGCAGGGCATCAGCACTACTTTCAGTTATCATTATTTTGGGCTTCTGGTATTAACATGCCATTCATAGGTTACAGTGTCATCATGATCACACACTTATGACTAATACATCACTCATATGATGCAGTATTTTAGTAACTTGTCAATACAGGTACTAAATCCATAGGAATCTATTAATAGCTTAAAATATGAAATGTCAACAGCAGATATTTACTTCTGTAGGGCTTAGTGCTCTGTGACATTTATTTGGTAAGGATTCCATAAAATTTTAATTTTTAGTGGAACTTTCCATTATATACTCCATCCTGTCAATTACTGAAGAAGTGTCTTAAGAGGATTTTCTATAGTGTGCTTAGCAAAAACTCCACTCCACAAAGATGCAAGCATCATCCTCGTAAGAAAAAAAGGAGTCAGGGGAATTAAATTTCCAAGTAAATCATAAGTACTTTCCTACAGAGGATCTTTCAATCAAATAGAGACAGAAATGAAACAAATATGTGTAAATGACAGAGCAGAGGTGGAAAATTCCTCCACAGTAGCTCATTTTGTGCACATGGAGGTTAGTGGACACACGGGTTATGCTACAGGCATTGCTTCCCATGTGACTTCTTCACAAGACTTCGAGCTCTTCCAGGGGTGGGAGAGTGCTTTCTCTTCTGTGTGTCCTAGCATATTCTGTGTTCACCACAGACTCTCAATACTGCAATGTGAACTCACGTGTATTAGCTCACGTGCTCCACACCACAACTCTGTGATGTATGACAGGAATTGTTATCGTCACATTACAAATACACAAACCTAAGCTCTGGAGGTTGGACCACTTGCTTCGATTTCTACCACAATAAAGAGATACAGCCAAGATTCCCACTCAGGTATGTCTCACTTTCAAGCTTACATCATTTCTTTTATTCATTTATGATTAATTCAACATTATTGAATGAATGATTTACATAGATACAAAATATATGCTAATATATAGGGAAGCATGAGAAAGGCAGCAGACAATTCCTATGCAGTCAAGATTTAAGAAGGAGGCTCTTTGAGTAACATAAACTCAAAAGATATTCCCATTAATATCCATCACTCACAATTTGACTTTGTCATTATGAGGTCTCTTGTTGCAGGGAAAGTACAAGATCACCACTTGAGGATGGCTCTTTATGACATCATCAGGTTCCAATTTTGCCTCCCTGTCCTTGCAGGGCATCCTTCCCTCAAGAGACAGACCTTTATAGGCAAGCAGAATGCCCTCCACCAAGGCATTTGGACATGCAAATGTTGAAGTTACGGCATGTAGGTCACTTACAAAAAGAGGACAACTATTTCTGGTAACATTTAAAATTTATTGTGGTGAGTCAAGGCTAATGCAAGGTGAACCATTCCCTTTACCACATCTGCACATCGACATTAGCTCATCCATGTATTAAAAAATGGGCCTCCAGACAGTTCACTGGCAATTTGGCAAATTGTTCACGTATAATGCAACAGAAGTCTAGTTTCAACTCATACTGATTCCACCTCAACTTTCTATGAATGGTTTTGATTTTAGTGTAATATGTGAATGACATTTATTAAAAAATATTGGAATAAAAAATATTAATTAGCTAAATTTATTAATAGTAACAGGTTACAGGAAGAGTGCTTACTCTTCACAGAACGGATTATGTCTTTTTTTTCTGAGAAATACATTCATCTAAGGTGTTCACTTTATTTTCCTCTTTTTATACTATGTGTTTTATCAATCTTTCTATCTATGAGATGGATGAGCTCTAAGATTCTTGGGACAAAGGATTTTTCCTAAGCTTTTATGTCCCTTTAGAAGTGAGCCCATAGGGAAGGAGGCAAGGTGAATAGTTGTATCCCTGCCATTTCCTCACACTTTATTCTCTATGAATTCAACCTAGCCACACCTACCGTCCCATCTCCCTCTACAGAGCCCTCTCCCCGGAGAGCACTGTGAATCTTTTTGTTTCCAAGAATCATCAACTTTCATTAAAAAAGTGAGGAGGGGCCAGGCATGGTGGTTCACACCTGTAATCCCAGCACTTTGGGAGGCTGAGGTGGGTGGATCACCTGAGGTCCGGAGTTCAAGACCAGCCTGGCCAACATGGTGAAACCCCGTCTTATTAAAAATACAAAAATTAGCCAGGCATGGTGGTAGGCACCTGTAATCCCAGTTACTTGGCAGGAGAATTGCTTGAACCCTGGAGGCAGAGATTGCAGTGAGCCGAGATTGCGCCACTGTACTCCAGCCTGGGCGACAGAGCAAGACTTTGTCTCAAAAAAAAAAAAGTGAGGAGAAGCTCCATGTGGCCTCTAAGTGTGTACAGGGTGAAGGCACATTGCTCTTCATTAGGACCTTCCAGAAAGCAATAATGATGAGTTTCTTCTTTGTTTATTGAAAATCTTAAAGATGATGGTGATCATGATGATGACATAATGATACAAAGAGAAAGGAGGAGAAATCTACATTCATCTTAAGTCATTTTTGTCTAGGAAGAAATTTCCAGAGAGATTTGTCTTCATCTCTTTATTCGAGATGAAAACAATGATTACAATAATTTCCATCATTATGTTCTTAGGTTTCTTTAAAATATTCAGAAAGAAATGCTCATAATTGTTCAACTAGAGGTAAGAGAGGGTTGGAGTGAACTACAGAGAGTGTTTTCGTTCATTTCATGCTGCTGTTACACAGTACCACATACTAGGTAATTTATAATCAACACATTTATTTGACCTATGATTCTGGAGGCCGAGAGACGTAAGAGCATGGCACTGGCATCTGGCTAGAAGCTTTGTGCTGCATCATTCCATGGTGAAAGACAGAAAGCCAAGAGAGGGCAAGCACAATCAAGCAAGAGACGGCCAAACTCACTTTTACAACAAACCCACTCTCACGATAAAGACATTAATCCATTCATAAAGGCAGAATCCTCACAACCTCACCTGTTAAAGATCCCACTTCTCAACACTGTTGCGTTGGAGATTAAGTTTCCACCCATGAATTTTGGGGGCCACATTTGAACCATAATAGACATAACAGTTTTAGGACATGTGGATGAGGTTGAGAAGTTTTATTGTGTCTACACGTGCATACAAGCACAGCTGTATGGGAATAATTCTATTATAAAGTTGCATTATCCAGGAGGCTGGAACTAAATATACTATCCAATTTGAGCACAAAATCCAATTGGAATCATTTTTATATGCAGGCTGGTGTTCTCTTCTCATCCTTCAATGATTCAGCCATATCTATTGCTGCTGTTTCCTGGATGCTTGTCAATATCCTAATACGCGTCTTCTCTGGTATTTTTTTTTTTTATTTTGAAAGACAGAGAGCCTGGTCATTTTATTATACCTTTGAGCAATGCACATTGTATATTCTAGGTGCATTTCATGGAATTTAATGCTTCAGTGTTGATTCCATAAACTGTTTGGGGAAGTCTGGTAGGATGATGTAAGAATCTCATGCCCAAACACAGGTGTCTGTCTTGCTAGGCGTCCCTCTTGCAAGACCAATTTAACCTTTTATTTCTAGAACATGTTGTCTATTCCTTCACTAGTGGCCCTTTGCTTGCCCTTTCATCTGCCTAGAATCCCCTTCTTTTCTCTTCGAGTGCTATTATCCAAAAATCTTACCAAGAACTCTCCATCCCCTCAGAGTTAGCTTCTTCCACTGGGGCAAAGTAGGTATTTAGTAAGTTTTTACTGTGATACTTTGATCCCATTTGTGTTTAGTTTTATGTTTTCGATTCTTTGTGACACACATTTAAATGACAAGGGAAACTTTGAAATATATGATTACCTGGGTCAAACCCGAGATCAACTGAATCAGATCCTCTAGAGGTTAGGCCAAGGCAATGATCTTTAAGAGAAATGGCAAGAATCAAAACCTCCCTGAGTAATTCTAATGTGTGTCCAGGATCAAGATAGCTCAGCTATAATGTCAATAGGCCAAATGTCACACCCACATAGTCCATTTCGCTTTGAATAAAGATGATTTAACCGATTATTTCTTTAAAAAAAAATCCTTGCAATATTGTCAACAATGAGAATCCCTTGCCGTAAGGCACAAGACATACATACAATAAAATCCATCACCCTGTAATCCCAGCACTTTGGGAAGCCCAGGCCAGCAGATCATGAGGTCAAGAGATCCAGACCATCCTGGCCAACATGGTGAAACCCTGTCTCTGCTAAAAATACAAAAATTAGCTGGGCGTGGTGTCATGCACCTGTAGTCCCAGCTACTCAGTAGGCTGAGGCAGGATAATCACTTAAACCCAGGAGGCGGAGATTGCAGTGAGCTGAGATCAAGCCATTGCACTCCAGCCTGGCGACAGAGCGAGACTCCATCAAAAAAAAAAAAAATCCATCACCATTTCTGAAATAACCATAACATAAAGTAAAGCCCTCTTAATGCCAAGTCAGGGTTCTTGTCCTGTGTAAAGGTCATCTAAGTTATCAAATTGTGGGTGTGGGCATTAGAAGTGTGCATCAGAATATGGAAGGCTAGCATGAACAGTCTAGGCAGAACTCAGGATCATGAAAAAGTAGGATGTATGAACACAAAAATGAGTAAGGTTTGGTTGTGTTTGGGTCAGGTATTTATGGACATAAGATCTGAGACTGGATTATCAGCTCAAGGTAGGAAGAAAAGGTAGGGCGTGAAGGCCAACGTAAGACCTTGATTCCAACTGAAACCCAGCAGGAGTCATAGCAAGTGAGTAATGGAGCCTCCAGCAGCAGACAGGCAAAGGTTCCTAAAGGCAGCAAGCTTGTGGCAGATAACACAAGGGACAGTGATAGAAGACCTTTCTCCCCCCCTGCATGGAAGGACTGGCTTTGAGAACAAGGCTGCCAAATCAAATATAAGATGCCCAGTTAAATTTTAATTCCAGATAAAAAACAATTTTTTTTAGTGTGTGTCCCAAATATTGCACGAGATCTGCTGCCAGGATTGGAAAGCTTGTGGGACAGGAGGAACTGTTCTGCTAATTCCTTCCTAATGGACAATTCCTTCTCGCAGAGAGTACCCTTCTTCTTGTGTGTCCCACGTCCAGCTGGCTGTACCATCACCCAGTTGACTCTGATTAAATCAATTCAAATATTATAGGAATGTTGTTAGTAGCAGATGGGCTTCATTTAGTTGTGGGAGTCTAGATTCAGTTTTCCAATGAGAGGAAGTCAGGAACTAAGCTTAAATCAGATCTGGCTGCATGTCTAAAATTGACTTAAGCAAATTTTTATAATTCTGGGGGGAAAACCCTAAAATTATTTGATTAATTTTTGTCCGTGTTTTCCATGTACAAATATGAAGAGATTACTCTGAATGATGTACTTTACATTTTAAATCGTGGTTTAACCTTTTACACCTGAGGTCTCCTTAATCAACAGAAATCGACAGAAATGGCTTTTAACTTTCTATTGATTTAGCCATCTAATCAAAGCTCTTGGGAGTCTAATTCTAACCTCCTTCAGTTACTTATGAGTAAATCACCGGCTTCCTGGAGAAATGATGGTATAAGGAATACCAGAAGGTACAAGGTGCTATAGAACAAGAAAGAATGTAAAGACTAACAAAAACACACCAAAAGAAAACAGGCATTCTGCTTTAGCAGTGGGAATGCATTTAATCAATGAAATACACAGGTTCATTGAACTCAGAAAAGGGAATGCCAGGAAAAAAATAACTAAAACTCACGCTATCTTGTTTAAAATTGGTGTCTTTATTTGGCTCTTCCAGTAGAAACTATAGGGAAGGTGACCAAATAACTTTGAGTGGTGAAGAAAGCTCTTTATTATGTGAGAAAGCAGCTAATAATGGTCAAAATTAATCATAAGATAGAACTAGAAAAATCATTTTTTCACCACCTAGGACAAAGGTTATTAAGTGATATTAAAACTGTTCCATTGCATTCTTGGGGAACTGAGTATTTGCATAGAGCTAAAGTAATTCCACATAGACTATTTCCAATAAGTGAGGTGAAAATTCTAATTGTACGTGGAGGGGTAAATTATCATGACCCTAATTCAGCTGTTGATTTTCCATCACTAACCATCAGTCAACCAGATGTCATGCTTCCTGATGAGATGCAACATGAATTACACAACATCACAGAGAATGAATGCTGGCAAAAAATATTTTGTGTGACTTCCAGCTTGCAAATCTAGCTGCCAATTTGTAGGAACTACAGGACCCAGAGGATTAAACTGAGAAAGATTACAGGGACATAACCAGACACATCCAGAAGGTTGAATGTTTTCCCCAGGACAATCAGCTTGTGAATTTTGTTTTTTAATAATTTTGTGATATGAATAAAGAAATAGGGGCAGGAGGTGGATTGTGCCAAGTGAAGAGAAACATAAAGGCCACCACCACCAAATCCATTGATTTGTCATGGATTTGGATCCTGATTTGGACAAAAGGGAGTGGAGAAAACTCTTCAGACAATGAAGGAAATTTGTTGCATAAGATAAATTTTTGACATAAAATGATACACATTGTTAGCTTTAAAATATCATTTACAGTGTGAATTCATTTTGGTAAAGCCATAATGTTGTGTGTATATATGCAAAAAAGAGGGTCTGGAGGCACATCTGCTGGGGGTGGGCCATGCCATCATCTGGGTGGTAGAATACACCACTCTCTCAATCTTGTTAATCTTTGTTTTCTAACTTTACATAGGCATAATACAGCTTTTGAAATCATGAAAACTTATTTTTAATCAAAAGTTAAACAAAACAGGCATTCCTGATAAATATACCTATTCACGTTTTTAAAAAATTCATTATTTGATTTTGTTTTCCAGAACTTTGACTTAGGTTTTGAGCCAAATGCATTCTCCTTAGAGTTTCTGAAAGGTTCAAACAACATGTTTTCCCTCCTTTTGATTTCATATAGTTTTCCAACCTAGCCTGGGAAAAAAATCTTTTCTAAATCCCTTGAGAAAACTCTATTTTCATTGAACTTCTGATCCTACCAGAAGCAATATTTGTAAAGAGAAGTCTGTTGCTTCTCCTTACAAATTCAGTCTGATGTTAGATCAAAGAAATTCAGATAAACATTGGGGCAATAAGTTTCAAGTTCAAAATAAATCCCTAATTTAAACTTCTCAAGAAGTTTTTTCAAGCTTTTACATAACTATAACAAAAGCTTCAGGAAACAGAATGAAAGATAAGTTTAACAGAAACAGGAATAACCTTTGTAAAAGTTTCCAAAACCTTAATGAGCTTTATTAACATGTTTAATGAGGGAATAATATAATATCACTATTAAGGATGACTGAGAACTGAGACAAGGAAGACTGAATAGATTCAGAAATATGTGGAAGTTACAGTTTTAAGACTTATGTAAAAGTTTTCATGGAAGGTAATAATAATATTTTTCCGGTGTGTGTATAGTCGATGGTTTTGTTTTTCCAACAGTAGCTATCACAGGGCATTGCAAAGAAGGATGTACACAATACATATTCAATGAATTTTATTCAACTGAACAAGGAGAATTTTCTGTACTGCATATTAAAGTGGTTTCCACCCAACTGTTTGAAAATGAAAAAATGTAGTTGGGCAGTATTCATGTCTAAAAATTGCTAACAGCTATTTTTACATTTTATGGATATATTCATTATATTGAGTGTTTCTTTTGGTAGCATGTAGATAGCAGTTAAATGTAACCTTGAAGGTAACTCGATCTTGTAATATAAAGTATTAACATCAACTATAAGCCCACGATGCCTTGTCCAAATCTCCTATAGCCAGATATATTTGGAAATTAGAAAATGTTGGACTTAAAAAAGTAATATGGCACCTATAACCATGTATATCACACCTAGCAACATCTAAGAGAACACCATGCAATCCAACACATCAATAGTTCTGCAGTGAAATACATCAATATCCAGAAGTGGAATAAATAAAACCTATAAATAGATTTCCATTTGTTCATATCAGGCTTTGCTGGCTGATGAGTTTTGGTGCCGAATTTATAAACAGCTTTGAGCTTTCAGAGCTTTAAGGATTTCAAAATTGCAGTTAAGTACTAGTAGTGTGAACTAGTATTATTAATCAATAATTGGTTAGAAGATAATTCTACTCCGTTTTGAGCTAAAACATACAGAACCATTTCACTGCTTAGACAACAGTGTTTTGGGATGTGTTTTAAATATACCATTGCCCTAACAATGGTTTGGACTTGATTTTTGTATATTACCTGTTGAGAATGTAGAGACAATGATTAGTGAAAATTCTGACCACAGGATTCAAGAGCGCACAGGTCAACACGGGGTGGCAGAGCCAAGCAGAGAGCCTGGCCAGCTCTGGGACTGCTTTGCTCCATCACAGATCACCAGCCAGTTCCTGAGTGCGGCAGCAGAGCTGGACAGGTCTCTGGCTAGACCAGTGTGCCTTTTGTGATATTCTCACTGCTCCTTGGAGTCAGTTGGCTATTCTATGAGTAAGTGGACAACTTATGCCATTATTAGAATAATTAAAATAAAGTACATCCTCAGACAATGAATGATTTCCAATGAATGTCTCTGAAGAATAAAGTAACATTCAAATGATCTAATGTTCAGACAGTTGTATTTTAAGTAAATACTATAAATATCATATTGGTTATTAAAATTCATATTGGGCATAAAAGCTTTGCCATGTGAGAAAAATTAATTCACTCTCTGAAACCCCAATTATATAAATGCTTACCGCTTTTAGGGAGAGTTAAAGGTGGTACCATAAAATCCTCTGATACTGGAAATATAAAAAGAACTCCTTCCCCAAGCGTGATCTATGGATAAGGTTAACTCTACATTATATTTCACAAATTTCAGCCTTTTCTTTGTCAAATGGTCAAAAAGAAAGGTAGGACTCAAAACAGACCTAGAAATAGGACAAAGTATGAAGAAATATATAAACTTATTAGAGACAGGAAAATTGGGAAAGATGTGAAAACATCTTCCACCTAGGGAGCAGAAGGAGGATGCCTGTCTCCGCTGTCTCTTCCAAACTACCAAGTGAGGGCAACGGCTTCGATGGGGAGGAAGGACAAAGAGCTGGCATGAGCACAGGGAACTCTGAGTCTGTGAGGGCTTTCAGAGTGGGGCTGTCTCTCTTGGGGGAGACATCCTTGGTTTTGTAGAGATAGAGATGGCCCAGGAGGACAAGCAAAGAGCAGGTTTTGCTTGGGCATTGGGCAGATCCTCCATGTGTGCTTACTCAGGAGGGCAGCAGCTGCCCTCACGCAGAAAGCATGTGCCCCTGAGTGAAATGCCCTTTGTGTCTCATGCCCTGGGACTCTCGGAACCATGGCAGAGCTGCAGGAGCATGGGGAACTTTCTCCCTGAAGTAAACATGACCTGGTAGACAAGAAACACAAGTCAAGAGAATTCTTCAAGAACACCAAAGAGGAAAAGAATTTACTGGTTAACCACAATTAATGCTTTTAAAATGAGGCTTGGAAATCCCTTCTGTGGCAAGGGATTGCAGACCCAAGGCATCTGCATCCTAATCCCTGAAGCCTGTGACTATGTGACTTTACATGGCAAATGGACTTTGTAAATGTGTTTGAGTTAAGGATCTGGTGATGGGGAGATGATCCCGGATTATCTGTGTGTGCCCAGTGTCATCACAACGGTCCTTGAAAGCAGGAAACCTTTCCTGGCTGGTCAGAGAGTGCCTGAAGACACCAGAAGAAGGGTCAGAGAGATGGTGTAATTTGGCTTTGAAGATGGAGGGCCACCTTGAGAGGCTTGAAGAGGCAAGAGAACAGATTCTCTCCTGGAGCTTCCTAAAGGAACGTAACCCTGCTGATATGTCAATTTGATTCCATTCCAACCCATTTCAGCCTATTGACCTCCATAACTGCAATATAAAAAATGTGTGTTGTTTTAAGCCACTGTTTGTGGTGATTAGTTAGTTATGGAAGCAATAGGAAACTAATACATCCACCTCTCAATCACTCTGCCCAGGTGTACAATTATTCATGGGAACTGGAGTGGGCTGCTGGGTGGAGGGGCTTGTTTCTTTATCAGAGAGTCCTTTCCAGTGTTGGAGCCTTCTTTAGGGAACTCTTGTCACCACCCTTCCAAACCTGTTATATTTTCCGGCATCACCCAAAATAATATAATTTCTCTTTTCTCAGTGAAAAGATGGTTGTTGGTTTTTTATTAGAAGTGATTGTTCATATCCTCTGCCCACTTCTTGATGGGGTTGCTTGTTTTATTTCTTGTAAATTTGTTTAAGTTCCTTGTAGATTCTAGACATTAGACCTTTGTCAGACAGGTAGATTGCAAAAATTTTCTCCCATTCTGTAGGTTGCCTGTTCACTCTGATGATAGTTTCTTTTGTTGTACAAAGCTCTTTAGTTTAATTAGATCTCATTTGTCAATTTTGGCTTTTGTTGCAGTTGCTTTTGGTGTTTTCGTCATAAAGTCTTGGCCCACGCCTTTGTACTAAATGGTATTGCCTAAGTTTTCTTCTAGGGTTTTTATGGTTTGGGGTTTTACATTTCAGTCTTTAATCCATCTTGAGTTAATTCTCATATAAGGTGTAAGGCAGGGGTCTGGTTTCAGTTTTCTGCATATGGCTAGCCAGTTTTCCCAGTGGGCAAAGGATATGAACAGACACTTCTCAAAAGAAGACATTTATGCAGCCAACAAACATATGAAAAAAAGCTCATCATCACTGATCACTAGAGAAATGCAAATCAAAACCACAATGAGATAAACATCTCATGCCAGTCAGAATGGCGATTATTAAAAAGTCAAGAAACAACAGATACTGGAGAGGCTGTGGAGAAATAGAAATGCTTTTACACAGTTGGTGGGAATGTAAATTAGCTAAACCATTGTGGAAGACAGTGTGACAATTCCTCAAGGATCTAGAACCAGAAATACCATTTGACCCAGCAATCTTATTACTGGATATATACCCAAAGGAATATAAATCATTCTACTATAAAGACACATGCACACGTATGTTTATTGCAGCAGTATTTACAATAGCAAAGACATGGAACCAACCCAAATGCCCATCAATGATAGAATGGATAAAGAAAATGTGGTGCATATACACCATGGAATACTATGCAGCCATGAAAAAGAATGAGGTCATGTCCTTTACAGGGACATGGATGAAGCTGGAAGCCATCATCCTCAGCAAACTAACACAGGAACAGAAAACCAAACACCACATGTTCTCACTCATAAATCGTAGTTGAACAATGAGAACACATAGACACAGGGAGGGGAACAACACACACCAGGGCCTATCAGGGGGTGGGGGGGCAAGGGGAGGGAGAGCATTAGGACAAATACCTAATACATGTGGGGCTTAATACCTAGATGATGGGTTGATAGATGCAGCAAACCACCATGGCCCACGTACACCTATGTAAAAATCCTCCACGTTCTGCACATGTATCCTGAACTTAAAGTAAAATGAAATAAAATGAAATAGAAGTGATTGTGCATGTGTTGGACTATACACAGTTCATTTTCAGCAGCTATTGGCTGGGCAATTGGACAAGTGACTGCATTTTGGTTTTCTATTCTGTAAAGTGAGGGGATAATAATTAGAAACCCACAGTATCATTCAGAGGATAAAATTAATTAATATAGAAGAATATGACTTGTAAACTTCCAAGTGTTGAAAAGTTCTGTTTGTATATCTATCAATTAATTATTTTTCCACACAGCATTTAAAATACTTGTAGGCAGTTGTGACATAGGTTCTTTAGTTCACATAGCTGTAACCACTTCAACTGTATCCAATACATATGATTTCTAGTCCATTTGCCAATGATACATACCTTTTCTATTTAACCATTACAAGTTTTTCCATGGGAAATTTTATATAAACTAAGGATCACAGAAAATGTAGAACTGCATGTTCCTATTTCATTGAACACCTCTAGCAAAAGGGTTACTGAGGACACCTGCATCCAATATCTTGAAGCCAGGGATCATCTTACTGGCATAACCCCAGAGCTGACGGCAGGCTCTGACCCGGGCTGATGCTTTCGTGTTTGTTGTCTTGTGAACCTTGAGGGGCAGGAGCAGCAGCTGCCAGAGGCTCTGGCAGGCTGGAATCCTCAGCCTGGTCACCGGTGGTTCTCACTGCCTGATCCTCTGTCCCAATTTCTGACCCTTGCCTTTCTTAACTCTGAAACATAACTGTGGCAAAGGAAGAACACAAAAACTTGCTGCAGGAGGTTTTCTTTCATGATACTTTGTGGGAAAAATAGAGATTTGACCTCTGTACTTGAAACCCACTCAGCACCAAGGCCATCCTTCCCTGGGACACTTGTGTTTCCTCCAGGCCATTTCCAGTGTTTCCTCCAGGGCATTTCCAACGAAAGAAGCTAGGAATGCATATGGCATCTGTGCACTGGGATGGGGGATCAGGGACACTGGGTCACCCATGTGTCCAGAAGATTGATTCATGCTGCCAGGAGCAAAGGACATGATTGACGCTGGGGAGCTTTTCAAGGGAGGGGAGCAGGACAAACATGTAATAAACTTGAGGTTTGAAGAAGCCCTGCCTCAGTGAGAGGACTGCTTGCCCCCAAGAATACAGTTAAAGATATATTTTTTTATGACCTCGGTCTTGTTTAGGCAATGACTATAAATTCCTTGCTGAGTAAGAACTGCAAAAATCACAATGTTGATGAGTTTGGAAAAGTTTCCAAGACTTCCAGCATCCTCGAGACTTGACAACTGACCTGTAGCATTGCCTTTGGTAGCAGAGTTAATGATTATGAATATGAATAAAAAGGAAAAACTGAATAAAAATAAATCAATTAGAGGACATTCTCACTTGTTACATTTGCATTGAATATATTCCTTTGGCCATAAAATTCTCCATTTGTCACATGCATTATGCCAGAAAGAAAAGTTATATATATATTTTTCTCCCAAAGCAGGTCTTAATGTTAAAACATGCTTTTTAAATGTCTTTCTCAGAATCAGGTAAAGTCACAGGTGGATATGCAATGAGATGGTATAAAGTCAGTGACTGTGTTTTCTGCAATGCAATGGTGTTGAACCGGGTCATACGGTGAGTCTCGCATATGGATATGGACTGGGTGATCACACTCATGTTTTAATTCTCTTTCTATAGATTTGAGAAATAATAATTGAGCATTAGAAAAGACACCATATTACATACAATGAGAGCAATAAAGGAATTTTAAGTGTTGACCCCTTCCTTCAAGGAGCTCAAACAGACCACTGAAAAGGCAAAGAAGCAAGCAGGAAAGTGTTAGAGAACAGCAAGTCAAGAAACCTGCCAAGGTGTTCATCACGAAATGACTGCTCTGGTGGGCAGGCTGATGAAGGGGTGGGCAGGCTGATGAAGGGTAAAGGTGGTTTGCTTAGCCTAGCTCTTCACTGTTGCCTAATGAGAAGAGTTTCTGGGTCTGTAGAGGTCTCTCCACCATGGAACTCCATAGGAACTCTGGGTAATAGACCCTGTTGGTTCAGGATTGGAGTTGGTGCCTCTAGCATTACTAGGTGTTTCCCACAATCTGGTTGAGCTACATTGCTGATTTAGCTGATGGCACATTCCTGTGCATTTGTTTCTGCAGTGTCTTTGTATACTAGACTACTGTAGAGCTAGAATCCCTGACTGCATCTCCCAGGAAGGCCTTCAGGCACACCAGCCTAGGCTTTAAAACAGTGTCACTTTATTGTGAAAACCAGTACTTTATGTGTTTTCCTTAAATTTACCATTTCAGAACTTTACTCCTGATATGGTTTGGGTGTGTCCCCACCCAAATCTCATCTTGAACTGTAGTTCCTATAATCCCCACATGTTGTGGGAGGGACCCAGTGGGAGGTAATTGAATCATGGGGGTGGTTTCCTCCATGCTGTTCTCATGATGGTGAGTTCTCATGAGATCTGATGGTTTTATAAGGGGCTCTCACCCCCGTCACTCTGCACTTCTCCTTGCTGCCACCATGTGAAGAAGGATGTGTTTGTTTCCCCTTCCACCATGATTGCAAGTTTCCTGAGGCCTTCCCAGTTCTGCGGCACTGTGAGTCAATAAAATCTTCTTCCTTTATAAATTACCCAGTCTTGGATTTGTCTTTATTAGAAGCGTGAGAATAGACTAATACAGCTTAAAAGTCTCTCAAAATGTGAACATGGACCCAAACTTTTTTTTTTTTTTGAGACAGAGTCTCTCTCTGGAGTGCTGTGGTGCAATCTCGGCTCACTGCAACCTCTGCCTCTCAGATTCAAGCAATTGTCCTGCCTCAGCCTCCTGAGTAGCTGGGATTACAGGCGCATGCCACCACGCCTGGCTAATTTTTGTATTTTTAGTAAACAGGGTTTCACCATGTGGGTCAGGCTGGTCTCAAACTCCTGACCTCGTGATCCGCCCACCTTGGCCTCCCATAAAGATGCTGTCATTTACTAATAACCTACATGTGGGAAGGAGAGAGTGGGAGAACAAAAGAAAAAGTGAGGGAGGGAAAACCCCAGTGAGTGCATGCAATACTCAGGCGATGTCCTCTTCCTCAACTGCTCAGCACCTTCACAAAGTGACCCAGGCCTTTCATACACCTTTACATGGAAAACATAGGCTGAAAGTGTCTGGCAATTTGAGTATGATGCCAAGGTCTTTGCCCAAGAACCTCCTTTCTCCATGGTTAAGAGGTGTTGTTGCATTTCTGGAGAATTTTGTTTTCTTTATCTGTGCTCAGGAATCCTTTGCAGCACGGGAGAGCTTGAGAGAGAAGGGTCTTGTGGCAGCAGGTGTCAAGGACTGCTGACGAGGGAAAGGTGACTGTATTCTTCACTGGACTTGCTGTGCTTATGAAAAAAATGTGGTTCCTAGGGACGTGGTGTCTCACGGGCACTCATCTCTTTCAGGGGTGCTGACCTTTTGACTAGGCCACCAATATAGCCAAACCATTGATAACCCCAAATCCTTGAAGTGTCAAAGCCATATAAGCTGAAACTGGACCTTAAAGCTCAGCCCCTCCAGCAGAGAGCATCTGGAAAGAGCCAGAAATGTTACACCACCAAGTCCTGTAGATAGAAAAGTACCAACCAACTGGCTGCACCCAGTTTGAAGAGTATTCTGGAAGACATGAGCAGTGTGGGGTGGCAGAGACTATCCACAGAAACCAATGATAAGATGGTAAACCCAGTTCCAGGAGAGAGGATTCCCACACTACACTTAGTTAATAGACTTTTTGTTGTTGTTTCTACTACTTTCAATAAGAAAAGTAGAAATTAATATTAAAACCCTACTATAAAATATCTAAAACTACAACAACACTTTTTAAACTATGGAAAATGGCATACATCTCTCACTGATAGGATGGATCCACCACTCCCAATGATTCCTTGATTGCTCTCTGATTTGGTGGGCTGGGTGGGCTCCATCCACAGACTATTACAACAGACCTTCTATTGCCTCAAAGGCTGTCCTGAAAACTTGTCTGTCTGGCAATTCACAACAAATGCTTCACGATCTTGGGTCACTGCAACCTCTGCCTCCCGGGTTCAAGTAATTCCCCTGCCTCAGCCTCCTGAATAGCTGGGACTAGAGGTGCCTGCCACCACACCTGGCTAATTTTTTGTATTTTTAGTAGAGACAGGGTTTCACCGTATTAGCCAGGAGGGTCTCGATCTCCTGATCTCATGATCTGCCCACCTCAGCCTCCCAAAGTGCTGGGATTACAGGCATGGACCACCACACCTGGCCAGAAAAATATGTTTAATTTATAAAATAACTATTAAAAGCTTTAAAAACAAAGACTGTCAAGGGAAACAACATTCTCCTCCAATGTTCATACTTGGTTCAATAAACATTTGTTATGCCCTTACCGTAAGTCACATGTAGAAAGAAGAGCAGAGCATGTGAACCAGAGACATTAATTACCCTGGAAGACCCAAGATTACTTTCCTCTAATGAAGGACACCCACCAGGAAGTGCATGAATGCAAAGAACCACCAAGTGAGGCATTTCTTTTGTCATCAAAAGACAATGTTTTAGAGAGAATGTTTACTAGGACAGTCATATTTATTAATACAGGTCTCCATAATATGACACTCATACCTAGAAGTATGGCATTTGTCTATACACTCAGGAGAATTTCCTAAGTATTGCGGTGCTGTAATAACAAGCAGTAGCTATGGAGTGGCTGCCATTCCAAGTGCACACAATGGCAGCACTGGACCTTGGCAGTGGCTGCTGGAGATGTATCATTTGCTGGGCAGTTCTGCCCGTCTTAACTGGAGCAAATGTAATGGCCACATCTGTGTCTGTGAATGTGTTGTTCAAGCAATCCTGAGGTAAGAATTTGGAGTGACAGAGATCCTTGTTTCCTTTAAAGTGAAAGCTCTGATATCCTAAAGCTCCATAAACACTCTCCTACAGCTGGGTGTCCCATCGTGTTGCAAGCATTTCGACACCACAAAGTGTAGCCTCCTTCGTTGCTTAATCTTCCCACATTCTGGATCCTGTTTGTCGGAAAGGTGGTAAGAAAATGCAATTTCCTTTTACCTACGGAGGGGTCTAAAGGGATTTGAATGCCATTGGCTTGCTGGGTTTCAGAGGTCTAGTCTGAGATTCCAGCTAATTGATGATAAATATAGGGCATTTGGTCCCCGGACTTCACACGGCCTTCCATCAATAAGTCTGCATCCTGGGTTTCTTTGCAACACTGCACAATCCCTCCACCCCTTTCTCTTCAAACTCCCTCAGGTCCTCTCATGAGCCACCCTCTGGAAGGACTTCTTACCCTTCAGAAACAGGTTTTCCCTGTTAGTAACAGGAAGAAAGGGAGAGGCAAACTCCAGAGCCCCGAGTCACAGCCCACAACATGCAGACCCAAGCATGGCTCACCTCAGAGGAGAGCCACGTGCTGCCAGCACAGCCCTCAGGGGGATTGGGTTCACCTGAAATCATTACAGGTAGGTTTTTCTGCTGTACGTGGGTTTTTCAAGACCCAAATCAATAGCTGTAAAGAGAAATCTCTAGGCCCCTGACACAGATCTGGCTCAGAAAGGCCAAGGGTAAAGAAGAACATAAACAGGAAGACAGATGAGAATAGAGCTGCTTGCTTCAGGCAGTAATTCTTTCAGAAAAGTCAAACTGCGAATCTCCCAAGCTGCCCATAGATGAAAATTCTCTTCTTGCAAATCCCTGGCCGTGGGCTGCTGAGCTGCTGGGCTCCTGAGATGTTGGCAGCCTACTCTCAATTTCTGTCTCTATTTAAAACAATTTTTTAATTCTTCAGGAAACGCAGCATTCCCTGCAGGAATTGCTTTACATGTTTCTCATAAACAGAACCTTTCAACTAACTCTGGAAATCCATAGAAGCACCCAAACTCTTAGCAGAGAGAGGATTTCTGTCCAAGTACCTTGAGATGGCAATTCACTGGAGGTGAAGTTGACTTGGTCTAGTCTTGGCTAGACCATATGGTCTTGATGTATTTTTTTCATGTAAAATTTGACATCTGAATATACAATGTGCATTGTTTTTTAGATCATTGTTCTTCTACAATTGGCAAACTCTACTACACAGTAAATACAATAGAATGTGAAAGTGTTTAGGAAGGAAGAGTAACCATGAAGAATTTTATCTCTTCAACAGCCATTGAATCCCTTCCCTTTCAATATCCTTCATCCATTTCACAGAGAATCCTCCTAGCTCACAGGTACCCTCTCTATTTAAAGGCTCACTAAGAAAATACCATCTGTAAAGCCTACAATTACAGTTTTCGGCCTTGAAAGTGTATTATAGCATAAATATCAGTATTTCCCTTCTCCCCTGTTGAGTAAGCAGCAATAACCTCAGAATGAGTGAGGAAAGAGGTATAAACTCAGAGGCACAGCAGCAGGAGGCAGCAGAACTAAGGGCTGTGGATTGGAAGCAACAATGTGGTTTCTTATCCCTGCCATTACAGTGCGGTTTCAGAGCCCATCCCACCCTTGGATGAAATTAATGTGCAATTGAGTTGTAGTCATACTAATACCCTCTGCTGATACTGGACTGAACACAACAGAGGGCCAGAAGAAGACCCACCTGGGAACCCTGACCAAGATGTTGGAAGCCCAAAACTATGGTGCTTAGGGTTAGACTCAGCATTTGGTAGAAATCCAGGCACTGAAAACAATCCCTTGGAAAAGATGAAGCATGTAGACCCCTGGGTTTTCACATGCAACTGACACAAATCTTTAAAGGTAAGAGCTGCTAAGAGAGTTGGCCCCATTGGCTGAGTGCCTAGGCAAAGGGAAGTTCATGATGAGGGATCTGTGTGGGAAGGGGCTTGGGCTGGCATTGACAGGGGTCAAGTGACCAAGCGGGAATATTTCCAGCCTGTGACCAGGAACTGCCAGGAAAGAACTTGCATTTTTAACAATCAAGATAAATACTCTAGCCCTGACTGGGATATGGAGGTCATGGGAGGCCAGCAACAGAAGTGGAGAGACTGTGAAAGCCTCCATCCCCCTGCCACCCAGCACGCAGCCAACAGATGCCCATGGACCACATTCCTGTCATGGATGTCATCGCCATATGCGGACCACCCCCAATTAAACTGGGCTCTCATGATTTCTCATAAGATGGCTACTTGGAACATGTATTGCCCTACAACTTGGAACTTGGATTATATTTGTAGGATTTCTCTTCTTTCGGTTGAGTGGCCTTATCCCCAGTGTACTGCAACCAAACCACCACCACCAGCCACACTGCCTGCTGACCCTTTCTCCACCCTCTGGAAGACTTCTTACCCTTCAGAAACAGGTTATCCCTGTTAGCAATAGGAAGAAATGGAGAGGCAAACTCCAGAGCCCCGAGTCACAGCCCACCACATGCAGACCTGAGCATGGCTCATCTCAGAGGAGAGTCAGGTGCTGCCAGCATAGCCCTCGGGTGGGTTAGGTCCACCTGAAGACATTACTGGTAGATTTGACTTCTGGGCTACTGGTAGCCCTGTCCCTCATGCAAGGAAGGTGCTTGATGTTATTCCTTCATTCTGAAGAATCAGAGGCGGGTATATGTAATGTCTCTTGTAAGAAAATGCTATTTTCCTTAAGAAAGTAATACTAATAGACATGAATTTGGTCATTATGTATGATGCACAGTTTCAAGTACTTTACATGTATTACATTCATTTAACCTTTCGCAGCTCTATGAGTTAGGTGCTGCCTTGGTTGGTTCTAGAGGCTATAAGGAATTACCATAGACCGGGGTGACTTTTAAAGAACAGGAATTTATTTCCTGCAATTCTGAAGGCTGGACGTCTGAGATTTGGTGCCAACATGGTTATGTCCTGGTGAGGGCTCTCTTCTGGGTTGCAAACTGTGGGCCTCTCATTGTCTTCACACATAGCAGAGCGCAGAGTGAGCAGGGAAGCAAGCTCTCTCATGACTCTAAAGGGCATTCTACTTCTCATCACCTGCCAAAGGCCCCACCTCCAAATGCCATCACAGTGGGCAGCAAGCTTCCACATGACTTTGTCAGGGGAGGGGACACACACATTGCGTCCACAACAGGTGCTATTATTTACCCCAAATACAGGAACACAGCAGTTAAATAACTTGTCCAAGGACACTCAGCTAGTATGTGGCTGATCCAGGATTTTACCGTGTCAGGCTCCCGACACAATGTCAAGCTGTTAATCATAATACCATAGTGGCCAGAACATATGCACAGGGTCCTCTGGGTGGCTGAAGATGAGTGGTCTCCATCTCTGCCCACCTGAACTTATTCTGATGGTATCTTTCTCATGACCAGTCCACAAGCATTTTAGTTTAGCAATGCTGAATGCTAAAATACGCTGGAAAATTTTGAAAGATGTTTATAAAAGCTATAGATTGGTAATAAAAAATAGTGGTACAGTACAGGGAATTTAAGAAAGTTGGCTCAAAAATTAGAGCTCATCTTCTGGGATACAGGCCCAGCTCAATTGCACATGGGAGCCCAGAGGAAAGCAGGAAGACCATGCTGTTTCCACACTTCGAGCTTCCTCCCAGTCGGCAGCACTACCTTGTAACACCTATAAACCAGGAGAGTTTCTCCCAGTGTCTTCACTCCACAAAGTTAAGACCAACAACTAGTTTTTTTTTTCTTCACAGATACTTTCCATCAAGAGACAAAAGATTCCGTTTTTTCTTTTTCTTTTTTCTTTTTTTTTTTAGATGGAGTCTCGCTCTGTTGCCCAGGCTGGAGTGCAGTGGCACAATCTCGGCTCTCTGCAGCCTCCACCTCCCAGGTTCAAGCAATTCTCCTGCCTCAGCCTCCTGAGTAGCTGGGACTACAGGCACGTGCCACCACGCCTGGCTAATTTTTTTGTATTTTTAGTAGAGACAGGGTTTCACCATGTTGGCCAGGATGGTCTTGAACTCCTGACCTCGTGATCCGCCCACCTTGGCCTCTCAAAGTGCTAGGATTACAGGAAAAGATTCCCTTCTAAGGGTTCTTATTTACTAAGGTTTATTGTTGTGTTAGCCACTAAACATTGTATCAGTATTAGCTCACTGATATTTACAACAGCTTTGAAAAATTGATATCATTATCTCATTTTACTGATGAAGAACAAAACCCATGGTGGTGAATCACCTTGTTTTGATCTTCAGGGGGGAAATGTGAGAACACAAGAGTAAAAGAAGACTCATAGGATAATCTGGGGGGAAAAATCACCTAGAAATTATCTTAGATGCCTAGGAATAAAATCTCGGTATAGGATGGCACTAACTGGTTATTATTTCTGGACATTTGGCCTATTTTAAATCCCAGTTAATTATCAATGTTAAATGTATTATTAAAATACACACATTATTTTCTACATTAAATGAATTATTGGCTTCCATTTCTGATCAAGGTGGAGTAACTGGAGTGGATTTAACTTCCTACTAGAAACAATTAACCAAAAAAAATACATAAAATGTATGGTTTCCAGATATCAGACATCAGGAAGTGCCATGCAGTGGCCCCTAAAAGTGATCCTCATCGTGGCACTCAGCATGCTGCCTGGAGAATGCTTGCAGGTGGCAGTGCAGGGCAGGGAAGCCCAGACCACATCCTGTGGTCTCCCTGAGTTGAGATGATGGAATTGGGAGCGCAAGGCGGCCAAGGCAGTCAGAGTTCTCAGGAGAGAGAAAGAGAGAAGAAGAGAGAAAGAGCACAGAAAGGAGCTCTGAAGGTCTGAAGTGCATCCCACAAGGCTTCAGCCGAGTGCTAGTCAGCACAGGTCTATGAGGAAGCTGTGAGACCAAGGACAGAACCAATGCTGTGGAGCAGAGGAAGCAATCACTACTTCTGACTTACAAACGCTGCAATAATTGATCACCAGCAGACCTTCACTACAAAAGATGCTAAAGCAGAAGGAAAAGGATCCCAGACAGAACTCTGCATCCATAAAAGGACAGAAGAGTAACAGAAATGGTAAATATGGAAGACGGATTTTTCCTGGTTTTCACCTTTTTAAAAGATAATTGGCTGTTTGAAGCTAAAATAATAGTGTATTATGGAAGTAAGGACAACAATAGCACAAAGGCTTAGCAGGGGCAAAGGAAGTGTGAAGTGCAATATTACAAGAAGATGGACCACAGCAAGCTAGGCATATGCTATTAGTCCTAAGGCAACTACTTTTAAAAAGTTACACCTAAAAAGCTAACAAAAGAAGGAAACAGAATCATGGATAAAAACAACCAACAATCTAACTCAATCCAAAGGAATGTAGAAAAATAAGAAAAAAGAAACGAAGAACAGACAGAACAAATAGAAAATAGCAAAATCGTACACTTAAACCCAACCACATCAAGAATCACATTAAACATGATTCTAAACAACCTGGCTGAAAAGGAATATTTCTCAGGTTGTATATAAAAATGATGCAGGATTTTTCTCGGTCACTTTGTCAGCCAGGGACTTCTGCAGCCTGACTTGTGTGCCAGTGTGGACCCCACACTTGCTGTAGGATCCACATTCAGCCTGTGACTGGGCTGAGCATGCCCTAGTCCACCTGTGTTACAGCTGGTACCGGCGTTCACGTTCAGTGGGTCCTGAGTTCTTGCCAGCATTCAAGAAGAATGAGGTTACGCTGACAACTGAAGGGTGAGGAGGGCAGAGAATAATTTTATTAAATGGTGGAATGGCTCTCAGTGCAGAGGGGACATGAGTGTGGTCCCCCATCTGAAGTTGGGTGGTTTCTCTCTTGGTGTGGCTGGGTCTGGGGCTTTTATGGGCTCAGAATGGGGGAGTGTGTGCTGATTGGTTTGTGAATATGCAAATAAGCTGAAACAAAGACACAACTCAAAGGTGGGCACAACAGTGTAAAAAACCAATTAGGGAAGGGTAGGTATATGTAAAATAGGTGAAGGATGAGGATCAGTCAGAGGAAAGTGCACCAAATGGGAAGAGACGTTCTCAATCTGGTCCATAGATTTGACTTGTAGCTTGGCTTTCAAGCTTTAAACTGTCCTTGGCTTAAAGGTGGGGTTTCAGTGGGGTGCCTGCCCCTATCTGCCTAGGCATTTGACTGCCTCCTGCCACTATCAAAAGCAAGACCCAGATATTTGTTACCTATGACAAATTTTTAAAATTTCTTTAAATATATAGATACAAAGAGGTTAAAAATTTTAAAAATGAGAAAAGATACATCATTACTGCCATGAGTGCATATTTCAATATCAGGCAAAGTAGATTTCAGTGAAAAGAATACCACCAGGGATAAAGTGGATCATTTTATGATGACAAAGTGGTCTATTCATCAGAAGATAACAAGCTTAAAAGTTTCAATATGCTCAATAACAAAACTTCCAAGTACATGAAGCAAAATCCAATAGATTTTTAAGAAGAAACAGACAAATCTTTAATTGTAATTAGAATTTTCAACTGTCCTTTCAACAATTTGTAGAACAAGTAGACAAGCAAGAGCACAATATATACTTTTCAAGTGTATTGATAGTATTTACCATGATGGACTATAAAAGCACTCTTAGTGAATTTAGAAGTTTTCAAGCCACTCAAAGAATATTCTCTGACTACAATGGAACTAAAATAGATATCCAAAAAAATCCTCCAATACTAAAACACTAACACATTTCTAAATAACCCATGGATCAAGGAAGAAATCAAAAGTGAAATTAGAATGCATTTTGAGTTGAATAAAATTTAAAATGTAGAATATTATACATTGCAAGATGTAGTTCATGTAATGACTTGAGGGAAATTTATAGCACTCAACATATGTATTTAAAAAAAGAAGAAGAAACATCTCAAATCAATGACTTTAGTGTCTACTTTATAAAGCTAGAAACAGAAAAGCAAGTTTGATCCAACATAATCAGAAGAAAGAAAATAAATATGTTATGACAAGATGCCCAATCCTTCCTCCTACCTTTTTGTTCCTTTCTACCTTTGTCCTGTCAGAATCAGAATGAGTGACTAGTTCTGTGGGATGAGTGTGCTGAAAGATAGGGCTCCATTCAGAAGCAAGACACTACCGAGGCCAGGCATGGGCAGGACTACTCACCTCTAGCTTTGGTCTTCAAGCAGATTGTATTAGTCTGTTCTCTGACTGCCAATAAAGACATACTTCAGACTGGTAATTTATAAAGGAAAGAGGCTTAATGAACTCATGGTTCCACATGGCTGGGGAGGCCTCACAATCATGGCAGGAGGCAAAGAAGGAGTAAAGTCACGTCTTACATGGCGGTAGGCAAGAGAGCGTGTGCAGGGGAACTCCCATTTATAAAACCATCAGATTTCATGAGACTTATTCACTATCATGAGAACAGCACAGGAAAGACCCACCCCCATGATTCAATTATCTCTCACTGGGTCCCTCCCATGACAAGTGAGAATTATGGGAGCAACAACTCAAGATGAGATTTGGGTGGGGATACAGCCAAACCATATCAGAGATTATCCCTTATATTTATGCCTAAGATGTGTTGAGAGTCAGGAATCTCCATTAGAAATCCAAAACTCAGTGGTCACCCCTCTCTCACACACATACCCAGTTCACTGGCCTGCCTTGCTCTTATGTCACTGGAATAACATTCAGGTGATTTAGTGGTACTTTTCTTTTCTGTTTTGTCCAGCACGTTGTTCAGGCAATGCATAAGCCCCCATCCCCCTGCATTTAAAAAAAAATCATGCTCAATATTCCTCATCTCATGACTCTGCTTTTGCTATTACCTAAGCACTTCTGCTTCTGCTTCTGCATGGGAGGTGTCTTCCTCTCAGTCCCTGAGCTCCGGGTGTGTTCTTCCATCTAAGGATGCAGGTTCTTCAGCCCTGCTCACTGGCCCTGATTTCTGTGCCACTTGTGGTCCTGAGAAACCCGGACCCATAGAGTAGCGCTTTGCCCCACCACCATGTGTGACAGCTGTAAAATGTGGGTAGAGAAATGCATCTCAGCCCTAAAAAAGTATCAAGGCATTAAAAACGCTCAAAGTTAGAAAGGGTATTAAAGGTCCTTCAGATAGGGTTATATTTACCTAAGTAGTTTACATTTCTTAACACATTTAACTCATACAAGTTTATAAACTCTTATTATTTCCATCTTACAAATGAAGAAACTGAGGCTATTGGGTTGAGTCTGGTTCCACAAACCCACCACTCTATTTCCCTCAACACACACACATGCACACAATATGCGCGCGCGCGCGCGCACACACACACACACACACACACACACACACACACACACATCACTGCTGACATTTCCTTTGTTAAGGGACAATGTAAGATTTCATGGTAGTCCGACACCATTAAGACAAAGGGAGCAGGCAATACCTCAAACCTGCTTCAAACATCCCACTCCCTCAAAGTTCCCTCAGGGAGAGATGCGGGCAAAGGCCAGGGCAGATAGAAAATCAAACCTCTACTACATTTTAATTGAGTTTATCCTCAAAATTCCAGTGCTTAATACTGGCAAACTGGATTGAAGCACAAGAGAGAGGCACTAGGTCCAGCTAGAACCCTTTCAGTACAAAGCCCAAACTCAAAATTCTGCTGGCAGCTGCTGCCCTAGTTTGAGAAGATGAGATGCTCACATATGCTTGTGAGAAACATTAAAGAAAAAGAAAGCTAAATGGCTGTGCTTCCTCCCACCTTATTGTAATCCTAATTTAGGCACAAAAAGAAAACGTCAGGAAGCACCGGAGAGCAAGACAGGCAGATGGCTGGACAAGTGCTCGGGTGGGTGAAAAGCCCGAGGCCAGTTTGCTGATCAGCTACCTGGATAAAAGAAGAGGAAAAGAATAGTAAGCTCAGTGTGAACTTTCTAACAATCAGACGTGTCACTGATGACCCAATCGGATTAAAGACCCCTTTTTTCTGGCAGTGGAGAGGTGGATGCTATAGAAAAGAAGGTGGAGAGGAGCTGCCAAGAGGAAAAATAACATTTTCCCCCCAGGAAAGGCCCAAAAGTCCCAATATGCACATTTGTGGCTCAGACCACTCTTCTGAATTCCGTATCCATATATCCACAGTAGGAGGCATCAGGAATACTCCCCCTACCCCGGCCCCCACCAACCTTCAACCAAAGAGGAAAATTTGAACCACAAAATTATTTAATTGGATCTGAATGTATTTCTCTTCTGCATGGCAAAGGGAAACCCACTGACATCCAGTGCCTCTTGCAACTCAGGAGGCAGCAAAACGTGAATTGCCACAAAAGGTTGGGGTATACACTTTCATTACAGAGGAAAGTCAAGGTTGCCCTCACAGAAGCAATAGTCTCTCTTATGAGAATATTCTTTGTTTCTGTGATAAAGCACATCTTGGTGATATGTGCTGGCTTTTCAGTTTATGCTTAGTTTTCAACAGCTGCAGTTCCCACGCCGGGAGATCTACAGGCAGTCAAGGCACCACGTGGTGGCACAGGGAAATCATTTGTGGCCCTACAGCTACAGCCCAAGGGGTTCAAATTTTCAAGAACAAGACTATTAAGTTGGGGGAAAAATCTCTTCCTTCTAGAAATCTTCTGAAGGTGAAAGTAGGGGACAAGCTTCGGAATCTTCCTGATCCTTCAGTAACAAACTCTTCATTTATTAAAAAAATTTTAACTGACAAACAATAATTGTAAATATTCATGGGATACATAGTGATGTTTTGATACATATAATGTATAGTGATCAGATCAGGGTAATTAGCAGTGTAATTGTTCCCGGACCAAACTGAGGATTGGGCTGCTATTTCTCATGGCCCAATAATGAGATGCAGATGAACTGGGGAGGAAGAAGAGTTTTTATTTCTGTAACTGGCTACAGGGAGAAGGCCTGGAAATTATCACCAGACCAACTCAAAATTACAGTGTTTTCCAGAGCTTATATACCTTCTAAGCTATATGTCTATGTGTTAAGTGTGCATTCATCTAAAGACAAGTGATTAACTTATTTTAATCTATAACTAAGATCTGAGTCCTGAAGATCTTCCTCTGGATCCTCAGTAAATTTACTTAATGTAAGTGGGTCCAGGTGCTGGGGTGATTACCCTTATCTTGTCTCCTGCCAAATCATGGAGGTTTGGGGAGCTCCTTCAGACCCCCAACAAACTTGTTTGTAGAGGCCTTGGGGAGTTTCTTCAGATCCCCAATAAAACTTGTTTAATCCTAAATGGGTCTGGTTAAGAATTCCTTCATTATTTTGTCATGCTTTAATGCCCAGGAAAGGCCTAGGCAAAACTGTTGGTGGGTTTTTGTTACATCCCAGCCTTTGTATAAGGGCATTGGCTTTTAATGTTTAACTTAAGCACTCAGTCAGTACTGAAACAGTTGCTATGGAAGCCTACTTTAGTGAGACCTGGCCTGCCACATAATTAGCATCTCAAATATTTGTTACTTCTTTGTGTTGGGAACATTCAGAATCCTTTTTCTAGCTACTGGAAACTCTGTGTAATTGTTAACTGTATTCATCCTACAGTGCTATAGAACACTAGAAATTATTCCTCCCATCTAGCTGTAAATCTGTATCCTTTAATAAATTTATCTCTCTCCTCACTTCCCACTGCCCTTCCCAGCCTCTAGTATCCTATGTTTTACTTTTTTTTTTTCAACAGGCTGGAGTGCAGCAGCATGATCTCGGCTCACTACAACCTCCATCTCCAAGACTCAAACCATCCTCCCACCTCAGCCTCCCGACTAGCTGGGACTACCGGTGCATGTGTTCTACTTTTTGCCTCTATGAGACCAATTTTTTTTTTTTATAGCGTCCACCTATAAGTGGGAATACATGGGGCATTTAACTTCTTGTTCCTGGCTTATTTCACTTAACATAATGTCCTCCAGTTATATCCATATTGCTGCAAATGACAGAGGTTATTTATGTATTTATTATTTTTTTGAGAAGGAGTCCCACTCTGTCATCCAGGCTGGAGTGCAGTGGTCCAATCAGGGCTCATCGTAACCTCAGCCTTCTGAGTTCAAGTGATCCTCCCACTTCAGCCTCCTGAGTAGCTGGGACTAGAGGCGTGTGCCACCAAGTCCAGCTAATTTTTTTGGTATTTTTTGTAGAGATGGGGTTTTGCCATGTTGCTCAGGCTGACCTCTAACTTCTGGGCTCGAGTGACCTGCCTGCTTCATCCTCCCAAAGTGTTAGGATTACATGCATGAGCCACAGGGCCCAGCCAACAGAGTTTTATTCTTTGATATGGCTGAACAGCATTTCATGGTGCATATATACCATATTTCTTTATCCATTTGTCTATTATTGGAAAATCAGTGATTGAAGGGTATAGCTTCCATCCTCAACCCACCCAATGATTCCAACATAGATCAGAGAACCTGGACGTCCCATAGGCATTTCAAACTTAACAGCTCGAAAACAGAACTTGTGTCTCCTAAATCCTCTCCTTCCACCTTCCCAAACCAGCACTTTCCATGGTCTCACTCTATTCAGTTAATGGAAACTTCATTTTTACTATTGCTCAGGAAAAAATTCTTGGAGTGATTTTTTGGCTCATCTTTTATGCTCACACATCTAATCCATCAGAAAATCCTGTCAAATATGCCTTCAAAATATGTTCAGAAAGCACCAGCTCCAATCCTACTGTAATGGTACCAGCTTTATCATCTCATCTGGGCTATTGCAACAGCTTCCTTACTGGACTCTCTGCTTCCTCATTCAGCCTATTTTCAACATGGGAGCCCAGGAGATCCTGCTGAAATGGAAATCAGGTAAGTTTAACTTCTCTTCTCAAAACCTCCCATAGTAAGCAGTCAGCTTAACTTAGGTATGCTGAACTAACGAGCAAACCCTGAGATCTCAGGTGATTAACACAAGAAGTTTAACTTGCCACTCACGTGTAGCCCTCTGGGACTCGAGACTCCAGCAAAGTTCCCAACCAGTGGCAACTCAAAGATGCAGGCTGCTTTTCTCCTGTAGCCATGTCTTTCATTGGGCAATGTCAGTGGAAGACAGAGCACAGGGAACTCACGCATCCTCTGCCCTGCTGTGTTTCATCCGGTCTACTGGCCACAGCGAATCTCTGGGGCCTGCCCACTCAAGGGGGCTGGAAATATAGGTGAGTACATTTGGTCAGCATTAAATATTTCTGCCACACCCTCCAATAGCTTCCTATCTCCTTTAGGATTAAAGACACAGTTCTCACAATGGACACATCATTCTTCTCTCCCCTGAGGGCCTTTGCACTGACTGTGTAACCTGCCTATAGCACCCTCCTGATGCTCTTTCCCCCATCTCTGATACATTTTCAAATAGAAACATTTTATTGAGATAATTGTAGATTCACATGCAGTTGTGAGAAAGAATATAGGGAGATCCTCTGTGCCCCTTATCCAGTTTCCCCAAATGGTAACACTTGCAAAGGTATGGTATGATGTCACAGCCAGGATATTGACATTGCAACAACCCACCAATCTCACTCAGATATCTCCGTGTGTATGTATATTTATTTCCACACATTTTATCCCATGCATAAGTTCGTATCTCCACCACCACACTCAAGATGCAGACATTTCCATCCCCACGGGGATTCCTCCTGCTGCCCTTTCATTGCCACCCCGCCTCCCTCCCACCACTGCCCCCTCTATCCTGCCCTTACGCCTGACAGTCACTAATCTGTTCACCATTTCTAAAATTGTGTCATTTCAACAGCATTATATAAAGGAACCACACAATTTGTCCCAGCCCAGCGGCTGGGCACATGTGTTTCTATGCTTCTTACATATAAACAGCAATATTTAGGATGCCAAAGAGCAAAGGTAAGAGGGCCATTTCCGATGATCCCTGTGCGCTTCCAGCCACGGAAATATAGCCTGAGATACAGGCACTACAGCAGCCAGGGATGGGGGGAGGGGTCCCTGATTCCCGCAGTGCTTACACTGGCCCTGCACACTCCCTGAGCAACTGGCAGGGGCCTCTGGGTCACCTCTGCTTTCCATCCCATCAGCCCCATTTCTCTACCAGAGAATCCTTTTATTATGTTAAAATAGGACGTCATTACTTGAATTAGAAAGGGAAATACCAGCTGCTTTCGTCCTCCAGGAAGCACTAATTAGCCAGCAGCCACCCTGATCTCAGGCGACCAGGGAGCCGGTGCAGACTAATTACAACCCTGCTGCCTCCTGCACACTGGAACTCAGGCTGCAGCACCTGCGCTTCTGAGCTGAAGGATTTTTAGGATCTGGAATTTCCCCCCGGCACTAACCTTGCATTTGATGCCTTCATTACACATCTCCTTCCACAATAGCTTCCTCACTGGTCTCTGATTTCCAGCCAACCCATCTTGCACAAAACAGCCAAATTCATCTCCTTAAAACACAGTTCCAATCACATAATTTTCTTACCCCAAATTTGTCAGCATGATCCCCATGCAGCATGTAAACTATAGTCCAGACCCCCTCCACCTGGCCCTGCAGGCTTTCTCTAAAGGGACTCAAGCCCGGATTCCTGGCCTCTTGTCAGCCCCTGACTTCCACAGTCCTTCCCACTGAGAGACATGTCGTGGCTCAGGTTCCCCTAATCAGCACTTTCACCTGCGGCATGCTCACACAGTCACCCCAGGTGCCTTAGAGACAGAAGCAAAACCTGCATCCAGACTGCTGTGGTTTCAATGCTTGTGTCCCCACCTCCCAAATTCTTATGTTGAAATTGAATCCCCAAGGTGATGGTATAGGTTGAGCATCCCAAATCTGAAAATCTGAAATCTAAAATGCTCTAAAGTCTGAAACTTTATGAGCACTGACATGAAACTCATAGGAAATGCTCACTGGAATACCATATGATCCAGCACTCCCAAGGCTAGGTGTATATCCAAAGGAAAAGAAATCCATATATCAAAAAGATCTCTGCACTTCCATGGTTCCACTGGAATGGAATGTTCCATTCACAACAGCCAAGATGTGGAAGCAACCTAAGTGTCAATCAACAGAGGAAGGAATTTTTTTAATGTGGTACACATATACAATGAAAAAGTACTCAGCCATTAAAAAAAAAGAAGAATGAAATTCTCTCAAGTGCAGCAACATGGATGGAACTGGAAGTCATTGGAGAATTTCGGATTTTGGATTTTCAAATTTGGGCTGCTTGACAAGTAAGTATATACAATGCAATTATTCAAAAATCTGAAATTCAAAACACTTTTGGTCCCAAGCATTTCAGATAAGGGATACTCAACCTGCATTAGGAGATGGTGCCTTTGGGAGATGATTATGTCATCTCATAAATTAGGCCCTCAGGAATGGGATTACTGCCCTTATAAAAGAGCACCCAGAGAGTTCTCTTGCCCTTTCTACTATGTGAGATGATGGAAAGAAGGTGCTGTCTATGAACCAGAAAGTGGGCCTTCACCAAACAATTGAAACTGCAGCTGCCTTAAATCCTGGACTTCCCAGAGTCCAGAACTGTGAGAAATAAATTTCTATTGTTTATAAGTTACCCAGTCTCAGATATTTTGCTATATCAGCTGGAACTGATTAAGACACAAACCAATAAAATAAAAATCCTTAGGTGTGGGGAAAGGGAAGTGGTAGCATTTTTAAAAAGCTGCCCAGGGGATTCCATGACTCAGCCAGGATGGAGAACTGCTGCCCAAAGGCAACTCAAGTGGCTGCAAAAAGTTTAGGATGGGCTGCACACACCCCGGGCCTGGAATGAGATGTGTGGATGGGTCTTCAGAGGTGCGTGTCTTCCAGGAACAGCCTTTAACAAAGCCCTGGCAGTTCCATGTCACCATGACTGGGGTCTTCCTCCTCACCTGTTGAGGTGCATGTTCTCCCTTTAACTTGATCTTGCAGGTGGGGCCTGATGCCCTGCCTCCCTGGTTCCTGGACTTGCAGAGTCCTGCCCACCACTGTGAGCTGTGTTCTCCCACTCGGGTCCTAGTGTGTCAGTTTGCTGTAGCCCTTTGGATACTGTCCAGTGCAGGCTAACCTGCAACCTCAGTTTCCCTCTATGTGGCTCAGTGTCTGCCTTCCCTCTGTTCAAAGTTGTCTTGGTTGGGTTTGCTTACACAAAAATGCTTGGAATAGGGTGCTGAAATGGAATTTTCCTCTAAGCACCAAATACAGTCAAGGTGTGAGTGCAAAGGGATGTGACGGATCATTTCATGAAGAATTTACAAAAGAAAATTATCCTTACACATTTTCCACTCTCATCACTTGGAGAACAAAACACAGGAGAATGAGAAAGGAAGGGAGAGAGAAGCCAACCAAGAGGACTGGAGGGGTAACCTTGAGGCTGTGGAGTGGCTCAATCCCACCTCTTCCCATACACTCACCTGGAAGGTGTCTGTGCCTGCCTACCTCCTGTTGTAGAGCTAGGAAGAGGCCTTCCAAGTCCTCTCTGGAAGGTTGGGGCTGGAGACACCTCTGCCTGAGAATCCTAGAGGCAGCAAGAATGGCTAAAGGCTGTGGTGGCAGAAGCAGGAGGTGAGTGGCACCTGGCCCAGCCCTACCCTCCAGTTACTGGGGACAAGCAGGATGTTGACAATGCTGACATGTCTCCTGGACCTGAGGTGGGAGCAGGAGCAGCTCTGGGAACCACTGGGAGGGGTCACCATGGGGATACCTGTGGAACACAATCGTGAATTGCAATGAAAGAAGTCCCCAGGGATTGGAATCTAAGAACCCACAAAAGGTCCTGGAAGTTAGGAGTTAGCTTCCATCATCTGTAGGTCCTCAGGTAGGCAAGACGGCCGTGTTTCTAGCTGGTTGGCTAGCCAGGAGGGCAGATGGCCTGGCCTAGGCTGGCCTTTTCCTTCTCACAATCCTCTCTTATACAAAGAAACACACTAATTTAAAACCGCAATTTGGGCTCAAAATTAAATGAAAAAGACCAATCATCAAAAACCAAATAGAGGAGGCAAAGAAAAAAGCGCACCATGCCTCTATCTCCTTACATTGCCTCCCGAACTCCAACTTCCCACAGCGAGGCCAGGAAGGAGGGGTGGAGCCCAGCCTGCTGCAGGTTTCAGCATAAGACTGCAGGTTTGCAGGATGTATGGCACTCCTCACTGGTGGCCTAGGGCAGGGCTGCCATTCCCTGGGATTGTGCAGTAAAGTCAGGGACCTGCCCAGATGCTCACACTGACTCAGGAAGAGCCCACCTTCCCTGGACGGATCCCACCTGATGTCCACTTCTGTGTGCATGTCACTTATTCCCTACCCCCCCACCTCCAAGTCGAGACAGAGGGACTCAAAGAGCAACCTGCAGGAACAGCATGAGGATAGCATTTATTTGGCACTCGACCTGCACCAGGCACTATGATAAGCCCCCCCAATGACCTTGTTGAATCCCTGAAACCTCTGAGGGCAGCTCAATTACTGCAGCCATTTTACGGAAAAGAAAGCTGAGGCTTGAAGAGGTTAATAACCCCAGGAAGTAGTCTGGTCAGGATTCCAGTGGGTGTTCTGCTCACTGGAGAACCTGGTACACCGTGCGGCTCCATGAAGGTTTGTCAAGTGAATGAATGTTGTCTAGCTTCCAATCTACACAACTTAAATAAACTTGCAAAACTCTCTTCTTGGGGCCAGGCGCGGTGGCTCACGCCAATCCCAACACTTTGGGAGGCCGAGGTGGGCGGATCACCTGAGGTCAGGAGTTCGAGACCAGACTGACCAACATGGAGAAATCCTGTCTCTACTAAAAATACAAAATTAGCCGGGCATGGTGGTGGTGCCTGCCTGTAATCCCAGCTACTAGGGAGGCTGAGGCAGGAGAATCGCTTGAACCTGGGAGGCGGAGGTTGCAGTGAGCCGAGATCACACTACTGCATTCCAACCTGGTCAACAAGAGGGAAACTCCGTCTCAAAAAACAAAATGAAACAAAAACTCTCTTCTATCTTCAATTGGTTGTTATCTTTAAAAAAATAACCAACGATTTTAGTTTATTTCAGAGTCCCACCTATCTCTTTTACAGAAGTATACTAAGTAGAAGTTTTTGAGCCACCTCTCTCAAGAATGTATTAAAATTTTTTCTTTTCATTTTTTACTTATAAAAACAGTTATTTAAAACAAAAAGATTATTGACATATAATAATTATACATATTTAAGGGGTACATGGTGATGTTTCAATACATATAATATATGGTGATCAGATCAGGATAATTAGCACTTCCATTGTCTCAAACATTTACCATTTGTATTGGGAACATTCAACACCCTCCTTCTAGCTATTGGAAACTCTGTAATATATTATTGTTAACTCCAGTCAACCCTTAGTGCTGTAGGACACTAGAACTGATTCCTTCCAACTAGCTGTAAATGTTTATCCTTTAACAAATCTTTTCCTTTCCTCCTTTTTCCCTACCCTTCTCAGCCTCTAGCATCTTCTGTTCTACTTTTTACTTCTATGAGATCAACTTTTTTTAGCTTCCACAGATGAGTGAGAACATGCAATGTTTTACTTTCTGTTCCTGGCTTATTTCGCTTAACATAATGTCCTCTAGTCCTATCCATATTGCTGCAAATGACAGGATTTTATTCTTTTTTATGGCTGAATAGTATTTCATAATGCATATGCCCCATTTTCTTTCCCCATTCATCTGGGGTTGGACACCTGGGTTGATTACATACCTTGGCTGTGGTGAACAGTGCTGAGATAGACATGGGGTGCAGATGTATCTTCGATATCGTGATTTCCTTTCCTCTGGATAAACGCCCAGCAGTGGGATTGGTGGATCATATGGTAGTTCTATTTGTAGTTTTTTGAGGAACCTCCATACTGTTCTCTAGAGTGGCTGTACTAGTTCAAAAACTTATTTTAAATTCTTTAAATGGTGGTGTGAGGTTGACATTATGGTTTTGCCCTGAAGAATTTTCCAACCATTTCTGAGAAAGTGTACTAAATACTGCCTTTCAAATTTGTATGCACAAAAAAAATTTTCTGGGAATTTTGTTAAAATGAAGATTCTGACTCCGTGGGCCTGGTGTGGGGCCTGAGACTCTGCATTTCCAACAAGCTGCTAGGTGATCCGATGCCGCTTGTCTGAGGACCACGCTTTGAGAAGAAAGAGGTCAGGCTCTACCTAGAATTTGCCTCACGTTATTTATACAAATAAAGTATAAGTTATCTCATCCTTACCCTCAAAAGATGAGGGCTGTCTCTAGAGTAGAGCACAGAAGACTGTCATGGGGGGAATTGTGTCCTCCACAAAGTCATACATTGAAGGCTTAAACTCCAGGACCTCAGAATGTGGCCTTATTTGGAAACAGGGCCGTCGCAAATGTAACTTGTTAAGATGAGGTCATACTGGGGCAGGGTGGCCCCTAATACAGTGTGACTGATGTCCTTATAAAAAGGAAAGATTTGGCTGGGCGCGGTGGCTCACGCCTGTAATCCCAGCACTTTCGGAGGCCAAGGCGGGTGGATCATGAAGTCAGGAGTTAGAGACGATCCTGGCCAAGATGGTGAAACCCCATCCCTTCTAAAAATACCAAAATTAGCTGGGCATGGTGGCGGGCGCCTGTGGTCCCAGCTACTTGGGAGGCTGAGGCAGGAGAATCGCTTGAACCCAGGAGGCGGAGGTTGCAGTGAGCCAAGATTGTGCCACTGCATTCCAGCCTGGGCGACACAGCGAGACTCCGTATCAAAAAAAAAAAAAAAAAGAGGAAAGATATGGGGACAGACACACACACAGGGAGAATGCGATGTGAAGATGATGGCAGAGATCAGCGTGACACCTCTACCAGCCAAGAACACCAAAGATACCAGCAAAATCCAGAAGCCAGGCAGAGCCCTGGAGCAGCTTCTCCCTCACAGCCTCAGAAGGAACCACCCTTGATCTCAGCCTTCCAGCCTCCAGAATCCTGACAGAATACACATCTATTGTGTAAGCCCCCAGTCTGTGTTCCTTTCTTATGGCAGCCAAGCAGACTAACACAAGGATAATGCATTTTTTTTTTTGAGACAGACTCTCCCTCTGTCACTCAGGCTGGAGTGCAGTGGTGTGATCTTAGCTCACTGCAACCTCTGCCTCCTGGGTTCAAGCAATTCTGTGTCTTGGCCTCTGGAGTAGCTGGGATTACAGGCGCCCACCACCACACCCAGCTAATTTTTTTGTATTTTTAGTAGAGACAGGGTTTCACCATCTTGGCCAGGCTGGTCTTGAACTCCTGACTTCTTGTTCCATCCGCTTTGGCCTCCCAAAATGCTGGGATTACAGGCGTCAGCCATCATGCCCGGCCAGGATAATGCATTTTAACGCTATAACACTATCACAAAATTCGCCCATGAAAATGAGATCTGGAAGCTTCCTGCCTCGTTTTGTTAATTAGAAGTTCAGTGTGAGGAGCAAGGGTGCATGGACCTTTTACATGACAAGTAGTAGAGGAAGCATTACTCATTATTACTTAACTGTTACTTACGTGGTCACCTCTTCCCTCAATTGGCTTGACTAGTGTGAGTTTGCTCCCTCACAGGCCTATCATAACTTTCTTGTCCACCGGCCACCACGTACAGTGCTCCCTGGCCTCGATACCTCCTTTTCCTCCTCTCACCTGATACACCTGCCATGTTCCTCACCTGTACCTCAAGTGCCCTGGTTCTTGCAGGCCCACATCAGAGCCTCCTCCCCCAGGATGGCTTCCTTGGTTTCCTGGAAGAGAAATGATTAGCATGTAGATTGTAGCTCCCAGTCTTATACCCTTTTGTGTTCATCATAGTCTCCCAGGGGCTGTCTGAACTCTTTCTAATCAGCATAATTCTAAAGATGACCCCTAGGATTCCATCCCTGGTTATTCAATCGGGCACTAATTTGGGGCTGCCACGAAGGATTTCCTGGTTGTAATTATTATCCCACATCAGTTGAACTTAACAATGTGATGTGGGATATATGTGGGTGGTCCTGACCCAATCAGGTAAGCCCTTTGCAAACAGAAAGTTTTCTCCAGCTGGTAGCAGAAGAGGAAGTAAGAATCCAAGTATAGGAGGGATTCAGAGGGGGTTGAGGAGAGGGTGGGACATATCAAGGAATGAGGGTGGCCTCTAGGCCACCTCTGGCAGCCCATAAGGAAGCACAGGTCTCTGTTCTGCAAACTCAAGGAATGAAGTTCTGTCACCGACTTGAATGAGCTCAGAAGCAGATTCTGCTCAGAGCTTCCAGGTCAGAGCCCAGTCCCGGGGATGCCTAGATTGAGGTTTGTGAGATCCAGAGCCTGCTTGAGCTTCTGATTTGCAAACTGGGACATGGTGATTGGCTGTTGTTTTCAGTTGCTAATTTGGTGGCATTTGTTATGCAGCCATGGAGAACTAATACATTGCCCCACCTGACAAAGCCTGGAGGGCAATGGCTACTCCCTCCGGCCTCCCCCATGCACCCTTCCAGGGCCCTGACCCCAACACAGTGCCTTTCCACCAACTGGCCGAGCTACTTGGTGACGCTGTTTCACTGTGTGCTGATGGTTGCTATGGTTTTTCCGCATTTGCTGAGGAAAACCAGCCACACGACCAGATGCCCACAATGCTTCTTGTAATCGAGTCTCCTATTTAGTCGAAAATAAGTGAGACCCTGCTCATGTCTGTAATTTGAAATTAGCTTAACTGCAATCAAATTAAATGGCTCTCAGATGTGAAAATAAAGCTGCGTGAAACAAAAGTGAAAACTTAGGAGACCCACCTTCCTACTGCTAAAATCAAAGCCCATCTGTCGATTTTTATGTGGCTATACTTTCCCTCCCATAAAATAAGTGTTGCTGGGTTGAAGAGGCACCAGTGGAAATGAACTAGTTCAGTCCTCTTCGGTGGTAATGTGAATAACATGGTTCCCCATCGTTCACTCGCAGTACTGCCTGGAATGTTTCAGTCTGTTCCAGCTGCTGTAACAAAATGCCATAAACCTAGAGGCGTATAAACAGCAGAAATTTATTTCTCACAGCTCTGAAAGCTGGGAAGTCTAACTTTGAGGTGTGGGAAGATTTGGTGCCTGGTGAGGGCCCACTTCTTGGTTGATAACACAGCAGCTTCTCATTGTGTCCTCACAGAGGGAGGGAGCTCTCTGAAGCCTCCTTGTAAGGACACTAGTCCCATTCACAGGGCTCCACCCTCAGGACCTAAGCACCTCCCAAAGGCCTCACCTCCTGATTCCATTACCTTGGGGGTTAGGTTTCAACACAGGAATTCTGAGGGAACACAACCATTCAGATCTGAGCAGGTTGTGGCTTTAACTCTTTTAGCATTAGGTTATTCATCTTTAAAAAACTGGGTACCAAATAATGTAACATTGCTTTGTAAAATTTTAAAGCATTTTCCTCCAAATCGCTATCCTTTTGTCTCACTTGATTTTCATTGTTTTGATGGCAGTAAAGTGGAGGCACCCTGGGCATGGGTCAAAAATCTTGGAACGAAGCCTCCGTGCTGCCTTTTGATTTTTTTTTGCGGGGGGTGGGGGGTGGGGGGTGGGGATGGAATCTCACTCTGTCATCCAGGCGGGAGTGCAGTGGCATGATCTCAGCTCTGCAACCTCCGCCTCCCAGGTTCAAGCGATTCTCCTGTCTCAGCCTCCTGAGTAGTTGGGACTACAGCCACATGCCACCACGCCCAGCTATTTGTTGTATTTGTAGTAGAGACGGGGTTTCACTATGTTGGTCTGGCTGGTCTCGGACTCCTGACCTCAGATGATCCACCCACCTCGGCCTCCTGAAGTGCTGGGATTACAGGCATGAGCCACCACACCCAGCTAATCTTTGTATTTTTAGTAGAGACAGGGTTTCACCATATTGGTCAGGCTGGTCTTGAACTCCTGAGCTCAGAGAACCCACCCGCCTCGGAGCCTTTTTTGCTTTTTACGTGTGACTTGCAGGAATCCCTCACCCTCTTCAAGCTCTGGTTCCCTCTGTCCTCAGGGTGGGGTGAAGCCCACCCGTCCACACGAGGGCAACACACACACGAGAGCAACTCTGATCCCCAGAGGCTGCTTCCCGCGCATCTCAGGCGGTTTCTCCCTGCCCATCCAGCGGAGCTAAGGAAACTTCTCTGAGGTCATGACATGTTAAGGAAAGAACTGCTGGTAAAGGCTGCATGACTCCTGAGCTAAAGGCTTTTGGTTTGTTTCACGTACTTTTTTTTTTTTTTTAACGTACCTTGTCATGCATCACATTGCTTCCGGAGTTGGTTCCTGCCGGTGGGTTAGCGGTCTTGGCTGACTTCAAGAATGAAGCCGCGGACCTTCGTGGTGAGTTTAACAGCTCTCAAAGAGTGAGCGGTGGCAAGGTTTATTGTGAAGAGGGAAAGAACAAAGCTTCCACAGCGTGGAAGGGGACCTGAGCGGGTTGCCGCTGCTGGCTGCCATGGCCAGCTTTTACTCCTTTATTTATCCTCTCCCCCATGTTCGATTTCCGTCGTATCAGAGTGCCCTTTTTTCAATCCTCCTGCGATTGGCTACTTTTAGAATCCTGCTGATTGGTGCATTTTACAGAGTGCTGACTGGTGCATTTTACAGAGCACTGATTGGTGCATTTTACAGAGTACTGATTGGTGCGTTTTACAAACCTCTTGTAAGGCAGGAAAGTTCCTGATGGGTGCGTTTTACAAACCTCTTGTGAAACAGGAAAGTTTCCCAAGTCCCCACTCGACCCAGGAAGTTCAGCTGGCTTCACGTCTCAACAGGAAGGTAGGTGGAATATTTCTAAGAACTGTAAATATTATAAAAGCAGAAGACGAAGGGTTTCTTTCAGTGTAGACCTTCAGACTGTTACCTCCTTGGCTTTCCTTCGAATCAGGGGTTTTATAAGCAAGACACAGTGTGACTATCTGTCGGCTCTTCCTGGAAGGCTCACACAGTTTCTTTCTTCCTCTGCCAGCACTTTACTGCTTGTCGACAGACTTCAGCCCCCGGTACTCCACACGAGGGGCAGGAAGTGACATCCTAAATCGCAAAATCCAAAAGTTCTGTTTAGTCCTTACTCGTTACTTAACTTCTCTGCAGCATTGTGGCCTTTCAACACTGTCTCTTTTTTAAGATCCTCTCCTCTCTCACTTCCCAAGGGACCATTCTCTCTTGGTTTTTCTCCTCGTCCTCATCTCCTTGAGGTCACAGTGCACCAAGGCAGGTTCAGTCTCTTTCCAGCTCTGGAGACTCAATGATTACATATTCAGTAATTTTGCTTGCCATTGTATGTCACATTGGCAGTTTGAAATTGGCTGAGGTGGGAGTATTTACACTATGAGAATTGGCAAATGCTACAATTTGGGGTCTTTAATCTTCTCTTTTTTCCCAGAACTGGTGCTAACCTGTTGCCAGCATACCACTGTTTCAGGCCTTTGGGTCAGGCCTTTCTGGTTTTTGCATCAGGCAGATAGATCTGGTTTTATATCTTCGATCATTCCATCATCCAGACCATTTTTCACACAGTTCCATTGATCCAAAGTACAAAAATGATTGTCATTCCTCTGATAAAATTTTTTGATAATAAAAAACCACTCTTTGGCATAGCAAAGGATGTTTGGCTACTGTCCTGTCTGGGTGTTCTTTTGCACCCTGTGTTCAGGCAACAGTGGGTCGCGGTGCACACTCCAAGTTCTCAGCTTTGGTCTCACATTGGTTACCCTTTCCTATGTCTTCAGGCATCATCTTCTCCACAATGACATCACCAGTCCTCAAAGCCTGCTCAGAGACCCTTTCCTGTGCCCCTACACTTCTGGGGACATTTAACCACTGCCTTGGAGGGATTCATTTGCTAGCTTGCTTCCCTGATAGCCTGAGGGCAAGAGCATCCCTCCACACAAACTTTTCACCCCAATTTTGTTTATTGTGGTAAAATACACACAATGTAAAATGTATTCTTACCCATTTTAAGTGTATTTAACCAGTTCAGTGGCATTAAGTACATTCAAAATGTTGTGCAACCATTACTACCATCCATCTCCATTACTCTTCATCTTGTAAAACTGACATTCTATACCCAATGGACAGTAACTCCTCATTTCCTCCCTCCCCACATCCCCTATCAAAGTGCATTCTACTTTTTGTCTCTATGATTTTGCTTAGGTACCTCATATAAGTGGAATCATATAATGTTTGTCTTTTTGTGACTAGCTTATTTCACTTTGCAAAATGTCTTCAAGCTTCATCCATGCTGTAGTGTATACCAGAAATTCTTTACATATTAAGGCTGAATAATATTTCATTATACATATATACCACATTGCCTATCCATTCATCTGTCATAATCACTTGGGTTGCTTCCGTGTTATGGCTACTATGAATAATACTTCTATGAATATTGGTATACAAATGTCTTTAAGATTCTGCTTTCAATTCTTTTGTGTATATATATGATAGTGGAATTACTGGATCATATAGTAGTTCTTCAAATTTTTGATGCACTGACATACTGTTTTCCATGGTGGCTGTATCATTTTACATTCCCACCAACAGTGCACAAAGGTTGCAATTTCTCCACATCTTCATCATCATTTATTTTCTGTTTCTTGATAGGAGCCATCCCAAGTGGTGTGTGGTGGTATCTAGTTGTAGTTTTGATTTGCATATCTTTAATTATTAGTGATGTTGAACATCTTCTCATGTGTTTATTGGCCATTTGTATCTCTTCTTGGGAGAAATGTCTATTCAAGTCCTTTGTCAATTTTTTTTTTTTTTTTTTTTGAGACGGAGTCTCGCTCTGTTGCCCAGGCTGGAGTACAGTGGTACGATCTCAGCTCACTGTAAGCTCCACCTCCCGGGTTCACGCAATTCTCCTGCCTCAGCCTCCCGAGTAGCTGGGACTACAGGCACCCGCCACCACGCCTGGCTAATTTTTTTGTATTTTTAATAGAGACAGGGTTTCACCGTGTTAGCCAGGATGGTCTCGATCTCCTGACCTCGTGATCCACCCGCCTCACCCTTCCAAAGCGCTGGGATTACAGGCGTGAGCCACCACACCCAGCCTCCTTTGTTAATTTTTAAATTGAGTTGGTTGGTTGGTTGGTTTTTTGTGGTTGAATTTTAGGAGTTCTGTATACATTCTGGATATTGATTTCTTACTAGATATATGCTTTGCAAATATCTTCCCCCATTCTGTGGGTTGCCTGATTATTCTCTTGATGTTATACGTTAATGCACAAGTTAAAAAAAATTCATGAAGTCTCATTTGTTTATTTTTTCTTTGGTTGTCTGTTCTTTATCTTGATGTCTTATCCAAGAAATCACTGCCATCTTCAATGTAGTGGTTTTCACCCTATGTTTTCTTCTAAGTTTTTACTTTTAGTTTTCATATTTAGATCTTTGATCCATTTTAAGTTTATTTTTGTACATAGTGTTAGGTAGGGGTCCACCTTCATTCCTTTACAGGTGAACATCCAGTATTCCCAGTATCATTTGTTGCAAAGACTGCGCTTTCTCCATTGAATAGTCTACGCACTTGTCAAATATCATTTGATCATACATGTGAGGGTTTACTTCTGGGCTTTGTGTTCTATTCCATTAACCTATATGTCTATTTTTATCCCAGTTCCACACCATTTTAAGTAGCTTTGTAGTAAGTTTTGAAATCAGAAAGTGTGAGTCCTCCAGCTTTGTTCTTTTTCAAAATTGTTTTGGCTATTTTGGGTCCTTTGAAATTCCATATGAATTTTAAGATGGTTTTTAAAATTTTTCTGTAAAAAATGTCTTTGGCATTTTAATAGAAATTGTATTTCATCTGTAGATCATTTTGGGTAGTATTGACATCTTAACAATATTGTTTTCCCATCCATGACCATGGAATATGTTTCTATTTATCTATGTCTTCCTTAACTTTTTTCCATAATGTTCCATAGTTTTCGCTGAACAAATCTTTGATTTCCTTGGTTAATTTAATTCCTGAGTGTATATTTTCTTTTTAATGCTGTTATAAATGGAAATGTTTCCATAATATTCTTTTTGGGTTGTTTATTATAGATATATATAAATGCAACTGATTTTTGTATTTTGACTTTCTATTCTGATAATTTGCCAAATTCATTCATTAGTTCCAGCAGTTTTTTTTTTTCAATCCTTAGGATTTTCTGCATGTAAGAATATATCGTCTGTGAACAAAGACACTTTAACTTATTTTTTTCTAATCTGGATTTTATTTATTTATTCCACCTAATTGCTCTAGCTAGAACTTCTAGTACTATGTTAAATAGAAATCATGAAGGCAGACATGATTATCTTATTCTCAATCTTAGAGGAAAAGTTTCAGTCTTTCACTATTGAGTATGATGTTCACTATGGGTTTTTCACATGTGGCTTTTATTATGTTGAGGTAGTTTTGTTCTACTTCTAGTTTGCTGAATGTTTTTCTCATAAAATGATGTTGAATTTTGTCAAACGGTTTTTCCGCATTGATTGAGATAATGATTTTTTTTCTTCTTTCTTTTAATGTGTTGTATTTTCTTTCTTGTTCAATTTTGGTATGTTGAATTATCTTTGGATTCCAGTAATAAATCCCACTTGATAATGGTAAATTGACTTTTTAATGTGCTGTTGAATTTGGTTTGCTCATATTTTGTCATGGGTTTTCTGCATAAGGGATATTGGTCTGTGGTTTTCTTTTGCAGTGTCTTTGTCTGGCTTTGTTATCACGGTAACCTGGCCTGATAGAATAAGTTAGGAAGTATTCCCTCTTTTTCATCTGTTTAGAAAAATTTGAGAAGGATTGGTGTTTGTTCTTTAAATTATGATAGAATTCGGCCGGGCGCGGTGGCTCATGCCTATAATCCCAGCACTTTGGGAAGCTGAGGTAGGCAGATCCCGAGATCAGGAGATGGAGACCATCCTGGCTAACACGGTGAAACCCCGTCTCTACTAAAAATGCAAATAATTAGCCGGCTGTGGCAGGCGACTGCAGTCCCAGCTACTCCGGAGGCTGAAGCAGGAGAATGGCGTGAACCTGGGAGGCAGAGCTTGCAGTGAGCGGAGATCGCACCACTGCACTCCGGCCTGGGAGACAGAGCGAGAATCCGTCTCAGAAAAAAAAAAAAAAAATGATAGAATTCATCAGTGAAGCTGTCAGGTCCGAGGATTTTCTTTGTCAGGAGAGTTCTGATTAATAAGCAATCTTTTTACCAGCTATAGGTCTATTCAGATTTTCTCTTCAATTGTGATTTAATCTTCGTAGGTTTTCTGTTTCTCGGAATTTGCCCATTTTATCTAGCTTACCCAATTTTTTGACATACAACTGTTCATAGTATTCTCTTACAAACTTTTTTTTTATTTCTGTAGAATCAGTAGTAATGTCCTCACTTTCATTCATGACTTTAGTAATTTGAGTATTCTCTTTTTTTTGTTTTAGTCCATCTAGCTAAAGATTTGTCAATTTTGTTGAACTTATCAAAGAAACAACTGTTGTTTAACTCTATTGTTTCTCTATTCTTTTTTTTTTATCTACCTCATTTTGCTCTCATTTTTATTGTTGTCGTCCATCTGCTAGCTGTGGGTTTAGTTTGTTCTTTTTCTAGTTCCTTGTGTTGTAAAGTTAGGTAGTTGATTTGAGATCTTTCTTATTTTGAATGTAAGTGTTCATGGCCGTAGATTTTGCTCTTAGTACTGCTTTCACTGTTTCCCTGAAATTTTGGTACATTGTGTTTTTCTTTTTCTTTCCTTCCTTCTTTTTTTTTTTTTTTTTTTTGATATGGAGTCTTGCTCTTTGGCCAGCCTGGAGTGCAGTGGTGTGATCTTGGCTCACTGCAACCTCTGCCTCCCGGGTTCAAGCAATTCTCCTCAGCCTCAGCCTCCCGAGTAGCTGGGACTATAGGCGTGTGCCACCACACCCAGCTAATTTTTGTATTTTTAGTAGAGACAGGGTTTCACCACGTTGGCCGGGATGGTCTCAATCTCTTGACGTGATCCACGAGCCTCGGCCTCCCAAAGTTCTGGGATTACAGGGATGAGCCCCTGTGCCCCACCGTGTTTTTATTTTTATTCATCTCTAATTATTTTCAAATTTCCCTTGTGATTTCTTCTTTGATTCATTGGTTGTTTAAGAGTGTGTTGTGTAATTTCCACAAATTTGTGAATCTTCTCATTTTACTTTTGCTGTTGGTCTAACTTCATCCCATTGTGGTCACAGAAGATACTCTATATAACACCTAGCCTCTTAAATCTGTTGAGAGTTAATTTGTGGCCTAAAACATGTCCTATCCTGGAAAATATCTTGTGTGCAATTAAAAATTTGTGTGCGGGCTAGGTGCTGTGGCTCATGCCTTTAATCCCAGCACTTTGGGAGGCTGAGGCAGGTGGATCACAAGGTCAGGAGATCGAGACCATCCTGGCTAACATGGTGAAACCCCATCTCTACTAAAAGTACAAAAAAAAAAAAAAACCAGATGTGGTGGCACACACCTATAATCCTAGCTACTTGGGAGGCTGAGGCAGGAGAATCACTTGAACCTGGGAGGCAGAGGTTGCGGTGAGCCAAGATTGCACCGCCGCACTCCAGCTGGGTGACAGAGTGAGACTCCACCTCAAATAATAATAATAATAATTGTGTGTGCTATTGTTGCTGGGTAGAGTGTTCTTTACGTGTCTGTTAGATCTAGTTTGTTGATTGTGTTGTTTAGGTCCTCTATTTCCTTGCTTATTGTCTGTCTGATTATTCCAGCCATTATTGAGAGTGGGGTATTGCAGTCTCCAACTATTATTATTATTTATTATTATTATTTTTTGAGACAAAGTCTCACTCTGTTGCCAGGCTGGAGTGCAGTGGCGTGATCTCGGCTCACTGCAGCCACCACCTCCTGGGTTCAAGCAATTCTCTTGCCTCAGCCTCCTGAGTATCTGGGATTACAGTCATGTGCCACCACACCCAGCTAATTTTTGTATTTTTAGTAGAGATGGGGTTTCACCATGTTGGCCAGGATGGTCTCAATCTCCTGACCTTGTGATCCCCCCACCTCAGTCTCCCAAAGTGCTGGGATTACAGGCATAAGCCACAGCCCCCAGCCCTTTCCAAGTATTATTGTAGAACGATTTCTCCCTTCAATTCTGTCAGTTTTTTGCTTCGTATTTTTGACAGCCTTTTATTAGGTGTGTTAATGTTTGTAATATTTATATAGTCTTATAGTATTAAAACTTTTATTAATATATAATGTCCCTTTCTATTAATATATAATCTCTCTTGTCATCCTTTTTAATTGAAAATCTATTTTGCCTGATATTAATATAGCCACTTCTGCTCTTCCTTGGTTACTATTTGAATAGAATATCTTTTTGCATCCTTTCCATTTCAATCTATTTGTGTCTTTGGATCTAAAATGTGTCTTTTGTAGATAGCATATAGTTTAAATATGGATTTTAAAAATCCATATTTTTTAAATATGGATTTAAAAATATCCATTCTGCCAATCTCTGTCTTTCAATTAGAGGATTTAATCCACTTACATTTAAATTAATTACTGATAAGGAGGGACTTACTTTTTTCATTTTGCTATTTGTTTTCTTTATGACTAATAGCTTTTTTGCCCCTGATTTCTTGTATTACTATCTTCTTTTGTGTTCAGTTGATTTTTTTTTTTTTGTAGTGGAACATTTAAGTCTCTCATTTCTCTTTGTATATAATCTATAGCTATTTTCTTTGTGGTTACCATGGGGATTACATTTCACATCCTAAAGTTATAACACTCTAATTTGAATTTCTATCAGCTTAACTTCATTAACATATAAAATCTCTTTAATAGCTTCTTAACATTTCTATCCCTACCCTTTTCAATTGTTGATGTCTCAAAATTATATCTGTATACATTGTGTGCCCCAAATCACAAACTGATAATTTAAAAAATGCATTAGTTTCTTAAATTATGTAAAACATAAAATCTTGAGTTATGAACCAATTACAATAATATGTGCTTTTACACTAATATTTTTAAAAAGAATAGTCTCTTAAATCCTGTAGAACACAAAAACGTAGAGTTACAAACCATTGTTGTAACAATACTTGATTTTATAATAGCCTATGTATTTTTATTTAAATCTTTATTTCTTCATATGTATTTGAGTTACTATCTAGTATTCTTTCATTTTACCCTGCATGCCTCCCTTGAGCATTTCTTATGGGGTGGGTTTAGTGGTAATTAACTTTGTTAGCTTTTGTTTATCTGAGAACATCTTAATTTCTCCCTCACTTTTAAATGATAGTTTTGCTAGATATAGAATTCTTGGTTGACAGGTTTTTTTTTTTTCTTTCTTCCTTTTAGCCCTTCATGTATCAGCCCACTGCCTCCAAGTTTCTGGTGAGAAATCTGCTGATAGTTTTATTCAAGATCCCCAGCATATGATAAGTCACTTCTTTCTTGCTGCTCTCAAAATTTTTTCTGTTACTTTGGCTTTTGAAATTTTGATTATAATGTCTCTCAATGTGGGACTCTTTGAGTTCATCTTATTTGGTTTTTATTGAGCTTCCTGGATATTTATACTTTTGTCTTTCATCAAATTTGGAAAAATTATTATTCCATTATTTCTTCAAGTTTCCCTCTCGTCTTTCTCTGTTTCTTCTCCTTCAGGAACTCCCACAATGTATATGTTGGTCTGCTTGATAGTGTCCTGCAGCTCCCTGAAGATTCGTTTACTTTTTTGCGATCTTTTTTGTTCTGCTTCTCAGACTCAATAATTTCCAATGTCCTATCTTCAAATTCACTAATTCCTTCTTTTGCCTACTCAAATCTGGCTTTGAATTCTTTTAGTAAATTTTTCACTGCATTTCTTGTACTTTTCAGTGCCAGCATTTCTTTTGGGTTTCTTTTTAGAATTTCTGTCTCCATACAGATATTTCTATTTTGTTCATACATCATTTTCTTTACTTCCTACACATCTTCCTTTAGTTTTTTAAGGATCTTTAAGTTGTTTTAAAGTCTTTATCTAGTACATCTGCCATTAGGTTTTTTTTTTTTTTTTTTTGGAGACGGGGTCTCACTCTGTTGACCAGGCCCAGGCTGGAGGGCACTGATGCAATCTCCGCTCACTGCAACCTCCACCCCCCGGATTCAAGCGATTCTTCTGCCTCAGCCTCCTGAGTAGCTGGGATTACATTAAATTAGCCATGCCTGGCTAATTTTTTATATCTTTAATAGAGAGGGGATTTCACCATGTTGGCCAGGTTGGTCTCAAACTCCTGACCTCAAGTGATACCCCCACCTCAGACTCCCGAAGTGCTGGGATTACAGGCATGAGCCACTGTGCCTGGCACCACATAATTTTTTTTTTTTTTTTTTTTGAGACAGAGTCTCGCTCTGTCGCCCAGGCTGGAGTGCAGTGGCGCGATCTTGGCTCACTACAAGCTCCACCTCCCAGGTTCAGGCCATTCTTCTGCCTCAGCCTCCCAAATAGCTGGGACTACAGGTGCCCACCACCACGCCCTGCTAATTTTTTTGTATTTTTAGTAGAGACAGGGTTTCACCGTGTTAGCCAGGATGGTCTCGATCTCCTGACCTCATGATCCGCCTGCCTCAGCCTCCCAAAGAACTGGGATTACAGGCATGCACCACCCACCCAGCTAATTTTTAGTATTTAGTAGAGTCAGGGTTTCACCATGTTGGTCAGGTGTTTTCATAAACAGCCTCAAACTGTTTTTGATCATTGTAGTCTTTGTGCCAAAGAACAGCCTGAGGTGTAAACTTAAGGTCTTCTTAGATCTTTTTTGAGCCTGTGCCTTTCTTTGGGCATGTATGGCCACTTTCTTACTTTCCCCATATATGCAATTGCTTTTGAATTACCTAGCATTTAATGTCTGGCTCCTAAAAAGGCAGGGTGGGGGTGCTGGGGTGGGGATTAGTACGGGCCCTTTAAAGGGGAGAGGGAAGTATGCAATCCCTTTAATTCTCTTGGCAGTCACTTTGGCCATAGGAGGAGGGGACTGCAACAATGGCTGTGAAAGAGGAGGGGCTTGCATGGATTGAAGGAGGTGCAACAATAGCAGCCACACACCTCTTTGCACCTCTGTGATGAGAGGCAGCAATCAGCAACCAGAGCGTAGATTTACTGATATTTAGAGGACAGGGTACATTTTGCTCACCCTGGCTCCCACCACTATGTGCCATTGTTCCAGGAACACAATACAGCCAACTGCCACGGGGATGGTAGGGGGCTTGGGTAGCTACCGTACTAAAAGCTGAAATTGGCCAAAATTAAACACATTTATGTGGAAGGTGCGAGTCTTCAGTAGACTCCAGAGTTCCAAAATAGTTACATAAGACACATTCTGTCAGTGCAGTTGTCTCAGTGGGAGACAGAGTCAGTTCTTCCTGCTCCACCATCTTCCCAGAATCCTTCCCCACTTTATGCATCTTTATGTCCCCAAGTATAAACACAGTGCCAGGCACAGAGATGATACTCAGTGCACACTGTCGACTGACTGTAATAAGTGAACAAAGTATTGTGTTGGAGGGACTAGCTATCGCTCCTTAAAATAAAGGAAGCAGCTCTTATTTTATCCATTCAAAAAAATATCCTCTTCAACTCTGCAGTGTGAATGGGAGGGGTCTGGGAACCATGTCTACAGGCACTTTCACAAAACCATGCTCTCTAATGGCCAGGGAAGGGCACAGCCTCCTGGCTTCAAAGTTACCCATTGAGAAGCATAGTTTAACATAAGGCCATGCTTATAAACACAGCATTTACCCTGGGCTCATGTCTATGCTTCGCCTTCTTATGAAATGTGATTACTAGCTAAAAAAATAAAAAATATTCCTGGTTGCTTGATACTGTGTGTCCAAAATGCTGATTCATTTGCTATGTTGAGAGCAAACAATTTCTCTAATTTTACCTCCAAAAGGAATTTCAGGACACAGAGGATCTGTATTTTCAAGTGCATCAGTTGATTATGGGCTCCCCCTGCCTCAGCCTGCCTCTTCTTATATATTTATTTTCATATTTTCTCTTACTTTATTTTATTTTATTTATTTTATTTTTTGAGATGGAGTTGCACTCTTGTTGCCCATGCTTGACGGCAATGGTGCACTCTTGGCTCACTGCAACCTCTGCCTCCCGGGTTCAAGCAGTTCTCATGCCTCAGCCTCCGTAGTGCTGGGATTATAGGCAACCGCCATCATGCCCCCATAATTTTTGTATTTTTAGTAGACGAAGGGTTTTGCCATATTGGCCAGGCTGGTCTCGAAATCCTGACCTCAGGTGATCTACCTGCATCAGCCTCCCAAAGTGCTGGGATTACAAGGCATGAGCCACTGCCCCCAGCCATATTTTCTCCCATTTTAAAAGTAATTGCAATAATGCCCACTCCAGAAATCTGGGTCTTATCATGGCACTATAAATCATTTTGTAATTAATTTGAGTCCATACATTATTCAGATTTCTTTAGTTTCTCCTTAACATCTTTTTCTGTTCCAGGATTCCATCCAGGATCCTACATTGCATTTAGTCGTTTTCTCAGGCTCCTCTTGGCTACAGTGTCTTGCTTTTGATGGGCTTGACAGTTTTGAGATGTATTGGCTATTTTGTAGAATTTTCCTTAGTTTGAGTTTGTCAGGTATTTTTCCCATTGAGTTTATGGGTTCTTGGGAAGAAGACCATGGAGGGAAAGTGCCATATTAATTATATCATATCAGAGGTGCATACAATCAACATCACTGCGGATGCTCACTTTGATCATCTGGCTGAAGCAGTAGACATCAGATTTCTCCACTGTAAAATTACTTTGTTTTCCCTCTTCCTATGCTGTGCTCTTTGGAAGGAAATTATTTTGGAAATCACTTTGGAAAGAAGCCCACACTTAAGGCTGTGGAGCTATGCTTCACCTCTTGGAGGAAATAATAGCTACATAAAATTATTTGGAATTCTTTTACATGGAGAATTGCCTATTCTCCCCTACTTATTTGTGTATGCAATCATGTATTTATACCAGTATGCACTCATGGATATTTATTTTATGCTCCAGGTTATAATCCAGTACAATGTTACTTATTTTATTTCTCAAATTGTTCCAGCTTTGGCCATTGGGAGCTCTTTCAGTTGGCTCTTGTGTCCCCTTCATAAGCCCATCGTTTGATTTTTGAGCACTTGTTTGCTTTCTGATACTATAAGATGCTCTAGGCTCATATTGTATATTCCCTGCCCCAACCCTAGAATCAGCCATTTCTTCATGGCACCCTGATTCCGTGTATTGAAGTATGGTGTAAGGAACCAGTGTCTGGGCACTGGGTTTGCTTATTGCCTCCGGGGTGAAGCATTTTGCAGGAATGTTGTTTCATTCAAAATATCTTTCCAAATAGTATTTGTTTTCAATAAACTCAAATTATAAGAGGTGTATTTCTCTCAAGTCTTTTAGAACTTTAGATTTTCCAACTTTACCACTACTTAAGTTAATAAGATAATTTTTCTTTTGTTTTGTAAATTAATATCATTATTCATCTCTCCTAAACATGTACATGGAACTCCAAAGGCATGGTTGAGGTCCAATTTTTACTTTTCTAAATTTCAGTTTTATTTCTTCTTTTTTCCTTTCTTTCTTTCTTTTTTTTTTTTAAAGACAGCATCTCGCTCAGTTGCCCAGGGTGGAATTCAGTGGCATGATCATAGCTCACTGCAGCCTCCAATTCCTTGGCTCAAGCAGTCTTTCTGCCTCAGCCTCCTGAGTAGCTAAGACCACAGGCACAGGCTAGCAGCCTGGCTAATTTTTTTTTTTTTTTTTTTTTTGTAGAGAAGAAGTCTCACTATGTTGCCCAGGCTATTCTCAAACTCCTGGCCTCAAGCTATCCTCCCACCCGAGCCTCCCAATATGTTGAGATTGCAAGCATGAGCCGCTGCACCTGGCCAACCTCTTATTATTATTTATCACACAATGTAAAAGAGATTGTTTCTGTCCTCTAACAAGTGTCTCCATCATAAAAATTATTTCAGCTTCCTTTATTCGAGCTGATTCTGGTCCTGCTAGAACATTCTTGTTCTCCAGCAACTAGAACTTCAGGCAACGGCACAACTGGGGTGTAAGACATGCCATGATTTTGCACATAGGGAAGTAATCCTTTCTGGATTGTTTCCAGTCCTTCCTATTGAATTAGAACATTTTGGCTGACCTTTCTGGTAGCAGCAGCAACACATTTAAATAATGTCTTCAGTAAATGGTTTATAGTGAATGATAGGTCCATTTCTTGGATCCTAGCTGAAAGTTCATAAAGCTCAGAATCTTACGAAAATAGCTTAAGCTTCTTTTTCTTTTTCTAGATGTGTTATTTTGCTCTTGCTCACATTATTTTTCATCTGCCACTTTCCTGCAGCATTGCTAAATTACTTCCCAGATTCTATTTAATCACTGGCTATACCTGAAACTACTCTATGTGTGCAGTATCAGAAATAGACCTGCTAAATATGAGACTTTGCTCTTTCCAAATTAGAGAATGACTTAATATTTGTACATTTAGCTATGAGTGAGGGTTGGAACATCGTTAGAATGCAGGTGTACCCTGATTCTCAAGCTCATAATGATTGTGCAAAATGTTGAAAGTACCAGCAATTTTCCAGAACGGATTTCTGGCCATGTCTACATTAGAGGCATATTATTATATTTTACTCAATATGCATGAAGTCAATGGATAGAAGGAAGTTGCAGAAAGGAGAGATGCCAAATTCACCTATTTATTAGAGTTGATTTTGTAATCAACACTGGGGGGAAGATTTTTCCATATATATATGTGTGTGTGTGTGTTTGTGTGTATAATCTTCCACTTTTTTTTTTTTTTTGAGATGGAGTCTCACTCTGTCACCCAGGCTGGAGTGCAGTGGTATGATCTCGGCTCACTGCAAGCTCCGCCTCCTGGGTTCATGCCATTCTCCTGCCTCAGCCTCCTGAGTAGCTGGGACTACAGGCGCCCACCACCACGCCTGGCTAATTTTTGGTATTTTTAGTAGAGATGGGGTTTCACCATGTTAGCCAGGATGGTCTCGATCTCCTGACCTCATGATCCGCCCATCTCGGCCTCACAAAGTGCTGGGAGTACAGGCGTGAGCCACCATGCCCAGCCTTCCACTTTTAAATTTAAGTCAATGGATTAATTCAACAAACACTAATTGAGCATCTACTCTGTGCCATGTGCATACTGGGGATGGTGCAAAACAATCAAGGCAGCAGAACTCCTTCTCCCAGAGCTTGCCCGATGCTTCACATCCTTGGAGCTGAGGGCTGCCTGAAGATTCTTGATCTGGTTGGGCATCTTCCCTGAGCAAGCCAGAGAGAGCTGAATTTATCCAACCTGTGCACATCATAAGTAGGGGAATCTCAAATTTGTTTCTTAATTAATTGATTAATTGTTTAATTGATACATTGTTATTGTACATATTTATGGGCTCTAATTTGATGTTCCAATACATATATACGTTGTATAAGGATTAAATCAGAGTATTTAGCATGTCCATCGCTTCATGCATTTGTCCTTTTTTTTTTTTTTTTTTTTTTTTTGAGACAGAGTCTCACTCCGTCACCAGGCTGGAGTGCTGTGGCGTGATCTCAGCTCACTGAAACCTCTGACTCCCTGGTTCAAACGATTCTCCTGCCTCAGCCTGCTGAGTAGCTGGGATTACAGGCATGTGCCACCACACCCAGCTAATTTTTGTGTTTTTAGTAGAGACGAGGTTTCACCGTGTTAGCCAGGATGGTCTCGATCTCCTGACCTCGTGATCCACCCACCTTGGCCTCCCAAAGTGCTGGGATTACAGGCGTGAGCCACGGCGCCCGGCCTGCATTTGTCATTTCTTGGTGGTGGGAACATTCAAAAGTCTCTCTTCAGCTATTTTGTAATCTATGGTATCTTACTGTTAATCATTCTCATCCAACTATGCAATAAGATACCAGAACTTCTTCCTCCTAACTGTAACTTTGTATCCATTTGTCAACCTCTCTCTGTCCTCCCCATCCCCCTTCCCAGTCACAGAAAGACAAATACTGCAGGATCTCACTTATATGTAGAATCTAAAAAAAAAAAAATTCTTAAAGTTGATATCCTAGAAGCAAAGAGTAGAACAATGGTGATCAAATTTCTGATCTATAACCTTGAACACTAGTACCATTCTGTTAAAGTACTTATTTCTAGTTTATCTAGTTTAGATTTTTAATTTGTTTTTGTTTTTGTCTTACTGTCAGTCACTACTTGCCTCACTTTTTACATTGAAATAGCCCCCTTGGGTAGTCATTAACTGCATATTTAGATGTGCCATGTCTGTTGGGTGTGAGCCTGCTGATCTGGTATTTTAAATTCTTAAATTTCATGCCAGACACGACAGACTTGAAGGGAAGCAAGTGATTACCATGGCATTCAAAGATAGAACTCTGAATGCCACCAGCAGAATGTCACCACTTGCAGTCATAGCTGAAAGCAATTGGGTAGAGCACATTTTTCTTCAGGATTTAAGAATGTAAAATATAACTGTATTTTTGATCTTTAAATTAAACCTGATGCATTCCAGGCATTAAAAACAACCACGACAACTCTATTTCTCAACCCCTCTAGAACAGGCTTTCACAAGATGGAACTAAGTCTCGGGTCTGTTGTGTGTTCATCTTGAGACCACCACTCCACTCTTTCCCTCAGGCCCAGTGGCGTGGCTTGAGACTGGATCCACAAAACGGATTAGAGATTGCAAAGTGAGCAGAGTGGTTAGCAGAAGGCAGGTTGTCATCATGGAGCTTCACCAGGACCAAGCTGGGGTCCAGAAACATCCTAGTACTGACTTGGTCATGATAGACAGTGCATCTAGACAAGCTCTGGCTCCCAGCGCCAGGCAGGATCCCAAGTGTTGGGCGAAGTCAATGGGGGGGCCCAGCCCCACTGTGTAGGCACCCAGAGGTGGTATCGCCCATGCAACATCTGGGACCCACTGATACCAAAGCGTTATTGCTACTTATCTTGAATTCAGATTCAATTGGGCATCCCATATTTTATCTGGCAACCCTATGAGAGGGCACTTCCCAGGAGCAGCAGAAGTGAGGTCCAGAAAAGCTGCCTGAGAGCATGCGTTCCACCACGGGCAGCAAGGGCAGTGGCCTCAGAGACCAACTGCTGCAGGAAGGGAAATGGTCCAAAGAGAAGGGGCCTCCTTGGCTGCCAAACGTGGTGGGCACAGAGAGAGCCTCTATTTGTCTTCCCTGAAACACGCAACTTCCCATAAGAAGGCCAGGAGGACCCCCTCCTCCTGAACACCAGAGCTGTCTTCAAGTGCAGTTCTTCTCTGGGGAAGAGCCTTGGGCTCCCCCTGGAGGTCACGAAGCGCAACAGGCCTTGTGTTGGGCAGAGCATCGCTGTCCTTCACCTCCTACGGAGAAAGAGGGGTTTCAGGGAGTAATGACCAGCACCCCCACCCCCGCCCTGCAATGACTGCTAAAGAGGTCTCCAAATAGTCCAAGTGAGAAAACAGCCAGGGTGGGGCAGGGCGAGCATGGGTTGTTTACGGCCGTTTCCACGCTGACTGGTCATCGCTTTGTGGATACTCGTGCTCATGTCCCTGGTTAAATTGTTATATACTACCCCTGGTTATAAAAGCTCGCGCTATAAAAGTGATGGGGACAGGCTGGCAGCGGGGCTGCAGAAAGCTGGAGGACTTTTGCTCCCCAAAAAGCTTGTAGCAGAGCCAGTGCATATACCTGTGAAGACCTTGTTACCGTGCATTGTAATCACTATTGCCATGCTCATGACATTTGTTTACCATGAGGTTCCTGAAGTCAAGAATGCTCCCATCACCTCTAGGGTCTGGTACACAGTAGTTACTTGAAAACAGAATCAGTGAATGATGGAAGGCTGTGTAGTTAGATAATGTCTTGAAAAATGATTAGCTAGTGTATTTTCAATTTACAGTAAAGCAGGTCACCCTGCAGCCTCCCACCCACCATATCAACAGCATTTATCACTTCTAAGAGAGGGCAGATACCACCTATAGAAACAAAAAATCCATTGCTCAATTTTTAGTTTCAATCACCCTTTTCAGAGGCCATAATGGCAAAATCCTGGCCTTCATGTGTCCAGAGCCAAATTTGGAGATCTGAGAAGAGAGCTTTGCTATGACCCATGAGTATAACAGATCCAGGCTATGAGAGGAATGCCGAGCTGGCGGGGACGGTGGTGTGAGATGTCACACGAGGAGGGAGGTGCAGACACAGTGGGCCTGTGCAGAGATGAAAACATCAGTCAGGCTCTGGGGAATCTGAGAACTCTGGGGCTGGTGCTAGCTCCTCTAGGTTCAGCATGACCCACAGCTAAGCAGAGGAGCGGAAGGATGGTTATGGAGAGTGGAAGTCCTAGACAAGAATGAACAGTTTACAGCCACTTGTAGAACTGTCTGTCTCTTTCCAGTATCTGAACTTTGACGATCTCAAAGGGCATCTCTGGGAATTTTTGAGTGTCAGCGTGCCACTCAAAGGGTGGCGGGAGGGGCACCTAGCAGTCAGTGCAGCAAGGCAGACAGGACCCGCATGCCAGCACCCTGCCTGTCTGATGACACTGATTCCGAAAGGTAAGTGCATAATTTCCTGTGGCTGCTGTACACATTATAACCAACTGGATGGCTTCAAACAACACATATTTATTCTCTCACAGTTCAGGAGGTCGTAAGTCCAAAATCAAGGTGGTGTCAGGGTTGGCTCCTTCTGGAGGCTCTGCAGGACAATCAGTTCCATGCCTCTTTGCTGGCATCCGCTGGCTGCTGGCAGTCCTTGGACACCCCTGGCTGTCGACGTGGCATTCTTACCTCTGTCTCTGTTACTGTGTTCACACAGCCTTCTCTGTGTGTCTCTCAAACCTCCGTATCCTTTTACAAAGACACCACAGGATTTAGAATGTACTCTAAATCCAAGATGATTTCATCTTGAGATAAATACATCTTAAATAATTACATCTGCAAGGCTCTATTCCAATAAAGTCACATTTTGAGGTTCTGGGAAAACATGAACTTGCGGGGACACTATTCCATTTACTTCAGTGGGATTAAGGTTCAGCATCAATTGTTGGGAAAAGACAAAGGCTCGATAGTAGGGAAATAGCTAATGTAATAAAATGAAACAGCACATCAAAATAACTCTTACACTGGGCTGGAAATATTCTTGCAATCGTGTTCTATATTGTTTGCTTTCTAGTCATAATTATACTCTGAATTTTAAGTTCATTTATAGGCATTGTATCATTAGTAGTTTTTAGGACTAATGACATTATTGTAGAGAAATAAGAGAAATTGCAAAGATAAAGTGTGTATTTGAATCATGAAAATTCAATACACGTATGGATTGCAATGGGAATTCACCTTCCATTAGTTGTCTATTCTTAAAAGCAGTGGGTGTGGAATAGGTTGAAAGTTGACGTATGTGTATAGGAAAGGAAGTCAGCACAGAAGCCTTCGGGTCAGGGCCTGTGGAGGAATCACCCACAGATTCCCCAAGGGCGTCGTTGATGGGGCCCGAAGTGTTCTCCCTAAGGCTGTCTTCTCTAAGCTGTAATTCAGGGTCCTGCTGCTTGAGGCTGCTGAAGCACTGTCACTTTGGGAGTCCCTCTGCAGACTCCCACAGCAGGATGGAGGGGCAGTGTCTGGTGGGAGGGAGAGGTGGATGGTACCAGCTGGCCCTGACGTCCTCCAGGGCATGGTTTACACTTAGGAGCAGAACCCTTCATACAAGAAGACTTGGGTCAACCTTTTTCTGTCTGTGGTGTGTCTAGAACTCGCTGCCTTATCCTGATGTATTCATCCAATCAGTTTTAAGTTGATGATGGAGATGTTGACCCACAGCTGATATTGATGACTCCTTTCCTCTAGCCCTCGTATATCTGCAGGTCTCTCAGATGAAGACAGATGGAGATCAATGCACAAGTTACAACATTAGAAAGGGGGTGGAGACCTGAAAGGAGGTGGAGGTGCCAAATGAGGGCTTTAGAAAGCTGAATATGCAGAACTTAGTTCTACACAAGTTGAGTTCCAAGTATAAGCTCCAGTGCTTCATAATTCCCCAAGCTTGACATGTAAACAAATAGGAATTATTGATTTTGTCAAAGATAAGCACATCCAATGCTTGGATAAGCACATATATATGTGTGTGTGTATGTGTGTGCATATGTAAAATATAATGAATATATCAATATAGATACATATGTAGGTCATACAGAAATGTATTTTCTAAGAATGATGTATAAAATGGTATCAAAATGGCACTAGGCCTTAAATTAAGGATAGCTTTTGAAATGAATATTTCAATATGACTATTTTTGTTATACATATATATGGCAGCTTTACTCAGAAATTCAAATATGAATAGAATGAATGAAAAATATATTACACGTTTTCTTTAAAATTAAGAGATGACAAAGAAATAAAATAAAATCTATTTCTAGATTTCATCTAGAAATCTTAATGTCCAGCTACCTTATTTTTCAGACAGTGAATCTGAGGTCTAGCAAAAAGTACTTAGAGAATTTGTAAAAAACACTAAGTATTTAGAGAACTTAGTAGCAGCACCTATTCATATTATATACAGTTGATTACTAGAGACAGGTGGACTCCCTTCAGTTCAACCAAGGTTCATTGCTTTTACTCCAACTCAGTCATTTCCCAATGTGGCTCGTAGGAGTCAAACTCAAGCAATGGATTTCATTTAATTTTTGAGTTAACATAAATGTATGAAGAACAATAATTTTTAAATTATCAGGAATGCCTCCAAATTAAGGCTCTATATTTTACTAGAAGAATTAATGAAATGATTACATTAATGAAAGTTAAAAAAATGTTTCTACTTTTGAATAGCCCCTGTTTTTACTGTTGTACAAAGGCTCATTCTCTTGGTTGCAATTGTAATCACCTGGGGAGCTTGACTCCAGGATCCCCCCAACCCCAGACATTCTGCTATAACCGGGGCCTGGAGGTGTGTGCTGGGCACCATTATTATTTGTGAAGAGCCTCAGATAATTCAAAGGAGCAGCTCACATGGAGAACCACTGATCTAGTGATTCTTCTTTTCCTCCTTGATCTTCTGAAGCACAGCAATTAGGTTCAGTACAAAATTAAAAGTTAATACCCCCATTGGGCATTAACTTTTGGGTACCATTACCATTGGGGGTATGAACTATTTATCTTAAAAGACACAATATCAGTGTAGACATTCTGATTATAGACATTTACGTGACCAAAACACACACACAACAACACTAACAAACAATTCCAGGTTCTCACCAGCGTTACCAAGCATGACGAGCCTTTTCTCCGAGACCTGACTCTGTTTTTCACCCCTAAATCAATCTCACTTCTGTATTTTCTACCTCAGGGCACTTTCTCATCTATTTCCTGCTTTGGAAAAGGGCACTCCGGTCATTCCAGTCACCGAAACAAGAGATTTTGGAAATTCATGCCGGGCAGAGTGCTGGGCATGGGGAATTTGGTGGCTGGCAAGACAAGCCGCTTCTGTCCTCAAGGCCTGACTCTGAGGCCAAACCATCACTGAGTCAGGGCCCCCAGAGCCCTGCATGTTGACCACCGTGTGGATGGACACCATGTGGATGGCCTCTTTCAACATCTTCTAACTCAGCTTTCTCCTGCAGCCAGTGAGCTCTCTCCAGAGATAAGTGCAGTCATGCCCTTACCATCTAATACACAGCAGTTTTTCATCACTGACAGAAAATGTACAACCTTAACCCATCATGACTTACAGCCCTCCATGTCTGATCGTAGCCCCAAACACACCATACCTTTCACATCCGCACTGCATCCCTGCATTGTACCACCAGCCAGCCACCTTCCTCCTCCCTTACCCGCTGGGGGATTTGCACAGTCGCTGTAGACCCCAGCCTCTGTGTGACCACTACTTTGAAGACTTCCTCCTTCACCCTCTTAGGAATTTAGCCTTTCTCACCTAATATTTGTCTCCGCTCATTGAACATGAAGTCATGGTTTCTATGCTGGTTGTTATTCTTTCTGTTATTTACAGTGTTTTTTTTGTTGTTGTTGTTTTTTTTTAAGAAAAGAGTGTGTTAGAAATACTTTATACACACCACATAAACTTGAAGTCTCTCTGAAGAAACGTTTATGGTTTAGAAATTTATGATACGAGGTTTAAGATAGTCTATTTCATCTGATGTTTTGCCTTTTTCTCATGTCAAGTGTTACCTCACTGTTATGAATGTTGCCACACTGGCTTTATATAGCCACCATCTATCACTCTTCTGTTTGTTTAGTAAACATCTATCTCCATCTATCTGTTATCTATACTCTATGAATCTATTGCCTATCTGCCAGTCACCTCTCATCTACCTATCCATCTCAATGTTTGTTTTGACTCATTTGAAAATAAGTTGTCAACCTCACAACCACAAGAAAAAGAAATCTTGCTTCCATCTCAATCCCTTTTGTAACCATTGTTATTGATCTCATGTATCTTAGCAATAATTCTTTTTTTGCAATAATAAGCAAATTTGTTTTCTAATTACTTCACTGATTCTTCTCATACCTTCCTCTGTTGTTATTATTATTGCCTGGTTTCCTTTCTTTGCAGTTGACCTTAGGGAAAGAAGATCTCTGCATCCTTGAACATGCTTACAAATCACCTAGGCAATTATAAAATTATAATTATAAAACTAAACAGATCATCATAGATAAAGGAAATATATAGTTCAGAAGAAAATGTAATAAAGAAAAATAAGTACAAATATAATAAAGAAAATTAAATACACAAAGACAATAAATACCCTTTAGTACACAGTTATGAAAATTGACTTGGTAGCAACAGATGGGTGGGTTGAATACTTTTTTACATTACAACAATTTCCATAAAGGTGCAGACCCACAAATAAAGCAATGTTTTGGCCCAAACGAGTTATCGAATTTCTGCTGCATTACTTTTGAATTGTATCTAATCTCTTGCAAAAGTAGAGAAAAAAAAACCTTCAGGCCTAGCGTGGTGGCTCACGCCTGTAATTCCAGCACTTTGGGAGGCCGAGGCAGGTGGATCACTTGAGGTCAGGAGTTCGAGACCAGCCTGGCCAACTTGGTGAAACCCTGTCTCTACTAAAAAATACAAAAATTAGCTGGATGTGGTGGCACATGCCTGTAGTCCCAGCTACTTGGGAGGCTGAGGCAGGAGAATTTCTTGAACATGGGAGGCAGAGGTTGCAGTGAGCCAAGATCATGCCATTGTACTCCAGCCTGGGCGACAGAGTGAGACTCCATCTCAAAAACTAAAATAAAATAACAAAACAAAGCAAAACCCTTCAAGGCTGGAGGTAAATTGAAACAACATTTCTCTGAATGCTGTGATATATTCACTATTACATGTAGAATATGTAATAAAATACTAACCATCATTATAAATATTCAAGGACAAGAGGAGGAATTCCTTCCAAAGGATAAGTAGAAAGTATTGACTATTTCTCCAGAGTGCCTGGAAGGTTTAGGCATTCTTTTAGGTGTTGATTAGAGCAGTAATACATAATTCACTTCAAAAACACTGATCATTCACTGTTGTTACCAAGCAACCCAAGGAAAACAGGAGGTCCTTCAACCAGTGTCCAGGAGTTGCAGACCCAGAAGTAACTAAGTTGGGATACTTGGAGCCCGAATCATCAGATATGGAGTACAATTCTGTTATAAAAGACAATCAGAGAATGAGCCCTAAAAAGTCGGTGTAAAACTTGTGAAAGAGGAGAAAGAGACAGATAGGTAACAGCTTGTTTATGTCTACCTCAACAATTCAGTGTACCCTGGGCCCTGGGGACAAAACCAAACCAACCAAAAACAAATAAGAAAACCTCTGCTTCGAGAAATGCAAATCAAAACCACAATGAGATACCATCTCACACCAGTTAGAATGGCGATCATTAAAAAGTCAGGAAACAACAGGTGCTGGAGAGGATGTGGAGAAATAGGAACACTTTTACACTGTTGTTGGGACTGTAAACTAGTTCAACCATTGTGGAAGACAGTGTGGCGATTCCTCAAGGATCTAGAACTAGAAATACCATTTGACCCAGCCATCCCATTACTGGGTATATACCCAAAGGATTATAAATCATGCTGCTATAAAGACACATGCACACGTATGTTTATTGCAGCACTATTCACAATAGCAAAGACTTGGAACCAACCCAAATGTCCATCAGTGATAGACTGGATTAAGAAAATGTGGCACATATACACCATGGAATACTATGCAGCCATAAAAAAGGATGAGTTCATGTCCTTCATAGGGACATGGATGAATCTGGAAACCGTCATTCTCAGCAAACTATCGCAAGGGCAAAAAACCAAACACCACATGTTCTCACTCATAGGTGGGAATTGAACAATGAGAACACTTGGACACAGGAAGGGGAACATCACACACCGGGGCCTGTCATGGGGTGGGGGGAGGGGGGAAGGATAGCATTAGGAGATATAGCTAATGTAAATGATGAGTTAATGGGTGCAGCACACCAACATGGCACGTGTATACATATGTAACAAACCTGCACGTTGTGCACATGTACCCTAGAACTTAAAGTATAATAATAAAAAAAAAAAACAAAATAATGTGTCAAGGGGAAGTAACTTTGTCTAGTTCACATGTCAAATAAAAATTATATCTAACAACAACAACAAAAAAGAAAACCTCTGCTTCACAGAGCCTTACTTGAATATAAACCAAAACTATTACACAATGGGTAATTTCTGCAAAAATGGCCTTTTTCTGAACCCTAAAGGAAGTACATTATATGCACACTATTCTGCCCTTGCTTTTTGTACGTAGTATAATCTGAAGGTTACTTAAAATCTGTGCCAGAAATTTTTTAAAAAATTTATTTTAAAGTTTATTTAGCCAGTTTGTTAGCATAGTTTATTTAACTCTGTTATTGGACTTAGGATTATTTATTTATTTGAGACAGAGTCTTGCTCTGTAGCCAGGCTAGAGTGCAGTGGTGCAATCTTGGCTCACCACAACCTCCACCCCCTGGGTTCAAGCGATTCTCCTGCCTCAGCCTCCCCAGTAGCTGGGACTACATGCGCGCCACCACGCCCAGCTAATTTTCATATTTTTAGTAGAGACGGGGTTTCACCATGTTGGCCAGGCTGGTCTCGATCTCTTGACTTCGTAATCCACCCTCCTTGGCCTCCTGAAGTGCTGAGATTATAGGCGTGAGCCACCACACCCAGCCACTTCGCGTTATTTTTATCTTAATGCCCTAGTGAATAACTATGGAAATATGTTGTTTTGTATTTGTTGATGTGAATCTTGAAGTGAGATTCCCAAAAGTGAAGTAGCTGGGTAAAGAGGTAAATGCATGTGCAATTTTGTAGAATATTGCCAAATTCCCTCCTGTTTAATGCATGATTCTCCTTAGCCTTGCCAGCAGAGAGTGGGTTCTTAAGTTTTAGATTTGTGCCAACCTGGTGGGTGATGAATGGGTCTCTCAGCATAGTTTTAACATGCCTTTCTTTTTACTATGAGTACAAGTAAATTACCATAAGTATTTTTGTGTGATTACATGTTTTGTGTCTGTTTCTGTGCTTTGCGCACAGATTGTGTTATTAATTTTTTGGTCTTAATACCAAAAGTTTAAGAGTTCTTTATACTTTAAGAAAAATAATCCTTTTGTCTATGGTATGAATTGTAAATATTTTCTCTAATCTTATTTGTCTTTTGACTTTGCTTATGTTTCTTTTTTTGCAACATTTTAAAATATAGTGAAATTACCAATCTTTGAGTTATATTTAAAAGGCTTTTCCGTTCCCAAATTACTGAGACACGCATCCGTATTTTCTTCTAGTACTAGAATGATTTCATTCTGCACTTGTATTTCTAATCCATTTGGATGTTATGTTGGTGCACTATGTTCAATAGAGATGCACAGGTTTTGTTTTCCACAGGGCTATCCATTTTTTTCCAACACCCTTTATTAACTATTTATTCTTCTCTGTGATTTGAGATGATTTGAGATGCCGAAAGGCGATCCTCACTTTCTGGTATTCACAAATTCATATATCCCTCCCTGGAGTGTGGACAGGACTTTGCTTCTAAGCAATAGAACACGGCAAGAGTGATAGGATGTCATTCATGTGATTGCATTACATGACATTATATGGCAGCGGTGGTGGGGTGCCATTCTCGTGCTTCTGTTACATTGTACGAGTCCATATGGCTGGCAGTATCTCATGCTCTAATCAGTCTCTCCATTGCTGGCTTTGAAGAAACAAGCTGCCATGTTTGAGAGGCCCACATGAGAAGGAACTGCAGGTGGTATCCGAGAGCTGAGGGCAGCCTTCAGGTAGGAACTGAAACCTGCAGTCCTGCAGACCCAAGGAAATGAATTTGGTCAACAACCTGAAGGAGCCAGGAGTTAGTTGGTTTTTCCCCAGTTAACTCCCTGAGAAGGCCACGGCCCGGATGACACATGGCTTCTATCCTACTGAGACGAGGCAGAGAGCCCAGCTAAATCATGCCTTAGGCTTCTGAACCACAGGGCTGCAGGTTTGAGTGTTGTTTTAATCTGCTAAGTTTGTCACAATTTGTTATACAGAATAGATAAATAATACACATATTTAGTCAGCCCCAAATTCCAAATGTGCTATGGATTATTTCTGGACTTTATTTCTACTGGCCTGTGTGTCTTTTAATGCATTATTAATATGATTTAATTATAGCACTTTATAATATGTCTTAATATCTGGTAGAACTAACCTTATTCATCATTATTCCTTTTCACAGTTGTCCTTGCTATTCTTGATTGCTTAATTTTCTACATAAAAGTTAAAATCAATTAGTCTGGGCCAGAGGAAAAAATGTTATTTTTATTGGAATCACATTAAAGTTTTATATTAACTTAAGGGAGAGTTGACAAGCGTATGCTCCTGAATCATTTGCTCCAGAATATATGACGTCTTGCCATGTGTTCCACTTTGTGTTTCAGGATTGCATAGGGATTCTGCCCAATTTTGGATGACCTATTAAGCTTTTTTAAAAAAGTAGGGCTAAGTGTCAAATTGTTTCTAATACCATTTTACTATCTATAGAAGTATCTGAATATGATCTATTACCATGGTAAAATACTAAGCATTTTTTAAAATTGTGACTGAGTAGCAAATATTTTAGAATAACATTTTAATATCTATGGCAGTATCTGATTATGAGTTCTATTCTTAGATCTATTAATATGGTGAAATGCATTAATACATTTTCTCATATTGAACCATCCTAAAATTCTGGAATTCTATATATTTCTAGAATTCCTTCTTCATAATGCATACTTTTAAAAATGTGCTGTGGGATTTTTCTTGTTAATATTTTATATAAAATGTTTACATTTGCATTATAAGTGAGATTAGACTGTATTTTTCTTGTGGTTCAATATTTGACAGGATTGGAATTCATGTTATAGATCAATGTAGTTTTCCTTTTCTGTGATCACAAATAATTAAAACACCTTAAGATCTTATTGTTAAAGATTCGATAGAATTCCTTTGATTCATCATCCTGACTTGGAACCTTTCTTTTCTTTTCTTTTCCTTTTGTTTTCCTTTTCCTTTTCCTTTTCTTTCCCAGTGCAGGGGAGCATGCAGCTTTTTGGATGCTTACTCTGTTTCCTCAATGAAAATTAGCCTATTAAACTTCCTATCTGGGCTGGGTGCAGTGGCCCACACCTGTAATCCCAGTACATTGGGAGGCCGAGGCGGGCAGATCGCCTGAGGTCAGGAGTTCGAGACCAGCCTGGCCAACATGATGAAACCCCATCTCTACTAAATATACAAAAGTTAGCCGGATGTGGTGGCGCATGCTGTAATCCCAGCTACTTGGGAGGCTGAGGCAGGAAAATTGCTTGAACCCAGGAGGCAGAGGTTGCAGTAAGCTGAGATTGCACCATTGCGCTCCAGCCTGGGCAACAAGAGCGAAACTCTGTCTCACAAAAAAAAAAAAAACACAAAACAAAAAAACCCAGCTTTCTAATTGGGTTTAGTTTTGATAAATTATAATTTATGTTGGGACATTTATAACTTTCCAGGCACCGCCTTTTGACTCAGCAGGACTTTAAAAAAATAGCAAAATCTCTATCTTGGTAAATTCAGTCCATCAAAATTGTGTTGTCAATTTATTGAAATTTCAATTATTGTCAAAGTTCAATTATTGAAATTATTCAAAATTGAACTTTGATAATTCTAATATTTCTACAAAAATGAGAGGAAAATGTAAAGTAGCAAATTAAAATCATTATGTAAAAAAATTCAATTTTGATAATTTATTTTTAGGAAAGTATTGCTTTAGAAAACAATAGTTTTAGGAAAGTATTCCTTTAGAAAAGAAAGCTATAAAATTCCTTTTCATATTGACTAGTACTGAGCAAAAATAGTCTCATAATTTTTTAAATTTCTTATGTTTTAATGTGTATTTCCTTGTAGTTATATCTCAGTTTTGGTATTTTGCTTTTCTCTTTCTGTCTACTGTGGGATATATAGAAATGAGTATTTTGTTGATCTTTAAAAGTCTCTTTTAAAAATGGATTTCACAATTCTCTTTTTCTGTTATGTAATTCATTATTTTCTGTTCCTTCTTTCTTCTAGTTTACTTTTTTTCCCATTTTTTAGTTAGAAGTTCAATGCACCAATTTTTTTTCTAGTTAGTATTTGAGGCTACATTTTTTTTACTTATCACTATATTAAAGGTATCCCATAGATTCCTGTGTTTATATTTTATAACCAATTCTTTGACATAAGATTTTAAACTATCAAGACAGAATTTTTAATATTCATTTTTACTTGTCATTGCAGTGTGATAAGAATTTTTTTCATTATTTCTACTTTAAGAGATTTTCTTCATATCCTTGGTTAGTTTTTATGAATACTCCATGTTTATTTGAAAGGAATGTTTGTATTTGCTATTTTTTCAGTGAAAGTTTATATTCATAATATTTACAACATTAATCATGTAGTTTGGTGTCCTATTTAAACATATTTAGGTATATATAATATATATATTAATATATATTATATATATTAATATTATATATATATGTATATGTATGTGTTTTTTTGAGGCTGAGTCTCGTTCTGTCGCCCAGGCTGGAGTGCAGTGGCACGATCTCGGCTCACTGCAACCTCTGCCTCCCGGGTTCAAGCAATTCTCCTGCCTCAGCCTCCCAAGTAGCTGGGACTACAGGCGCGTGCCACCACACCCAGATAATTTCTTGTATTTTTAGGAGATACGGGGTTTCACCATGTTAGCCAGGATGGTCTCGATCTCCTGACCTTGTGATCCACCCACCTCGGCCTCCCAAAGTGCTGGAATTACAGGCGTGAGCCACCGCGCCCGGCCTGGTTTATATTTTTTAATTCATTTGGTTAGTCTTAGAGTAACAACAGTGTGAAAAAATATCTAATTATTTGACTTCTATATTTTTCTCTTCAAATTTTTGATAGCTTTTATTATTATATAATATGATAAAATACGAATTTTGTATTGTTTTATATATCTGTGTTATAGCCTCTGCCTTCTGCCTGCTATACCTTTAGGCCTATCCTTTTATTTTTATAACTTATAATTCCTTTCTTCTAAGCACATCTTTTATATACAACATGGAAGTTTGCTTTGCTTTGTGAAATAATATGAAAAAGTTTTTTGTTGTTTACTGAATTATGTGAGATAGATCCATTTACATGTATTAATCAAATGATATATTAATATGGACATATTATTTTTATCTTTTATTATGTATTATGCTATATTTACTGTGTGTTTTATTATGTTGTCTTTTCGCTTTCCTTTTTCCATTTTTTTTTTGTTGTTTGTTTGTTTTAGTTTTTAAGACGGAGTCTTGCTCTGTCACCCAGGCTGGAGTGCAGTGGAGTGATCTCGGCTCACTGCAACCTCTGCCTCCTGGGTTCAAGTAATTCTCCTGCCTCAGCCTCCCGAGTAGCTGGGGTTACAGGTGCACACCACCATGCCCAGCTAATTTTTGTATTTTTAGTAGAGACAAGATTTCACCATGTTGGCCAGGCTGGTCTTGAAGTTCCATTTGTTCTGTTTTAATATTTATTTCTGTGTATAAAATGATTTATATTTTTGTTTCAGATGTTATATTTACATTAGTTTTCTATTTATGTCTCATCACCTATTTTATTACTCAGGCTTTTGCCACTGTCATCTCTAAATTATGCCCTCTGTCTCCTGCTTAACATTTATGTGCAATCAATGTTTTTATCATACTATCTCTTTCTCCTTCCCCCTTTTTTTCTATTTTTTATTGGTATGATTTTTACTTTGACAGAATTCTGAATTTGCTTTTCTTGGACAAATTTCACAAGTACAATGACGCTTTTTGATGTCATGTTTTGCTTTTTCTCCTATTAAAAAACTTTGTTGAGTTATAATTTTAAGGATTAGTGCTATTTTATTGTTTCGTTTTTACTGTAGGGCTTCCAATTAGCAATATGGTGGATCATAGTTGCCAGTCTTCCATAGCTTCCCCTTCCTCCTGTTATCATTTGACCCCCTTCTTCAGTTTCATTTTCATTTCCATCCTCTGTACCCAGTCTCTTGATTCTTACCTGTACTCCTTTGCCCACTTCCTATTTATTCACTTCCACAACCATTTTGCCTTTTCTTCACTTGTGTTTCCCTCAGTTGGGTCAGTTCCTACTTAAGTGTTTCTATTATTTGTCCATTTCTATGTTAAATTTTTTGAATTTTGATTTGAGATGCTTTTTTATAGCTCTAATTAATTTTTAAATGATATTTAACTCATTTTGAAGTGTGTCATTATCAATTTCTTTTGTCTCATGGCTTGTTTTTGCTGTTGCGTTTACATTTGTTTGTCTCATCTCCAGAGAAGTTTTTGATTTTCATTTTCTCCATACCTTACTCTAGAAACTTGGTATGGGTTCTGTCTGATGATGTATGTTGGTGTTTCCTAGACCTGCAGTAGAAAGTAGTCACTGAGCAAATGAGAGGCTGACACGGCTTCTCAGTCTCTTACACCATCATCTTTTGCTACTCTAGTGAATAAAGTTTCTTTAACAAATGCTCCCTTCCTTCATTTGTGTTCTTTCACTTCTGTGAGACTTTTTCGTTCTGTAAGTCGCCTATCTTCAGTAACTGAGACAACCTCCTCCATTTCTACAGTGTCTTCGGGTTCCCCAGCATCAGTCCCCACCATGCCAGCCTCCTCCAGAGCCTCACACTCCCAGATCCCTTCATTCACTGAATCAAAGACTGATGGTAGGAATCTTTGCTTTGCAAAGACTGCTGTTAGAAATCTGGGCTTCAAGAACTCTGCTGGGAGGGCTCTGAAGGCAGTGAAGAGGGCATTATTGGAAACTGAAGGAAAGGGAACCCATGTTATGCCTCATGACAGAAAGATTGGTGAAATTTCCACTATGTAGGAAACAGAACTTGTAAGTGGTGAACTTGGTTAAATCGCTAAAGATAGGTCCAGGGAAAGTGTTGGCTATGCTGTCCAGAGTGAATGACAGCTATCCTCACAAGCATTCATTTGTACTGTACTGTAGGAAAGTGTAGACTGTGGAGCACACCTAAAAAAACTGCTTTAAAATAATAAGTTTTGCATGTTTGCTTATTTCTCTTCTCTTTTCTTTATTTAAAATCATTTCTCAGCCAGGTGTGGTGGCTCACGCCTGTAATCCCAGCACTTTGGGAGGCTGAGGCGGGGGGATCATGAGGTCAAGAGATCGAGTCCATCCTGGCCAACATGGTGAAACCCCGTCTCTACTAAAAATACAAAAATTAGCCGGGCATAGTGGCAGGCGCCTGTAGTCCTAGCTGCTTCAGAGGTTGAGGCAGGAGAATCGCTTGAACCCGGGAGGCAGAGGTTTCAGTGAGCCGAAATAGCATCACTGCACTTCAGCCTGGCGGCAAAGCGAGACTGTATAAAATAAATAAATAAATAAATCTTTTCTGTAGAATCGCTTGCCCTTGCTGTGTTGAGTTTGGAAAGCGCAACCCAAATCATCCCATTTTGTCAGGACTGCAGCTTGGTCAGGGGAAGCGCTGGTCAGCAGTGATGCACTGGGACACCCACCAGAGCTACTGGCTGGCAGCTCGGCTAATGCGGATCTTTTTCCATTAACTGCAGTTTCTTGCTTATGTCCACATGGTGAAGCCTCACTTCAGAAAATACAGGTATATTTTCCACTTGCATTTCCTAACAGGTATTTGATGTTCCTGTGCAAATTGTATCAAAGATTGGGACTATGGATCAGCATTACTGAGACCCATTCCTGAAACTCCTAAAAATATTAGGCCAACAGCTTTGGACTATGAAGCCAATAACATTTATTCCACCACAAGATTTTTTTTAAAGATCAATATTTATTTAAAAAATATTTATTTAGAAAAGATCAATATTTATTTACTAAAAGGAAAGAGGGAAGGAAGGGAGGAAGAAAGAAAGAGAGAGCGTAAAGAAAGAGTAACTTTTTCCAGTCCTTATGTTCTCATGAGAATAATTCCCAGCAGTAAAATTTGTGCCAGAAGTTTTCATGTTTACCTGAGAGCTGGTGGGAGGCAACAAGAAATGTACTTGAAGCTGGGAAATCAGTCTTGACGGATTCAAATTTCACTTCTGGCCCTTTCTAGCTGAAACAATTTCCTACGCTTTCTAAATGTTAAGTTTCTCATCGGTAAAACTGAGAAATTATCTACTTTAGAAATATTAATATTAACTGGGTCCTCACAGAAGCTACACTCCGCTCTGGACATTTTATATGCATTTCAAATTTCCCCTGAGAACTAGGGTTAACGTCACCATCTTCATTCACACCACGCTGCTCTGGCCCAGGGGCTTCCGAGCTGCCTGTATCAATGCACTGGTTCTTCCTGTTTACAGTACCAGCATATGTCTCCACTCCAGACTTCAGACTACCTCTCTTTGTTTTGGATCTTGTAAACAGACAAAGATAGAGTCCATGCTTTCAGGAAATTATGAAGTGTATGATGAGAGAAGCCATTGATTTTGGTGCTAAGAACATTGTTCTAGTAGCCCAGAAATAATAGATGATTCTAGCTTAGAATATGGTTCTATGTTGAACAATATTTATATAATCATAATATGGAAACTCTGTTTCCCATTTTTGCCATCAATTTAAGATCAAAGCAGAAATTTTTGGTTGCGTTTACACAACGACTATGTAAAGACACTTGTTGCCAGGTGTGGTGGTTCACACCTGTAATCCCAGCACTTTAGGAGGTGGAGTTGGGAGGATCCTTTGAGCCCAAGAGCTCAAGGCTGCAGTGAGCCATGATCACGCCTTTGCACTCCAGCCTGGGCCACAGAGTGAGACCCTGTCTTAAAAAAAAAAAAAAAAAAAAAGAATAAGCTTGCCAATGTAAAGGAAAGTGCATGTCCTGGAAGGTGTGAGTAGACGCAGGAAGGAGAGGTAGAGGAGGGAGGGCTCATGCTGTCATCTGAAAGAGAGAGGAGTCCTCAGGAGTTCTAAAATTATATATATATAATATAATTATATAATATATATGTCTATATATAGGCCTATATAGGCCATATATATATGCCTATATATATAAAATAGGCATATGGCCTATATAGGCCTATTATATATATAGGCATATATATATATATATATATAGATATATAGATATATAGATATATATATATGGAATATATGATTGTCATAGAGTGCCCACCCAGGGTTGGACATTTATTTGACAGAGAAATCATCTTGTATTTGTTTAAATACTTTGTTTAATACTTTGTTTTCTCTATCACTTATATACTCTGCAGTTCTCTTGGCTCATCTCATGGGATGTGAACATCATAGAACATCATGCTGGCAACAGTTTTAACGTTTATAGATATGCAATTTCGGTTGCATCTATATATAAGCCAACAGCTTTAACTGGGTCTCAATCCATTTACCAATGCTAGAAGAAATCTTGTTTTTGCATTCATTGAAGAACCGATGTCATTCTCCAGTATGACAACTGAGTATTTCAAGTCCCGCTTCTTGAGCTTCTTGGACTCCTTCACCCCTGCGTAAGATGGGATTTGAGATGGAAGACTGGCATATGCCATGTCTTCCTTCTCTCTGCGTGATACTGATTTGTAAATTCACCTGCTTTTAATCAGTCTGTAATCTTGGGTGTCAGTGCCTCAGAGCTGCTCCTCCTGCATGTATAGACTGCAAAACAGTGGTAGGGAAGGAGCATTGCCAGGCAAAAGCCTCAGAAAAAAGAAAATAAAAACTCCACGACAAGCACCTTGTTTCTTCCAGATAGTGATATGAATTATAATAATGCCCTGGTAGTTAAAGCTACCATTTCAAGAAATTGCCAGTTCTTGGTCATCTAAGCACTTTGTTAACTCAGTTTTAAATAGGTTTATTGAGATATAATTTTCATACACAAAAGTTCATTCATTTAGAGTATACTATTCAATTTTTTTTTTTTTTTTTTTTTTGGAGGGAGTCTTGCTCAGTCACCCAGGCTGTAGTGCAGTAGAGTGATCTCGGCTCCCTGCAACCTCTGCCTCCCGGGCTCAAATGTTTCTCATGCATCGGCCTCCCAAGTAGCTGGATTACAGGCATGTGCCACCACACCCAGCTAATTTTTTTTTTTTTTTTTTTTTTAGTGGAGATGGGGTTTCACCATGTTGGCCAGGCTAGTCTCAAACTCCTGACCTCAAGGGATCCACCCACTTTGGCCTCCCGAAGTACTGGAATTATAGGTGTAAGCTACCAGGCCCGACCTACAATTCAATATTTTTAGCATATTTACAAAAATTGTGCAACCATTACTATAAACTACTTTTAGAACATTTGATCATTCCAAAAAGAAACCCTGTATCCATTAGTAGTCATTCCCCCTTCTCCCCTTCCTCCAGCCCTGGAAACCACTAGTTACTTTTTCTCTATATAGATTTTAAATTCTGGACATTTTATGTAACTGGGATCACACTATATGTGAACTTTTGTGCACGGCTTCTGACCCCTAGAATAATGTTTTGAAGTTCAACCATATTGTAGCATTTATCAGTACTTCATTCTTTTCAATGGCTAAAAAATATTCCATGATAAGGACATACCACATTTTGTTTTTCCATTCCTCAGTTGATGGACATTTGGGTTGTTTCTACTTTTTGGCTATTATTAATAATACTGCTATGAAAATTGAGGTACCAGTTTTAATGTGTACATATGTTTTTAATTCTCTTGACTATATTGCTAGGCCAAATAATGAGTCTATGTTTAGCTTTGGAGGAGCTGTCAAACTATTTCCACAGTCACCACAAAGGTTAATGTCCCACCAACAATGTGTGAGGTTTCCATTTTCTCCACATCCTTGTCAACAATCGCTATTGCCTGTCTTTTTAATTTATCTTAGTAAGTGTGAAGTGGCATCTCACTGTGATTTTGATTTTTTTTATGTCAATAGTTTTTGAGGAACAGGTGTTGTTTGGTTACATGGATAAGTTTTTTATGGTGATTTCTGGGATTTTGGTGCATCTGTCACCCGAGAAGTGTACACTGGACCCAATGTGTAGTCTTTTAACCCTCCTCCACTTCCCACCCCTCCCCACGAATCCCCAGAATCCATTATATAATTGTTATGCCTTTGCGTTCTCATAGCTTAGCTCCCACTTATAAGTGAGAACATATAATGTTTGGTTTTCCATTCCTGAGTTACTTCACTTAGAATAATGGTATCCAACTCCATCCAGGTTGCTGTGAATGCCATTATTTCCTTCCTTATTATAGCTGAGTAATGAAGCTTTTTAGTTTCGTTAAGTTCCATCTATTTATCTTTGTTTTTGTTGCATCTATCTATCTGTCTATCTGTCTGCCTGCCTATCTATCTATCTATCTATCTATCACATTTTCTTTATCCACTCATTGGTTGATGGGCATTTACGCTGGTTCCATATTTTTGCAGTTGCAAATTGTGCTACTATAAACATGCATGTGCAAGTGTCTTTTTCATAGAATGACTTCTTTCCTCTGGGTAGATACCCAGTCATGGGATTGCTGGATCAAATTGTAGTTCTACTTTTAGTTCCTTAAAGAGTCTCCATACTGTTTTCCATAGTGATTTTACTAGTTTACATTCCCACCAGCAGTGTAAAAGTGTTCCATTTTGACCACATTCATGCCAGCATCTATTATTTTTTTATTTCTTAATTATGGCCATTCTTGGAGGAGTAAAGTGGTTTTGATTTGCATTTCCCTGATAATTAGTGATGTTTAGCATTTTTTTCGTATGTTCGTTGGCCATCTGTTTATCTTCTTTTGAGAATTGTCTATTCATGGCCTTAGCCCACTTTTGGATGGGATCATTTGATTTTTTCTTGCTGATTTGTTCGAGTTCCTTGTAGATTCTAGGTATTAGTCCTTTGTCAGATGCATAGATTGCGAATATTTTCTCCTATTCTGTGGGTTGTCTGTTTACTCTGCTGGTTATTTCTTTTGCTGTGCAGAAGTTTTTTAGTTTCATTTAGTCCCTTCTATTTGTCTTTGTTTTTGTTTCACTTGCTTCTGGGTTCTTGGTCACGAACTCTTTGCCTAAGCCAATGTCTACAAGAGTTTTTCTGATGTTGTCTTGTAGAATTTTTATGGTTTCTAGTTTTAGATTTAAGTCTTTAATTTATCTTGGGTTGATTTTTGTATAAGATGAGAGATGAGGATCCAATTTTATTCTTCTACATATGGCTTGCAATTAAGTCATCTGATTTGCTTTTCCCTAATTACTAATGATGTTGAGCATCTATTCACATGCTTATTAGTTATTCATACATCTTCTTTGGAGAAATGTGTATTCATATTATTTTCTCATTTTTAAATTGAGCTACTCTTTTTGTTATTGAGTTGTCAGAGTTTGTATATATTCTGAATATGTCACTCATCAAATGTATGTATCACTTGCAAATACTTTCTCCTCTTCTATTGGCTTTTTTCACCTCATGATGGTTTCCTTTAAAGCACAAAGTGTTTAATTTTTATGAAGTCCAACTTATTAAACTTCTCTTTATTGCTTGTGCTTCTGACGTCATATCTAAGAAATCATGGCCTACCCCAAGATCATGAAGACATGCTTTTGAGTTTTCTTCTAAGAGTTTTATGGTTTCAGATAATGTTTTAAGAATATACACCACTTTGTTAACTTTTGTGTATGATGATAATTAGGGTCATATCTTCTATCTTTTGCATGTGGACATCCAGTTTTCCCAAAGCTGTTTGTTGAACAGATTGTTCTTTTCCTATTGAATCGTCTTGGACCCTTGATCAATAATCAACTGACCATAAGTTTTGGGGTTTATTTTGGAGCACTCAATTCTATTCCATTTATCTATGTGTCTGTTTTTCTGCCAGTACCACATTGTCTTAATGACTATAGCTTTATAGTAATTCTTCAAATAATAAATTATAAATCCACCAACTTTGCACTTTTTTAAAAAGATTGTTTAGTTATTCTGGGTCTCTTGCATTTTCATATAAATTTTAGAGTCAGCTTATCAATTTCTGCAAAAAAACACATGGAAGAATTTTGATATAGATCCTGATAAATCTGAATCAATTTGGAGAGTACTGCATCTTCATTATATTGTGTTATGATCCGTAAACATAGGCTACTTTCTATTTATTTAGATTTTCTTTAATTTCTTTCAACAACATCTCATAATTTTCTGAGTGCAAGTCTTAGACTTCTTTTGATAATTTTATTTTCTTTTTTGTGACAGGGTCTCACTCTGTTGCTCAGGCTGGAGTGCAGTGGCATGATCTTAGCTCACTTCATGCAGCTTTGACCTCCTAGGCTCAAGCAATCCTCCCATCTCAGCCTCCCAGGTAGCTGGGACTGCAGGTGTGAGCCACCATACCCAGCTAATTTTTGTTTTTTTTTGTAGAATGGGGTTTGCCATGTTTTCCAGGCTCGTCTCAAACTCCTGAGCTCAAGAGATTCTCCTGCCTCAGCCTCCCAAAGTGCTGGAATTATAGGCATGAGCCATTGCTCCTGGCTTTATTGATAAGTTTACTTTTATGTATTTTACTGTTTTTGATGCTGTTGTGAATGAAATTGTATTTTTTAAAAATTATATATACTTAAGGAATACAACATGATATTATGGAATGCATATAGACAGTGAAATGGTTGCTGTAGTGAAGGAAATTAACATATCCATCATCTCACATAGTTACCCTTTTTGTTTTGCAAGAGTAGCTATCATCTTCTCATTTAGCAGAACTCCTTAATCCCATACAATTTGTTCACAATAGTCTTTATATTGTACATTCGATCCTTAGACTTGTTCATACTACATTTCTACTATGTATCCTCTGACCTAAATGTCCTAATTTCCTCTCCTCTCCCCAACTCCCACTCCTGGTATTACTGTTTTACTCTCTATCTCTGAATATTTGACTTATTTTTTGTATTCCACAATATTTGTCTTACTGTGTCTGCCTTATTTTACTTAGCATAATGTCCTTCAAGTTCATCTGTATGATGGCAAATGGCAGGATCTCCTTTTTTAAGGCTGAATAATATTTCATTGTGTATATATCTACATGTGGAGCATCCTAAATTCAAAAATCTGAGAATCAAAATAATCCCAAATCCAAAACTTTTTGAGCACTGACACGACACTGAAAAGAAATGCTAGTTGGAGCATTTCAGATTTTTGGATGTTCAGATTCGGGATGCTCAGCTTTTAACTATAATGCAAATATTCCAAAAATCTGAAAAAGTCCAAAATCTGAAACACCCCTGGTCTCAAGTATTTTGGATAAGGGATACTCAACCTGTACCAGTTTCTTTTTTCTTTTTTCTTTTCTTTTTTTTTTTTTTGAGACAGAGTCTCGCTCTGTTGCCGAGGGTGGAGTGCAGTGGCACGATCTAGGCTCACTGCAAGTTCCACCACCTGAGTTCACGCCATTCTTCTGCCTCAACCTCCCAACTAGCTGGGACTACAGGCACCTGCCATAACACCCAGCTAATTTTTTGTATTTTTTAAATAGAGACGGGGTTTCACCGTGTTAGCCAGGATGGTCTCGATCTCCTGACCCCGTGATCTGCCCACCTCGGCCTCCCTAAATGCTGGGATTACAGGTGTGAGCCAGCGCGCCAGGCCAACCTGTACCAGTTTCTTTATCCATTCATCCATCAACAGACACTTAGGTTGTTTCCACATCCTGGCTGTTGTGAATAGTGCTTCGATGAGCATGGGGCTGCAGATACCTTTACGAGGTGATGATTTCATTTCCTTTTGGTATATACCCAGAAGAGGGATTGCTGGGCCATATGTTAGTTGTATTTTTAATTTCTTTAAGAACCTCCATACTGTTTTCCATAATCTGCCTCAATCTACATTTCCATCAATAATGTACTTGGGTTCCCTTTTCTCTACATTCCACCAACACATTTGTTATCATTGCCTTTTTTTTTTTTGGTGACGGAGTTTCGCTCTTTGCCCAGGCTGGAGTGCAGTGACGCGATGTTGGCTCACTGCAACCTCCACCTCCCAGGTTCAAGCGATTCTCCTGCCTCAGCCTCCTGAGTAGCTGGAATTACAGGCATCCACCACTACGCCGGGCTAATTTTTTGTATTTTTAGTAGAGACGGGGTTTTACCATGCTGGCCAGGCTGGTCTTGAACTCCTGACATCAGGTGATCCACCCTCCTCAGCCTCCCAAAGTGCTGGGATTAGAGGTGTGAGCCACTGCGCCTGGCCTGTTGCTTTTTTTTGTAACAGCCATTCTAACAGGTACGAGGTGATAATTCACAGTGATTTTAATTTACATTTGCCTGATGATTAATGATGTCCAGCACTTTTTTTTATTTAACAGTGATTTATTCAAACATGTGTCACATTTGTGTATTATTAGGTTACAAGGATATTAGAATTGAGTCTTTACTCCTATCCTCTAGCCAGTTAGTTTTATCAGGGAGATAATGCACACGTGTGTACATGGAAAGATAAATAATAATACAATGCCAAAAAAAGGAACTCAGAATATGACAAGACAGAACTTGAGCTAGATCATTTAAAAAGTTGGAAATTAGGTAAGTTGAGAACAATAAGAGAAAATTACCTCACAAGAGTTAGGAATATTTGTGATGTGTTTGGGAAAAAAAATAAATGGAATCATTTCATTGGAACTGAGAGATCAATTAGGAGATATTAAAAGCTGGGGAAAGTCTGGATTCTAGGGGTTTCATATGTCATGAAGACATAGATGATTTTTGAGCCAGGAATATTCAAGAGTGTTTTGGAAAATAGGCAGCAGTAAATAAATGAGAAAATTAAAGAGATTAAAGGCAGGTAGAGTTCTAATTTAAAATTGTCAAAGGCGGAGAAGAGGAAGGAATGAAAGACAAAGGACGGTATATCAATTATGTTCAAGTGATCAAGATGGCAGCTGAAACCAGGGTAAGCAAAACAAGGAAATTTTAGTGCAAACAAGTCCAGGGATAATTCTAGCTTCAGTTATGACAATATTCAGGGCTCAAAAACTGTTGCTAGTACTGTTTTTCTTTAGCATTCAGCTCTGCCTTCTTTGAATGACAATAATATGGTAATAAAGTAGATACTGCTGTTCAGCCTCGCAGCTACCCAGAGACTCAGCAGGAAAGTCACTCTCTATTCACAGCTCTTTCCGAAGTTCTGAAATTCACTCTGATTATACCAGCGTAGATCAATCTGGAACTAATTAATAAGTGTATGTCCAGAACTTTTTCATATACCTGTTGACCATTTTTGTTTGGTTGGTTTTTTTTAGAAATGTCTATTGAGGTCCTTTGCCCATTTTTAGATAGTTTATTTGTTTTCCTGCTATTGAGTTGTATGGTTTGTCTATAAACTTTGGATATTAACTCCTTATCAGATATATGATTTGCAAATATTTTTTTCCTAACCCATAGGTGGCCATTTTATTTTGTTGATTATTTTCTTTGCTGTGCAGAAGCTGTTTAGTTTGATATAGTCCAATTTATTTAGTTTTACTTTTGTAGTCTGAGCTTTTAGTGTGATTTAAATTGTATTTTTAATTTCATTTTCAAATTGTTTCTTGGTAGTGCATACAAATGTAGGTGATGTTGGTATACTGATAGTGTATCCTACAATCTTGTTGAATGTCTTTATTAGCTCTATTAGTTTTTTGTGGATTCTTAATGATATTTTATATATGTCATTGGCAAATGGAGATAATTTTACTTCTTTCTTTCCCACTGGATTTCTCTTTTTTATTTTTTTGCCTAATTGCCTGAGATATAACCTCCAGTAAATAAATGTAAATGATGAGAGAATACATTTCTCATACTTTTAGAAAGAAAATATTCAGACTTTTACCATTCAGTAGAATGTTAACTCTAGAATTTTTGTAGATGACCTTTATCAGGTTGAGAAAGCTTCCTTTTACTCCTACTGTGTAAAATGTCTTTATCATAAAACAGTGTTGGATTTTGTCATATTTTTCCTTCTGCATATATTGAAATGACCACATACTTTTTTCCTTATATCTTAGTAATGTGTTCACTAATGTGCATTACACTGATTATTTTTGGATGCTAAACCAACCCTTAATTCCTGGGCTAAATACAATGTGGCCATGGTGTATAATCTTATTTATATGTTGCTGGATTTAGTTTTTTTGCTGAGCATTTTTGGATACATATTTATAAGAGCCATGTCTGTGATTTACTTTTGTGTGATGTCTCTGGTTTTGGTATAAGAGTAAGATTGTCCTCATAGAATAAGCTGAGTAATATTCCCTTCTCTTCTATTTTCTGGAAGAGCCTAAATTCTGGAAGAATTTCTGAAGGATTCGTATTAATTCTTCAAATGTTTAGAAGAATTCACCAATGAAGTTGTGTCTGCTGGGGATTTTCTATGTGGGAAGTGTTAAAATTACTAATTCAATGTTCTTACTTGCTAAAATTCCATTCAGGTTTCCTATTTCTTCTATCAAATCAGTAATGTTTGTCTCTAGGGATTTGCCCATCTTACTTAGTTTTCTCAGTTGTTACAGCATGTAGCTGTTTGTACTCTTGTGATCCTTCTTATTGCTGTGAGTTTAGTAGTAATGTCCTCTCTTTTTCCTCGAAGTTAATAATTTGATTCTTCTCTCTTTTTTTTTCATGGTCTGTCATGTAAAAGACTTGGTCCGTTTTTGTTGATCTTTTCAAATAATCATATTTGGTTTAATTTATTTTTCTCTATTATTTTTCTGTTTTCTATTTCATTTATTTCAGGTCTAATCTTTATTTCTTTCTTCAACTGGCTTGGCTTTATTTTGTTCTTTTTTCATAGTTTTCTAGAGGGCTGGTTAGATTATTTATCTGAGATCTTCTTGATATAGGTGTTTAAATAGCTATAAATTTTTCTCTAATAACTGTTTCAGTTGCATTCCATAAATTCTTGTATGGCATCATCTCATTTTTATTTATCTCAAAGTATTTTATAACTTACCTTAGGTGATTTCTTTCTTGACCCATTGGTTATTTAGGGGGGCTTTGTTTAAATTCCACATTTTTTCTGAATAGCCCACATTTTCTTTGGTTATTGATTTCTAATTTCATTCCATTACTGTTAAATAATATACTTTGTATAATTTCAATCCTTTTCAATCTAGTGAGGCATTTTTATGGCCTAGCACATTGTCCATTCTGGAGAATGGCTTTTGTGCACTTGAAAAGAATGTGTACACCTTTGTTGTTGGGTTGAATGTTCTGTAGATGTTGATTAGGACTTGTTGGTTTAGAGTGTTGTTCAAGTCTTGTATACCTCTTTTTTTAAAAAACAAAATAGTTGTTCTATTCATAACTGAAATTTAGATATTTAAGCCCCTAACTATTATTGCAGAGTTGTCTGTCTCTTCTTTCAAGTCTGTTACTTTTTGTTTCTTTTATTATGGGGCTCTATTGTTGAGTGAAATATGTCTATAATTTTTAGGTATTCTTGACATATTGGCCTTTTAATCATTAGAAAGTGTCTCTCTTTATCTCTCGTAATTATTTTTATATTGAAGTCTATTTTAACAGTATAATTCTGTTGTGATTACTGTTTGTATGATGTATCTTTTTTTATACTTTCACTTTCAACAAATGTTAACTTTATTTCTGAAGTGCGTCTCCTTGTTTGTTTTACTATATTTGACCATCTCATTCAATAGGATTGTTTAATCCATTCATATTTAATTATGATGGATGTAATTGATTCATGTTGGCCAGGATGCCTTTTCTTCTCTATGTCCCATTATTACTTGGTTTCTTTATTCCTTCTTTATTGCCTCGTTTTGTCTTAAGTAGATATTTTCACATGCATTATTTTAACTCCTTTAATTAACTTTGTACTTTTTAAAGTTATATTCTTTAGCATTGCTCTAGGGTTTACCATAAATTTTCAGAATCCAAATCAGATTTATGCTAATTTATTACAATAATTTATACAAATTATACTTCTACAGACTCCATTTATTCTCCCTTTATGTGCTATTATTCTAGAAAGTACATCTGTGTATATTACAAAGCCAGCAGCACTACATTGTTACCATTATTGCCTTACAGAATCATATGTTTTAAAGAAGCTAAAAGAAGAAACAAGAGCAGAAATATATAGAGTTTAAATATCTGTCTGTCTTTTATTTACTATTTTGAATTTGCTTCATTTTTTTTTTTTGTTGTGGATTCCGGTTACCTTCTGCTGTTACTTAGTTACTGTAATATAGCTTCATTCCCACCCCTCTCTTTTGCCTTCTCATTCTCAAATATGTATTTCATTTTTATACATAAAAAGTAAAACAATCCAATTTATACATAATGTTTTATGCAAGTGCCTTTTAAATAAGTTAAGAGATGAGAGAAAAAATATATATAATTATAGTGTATTTTATTATCACTTACATAAATTATCTTTACCAGAACTCTGTTTTGTTTCATGTGGTTTCAAGTTATTTTCTGGTGTCACTCTGTTTCAGTCTGAAGAACTTCCTTTAGTACATCTTTTAAGGAAGATATGCTAGCAATGAAGTCTCTTAGTTTTTGTTTATCTGAAAATGTCTTTATATCACCTTTATTTTTGAAAGAGGCCTTTTTTTCCTTTTACCTTGTTGAATACTTAATTCCATTGTCTTTTATTATCCACAATGTCTGATGAGAAGTCAGCTGTTAATCTTATTGCAATTTCTCTGTACACAGTAAGTCATAACACATGAATCTTGTACATAAGTCTTGAACATAAAGTCATGTACATGAGACTTGCTGCTTTCAAGATTTTTACTTCATCTTTGACTTCAACATTTTGACTTTGAAATGTTTTCTGGGTAAGGATCCCTTTCCATTGAAAAACAAAAGTTTACTCTAATTTGGAGTTAACTTCTTTGATATGTTGGTTGGTGTTTTTACTTAAATTTTAGAAGTTTTCAGCCCTTGTTTCTTTGGATATTTTTTTTCTGCTCTTTTCTCCCTCTCATCTCATTCTGATTTGCCCATTATGTTTATGTTGGTGTGATTATGTCATTTCATATTTCTTCTGAGGCTCTGATCATTTTTCTTTTTTTGCCATTGTGTTTTTCAGTCTGTATAATTTCTATTTATCTATCTTCAAATTTGCTGATTTTTTCTTCTGTTGGCTAAAATCTAGACAGTTGAGCCTCTTTAGTGATATTATTTAAGTTTTTATATTTGTTTACACCAACATTTCCTCTTGGTTCTTTTAAAAAATAATTTCTAACTCTTTATTGATAGTATCTATTTAATGAGTCATTGTTAGCACACTTTCTTTAATTCCTTAAGCATGGTTTTCTTTAGTTCTGTTACCATATTTGTAACATCTGCTTTTAAGTTTTTGTCTGCTAAGTTACACTAATGTACCTCCTCACAGGTAATTTCCACTGCCTGATATTTTTTCCTCTCTATGGGCCACTCTCTTCTGTTTCTTTTGTTGGTGTTTAAACTGTACATTTTAGATATGTAGCAACTGTGGATACTGATCTCCCCTTCTTGTGGGTTGTTTAGTGACTTGACTGGACTGATTCTGTGTATTTATTTCCCCTGTATTATGCAGCCTCTGATATCCCTGCTTAGATTTTTCTTTTTTGTTCTGTTTCTTCAGCCTGGAATTCTAGGAAACATCTCTGGATCTTCACAAACAACTTATTAGTTAAGGGTTGTACCTCAGTTTCCTTAGCCACATAACCTTTACCACTGCAGGCATGTGTGCCTTAGAGACTTACTTCACTGTTCAAGGAATTTACTCTTTTGTTCCATGTTTGTCCAAGGATTCAGAGTCTCTGTTCATTCCTGAGAGAGCACAGCCTTGGGCATCTGCACAGTTTTCCAGACGGCTGAGGATGAGAGGTATTTTGCTTTTGCGCATAATTCACTAGGTGTTCCCTTAGGTCAGAGTAGCTTATTGTCCAGCCAGTCTGTGATCCAAAGCTCCAGGCCCTCTACTGATGGATCTCTGCATGGCTGGGGAAGGTTTTCAAGTCTGTTCCATGTCTTGCTCTGATTGCTCATAAGTGGTGCAATCCAGCACATGGACACAGTCTTCCAGACCTCCAAAGATGAATGTGATTCCCTGAAGGACTCTTTTTGGCTGTCTCTTGCTCTGATACTCTTTTAAACTTCTGGAAGGTCTATTTTGCTTTTTGCTATTAGCATCATGGAGCTACCAACTCATTTAATTGCTTGCCACTAAGGTCTCCATTGTTTTCCATAATTTATTCAGATATAAACTTCTCCAGCTCTGTTTCAATAAAGTCTGTCCCTTCAGGCAGTACTTTGAAGGTATCCGTCCTTATGACCTACTCTTACCTTGGGTAAACCCTATCCTGAATGTGGGGTTGGAAACAGTTGCCTTATTTTTTTGGAGTAGCACTTGTGCTCTATGAGTGAGCTCTGGGGAGAGTGGCCCCTTGTTTCTTGACTTTTCTTTTCTGGCCTGGAACCTCTATGTGCAAGCTGGAGAGGGAGCAGTTGAGTCCAGTGTTCTCAGCCTCTACACTTAGAGCAGAGTCCTTGCCCTGTGAATGGGGGCTGAATGAGGGAAAGGAGCCCCAGTTCTTCTGGCTGCACTTACCCAGAATAGCACTTTCACAGCGTGGGGCTCGGAAGGATGACAGATGCCGGAAGCCTGCCCCTTGTGGGATGCAACTGTAGCCTAGCCCAACATCTGGGGCTGGGGACAGAGGAAAACCCTTGTCTTCTTGGTTGCACCCACCCTGAAAAGAGGGTCTAGAGTAAGACCCACATTACATGGGGTGGATAGGAACACAGAGTGGCTCAAATGCCACCATCTCTCACTGTTCTTACCAAGATTTAACAGATTTGTTTGAATGATTATTTCTCTACTTTCTGTATTTACTGAGGAAAATTTCCAGAGACTTTTAATTTTTTTTTCAAATAATTTTCACCAGTTAAATTTTTGTAATTGTTTCACTGGGGAGAGTCCGCCAAGCTCCTCACACCTCCATTCCAGAAGTCCTATCATTTTGCAACTGACCCATTAGTCCCAGAGACAGATTTTTTTCTTAAAAACATAAAAATTGACCCTCTGGTCTTAAAGCTTGAAACTTACATTTGTTTTATCTAAGTACCTTCCTCAAAAAATGACCTTCAGGCCTCTCAAAGTATTGAAGAACTGAAGCTCAAAGTATCAAAGAACTGAAACTCACCCCATCCAGACAGTGAGATGCCAGACCTCTCATTCATCATGATTGCTTCCTTGCCCCTCCCTAGTTCCTGTTTTCTTACACATTGTTACATTTCTTCCCCAATTCTTAGTCAGTCAAGGAGATGGATATGAAACTGAGCTCCCATCTCCTTGGCTACAGCACCCGATTAAAACCTTCTTCTGGGCCGGGTGCAGTGGCTCATGCCTGTAATCCCAGCACTTTGGGAGGCCGAGGTGGGTGCATCACAAGGTCAGGAGATTGAGACCATCCTGGCTAACACGGTGAAACCCCGTCTCTACTAAAAATACCAAAAATTAGCTGGGTGTGGTGGCAGGCGCCGTTAGTCCCAGCTACTCGGGAGGCTGAGGCAGGAGAATGGTGTGAACCCGGCAGGTGGGGCTTGCAGTGAGCCGAGATTGTGCCACTGCAGTCCAGCCTGCACGACAGAGCGAGACTCGTCTCAAAAAAAAAAAAGAAAAAAAAAAAGAAACCTTCTTCTGTAGCAATACTCATTGTCATCTCAGTCATTGGCTTCCTGCGTGGCGAGCAGCAGGACCTACAGCAAACCAAACCCCTGGTGTTTCCATAATACTTTCATTAGCTCACTTACTTCTCACAGTAAGTTCATAATATCAGTGATGCTATTGTCTGCATTTTACAGAAGTAGAAGCTGAGAGAGGTAACTTGTCCACGTTCTTCATTTAGAGAGGGACAGAGCAGCACGTCAACCCCAGCCAACCTAATTGCAGGCACCTACTCTTTACACTGTGCTCTGTTGCCCAAAGAACCAAGTCCAGGGGTCTACAAAGTGAGAGGAGCGGGGAGTGCCCATGGCATTGTAAATTTACTTCTGGGAAATGATCTCTTATACTGCAGTTGCATTCATTCATTAAAAACCATCATGATAGTAGCTAGAAACGTTGAAATTCATTACCTCATATTTCAGAATCTGATTTGTAATATATATTGAAAATGAACATTTTTTAAAAACAGTAATTTACCATGCAAAGACCATCTGACACGGGAGAAAAAAAATCCATTTTATAATTTGTATTTTGACTTTCAGTTTCCGTCACCCATTTTATATTTATGATTTTTTTTAATGGAAGAAATGTCCAAGGAAGAATGGAAGCCATAGAGGTGTCTTGGAAGCGTGTTATAATACAAACAATACACACATGGAAATGTTAATGAATTCACCACATATGTAACCTAAAACTGTCCGTGCTGTTTCTCTAAAAGCATTTAATAGGTTCCCACTAGTCTCAGGATACAGCTTCTACTTCTTGGTGTGCATTTGGTCCTTCAGGATCTTCCTCCTGTCCCCGTTTGCAGACCCCTGTCCTGCTAACCTCTGCTTTCCTTGTACTCTGACCACTGACCACATGCCTCTAGTCTAGGCTTTTGTTCATCCTGTGTCCTCTGGCCAGGTGCCCACTCCCCTATTTCCTCTTTCCATGATAATTTCCTGTTCAGCAGGAACACTCTGATTGGACATCACCCATCCACAGAAAAATCTCCTGATGCCCCAGGAAAAGGTGATATCCCCATCGCCAGATTCCAACAGCACGCTGGAAGTATCTCTGTGACAGGTGTCACAGTGTGCGAATCTATTTACACCTTCACCCAGCTTCTTCTTCAACAATTTCTTGGCCACAAACACCATGTCTTACTCATCGTGTACATCTAGTGCCTGATGCATGCTCCAGAAAATTTAATGACTGTTCATTCAATGGATGAATGCATGAATTTATGTACCTGTCAAAAATGAGTAAACATCTCAGAAGCAACTGGTCTGAGAGTCAGTTTCCATAGAAAACTGTCCTGAACCAGTCACTGGGGGGTAAGGAAAAGGGAAAATTGAAAGGTGATCTGTCATTTCAATTGGGATGACTGTGGTTTCAGCAAAATACTGTGTAATTGCAGCTAGCGAGTGAGAGACCAGGCAGAATGGCCTGTTCATGGCCCTAGGAAAGGGTCTCGGGTGAAGGGCAGGCCCAGCACGCCCTGCTGCACTCCTTCGACACTGCCATTCAGGTGCCACCAGCTTCCCCATCTTGTCTGCTGCTGTTCTCAGCAGGCACAGCCAAATGCCAAGGCCTGTCACACTCAGCCTCAGAAACCCCAGATGCACCACCCCCAACAGCCACTGTCTATGGAAGCTAATGATTAAGGTGGAACAAGGACTCATTGCTGAATTCCATCCAGAGTTTTTAAAATAATTCCCATGCATACTGATACCTGCCTGACAGAGGTGTTGGGAGGATTAATTATTCATTTACTTTTCCTCTTCCTCTGCAAAAAGCAAAGAGGCAAACCTGTATGGAAGTCAAATGAGCAGTGTATGGATCCCCATCAACTGCAGTGTAAACAGAATAGAAATAAATCCTTATGAAGATGGGTTATTTGGGTGGGATTACCATCTAATGTCTACCTCTGCGAACATCGGCACTACCTCAAACAGTATTAACTATAAGTCATTTAGAGTAAATATCAGAATATGGTAACGATTTTTAAAAAGACGATTAGATTGTAGGCAACACTAACAGAGATACAGTGTTGACAACAGGAGAGATCAAAACTCTCAGAATGAACTTTAGGAAAAGCAAACTTGATGGTATGGACCAAGTGTTTGTGTCCTCCTCCCCTCCCCACCAAATTCAAACACTGAAATCCTAACCCCCAAAGTAATGTACTAGCAGGTGGGGGCATTGGGAGGTGATGAGGTCACAAGGGTGGAGCCCTCATGAATGGGATTAGTGCCTTTATAACAGGGGCCTCAGGGAGGCCACCAGCCCTCTCCAGCATGTGAGGACACAGCAAGGTGCTGTCTATGAATCAGGAAATCAGGAAATGCACCCTCACCAGACACCAGTCTGCTTGTTGCTTTATCTTGGGGTGCCAGTCTCCAGAACTGTGAGAAATAAGTTCTGCCATTTATAAACCACCCAGTCTGAGATATTAGAGCAGCCTAAATGGACTAAAACACTGATCATGTCATTCCTCTGCTTGAAATCCTGCAAAGAACCCCGTTATCAATAAGCACCCCAGTCTGTCTCCTGCCTGTGTTCTAAGCAACTCTCCTGCCAATCGATGCCCACGCTCTTCTGTAGTATTTTATGCTCTGCTAATTCTGTTGTCTCTGTACTTGTCCAAATGCATGATACCTACCTTCCCTCTCTACATAGAAAGTCCCGGCAGAACTCATACAACTTACCAACGTTTTATTCATCTTGCAAGACCTCTGTCCGACTTCACACTGCTCCTGTTTTCTTTATACATTGTTCTATGTGTGTTTCTTTATACATTGTTCTGCGATTTGGTTTACATGTTCTGTTCTCCTGCCCCCATCAAGTATGTGGCCTGGAGGGTAAGGAACGTGTTAAATTTACCTTTGTGTCTCTGCTGACTTTGACTGTCTGGCATAGAGGAGACACAGAGTCTATCTTTGAGGGACTGAACCTAACCATCAGGCATGCAGAGTGCTGCAGAGGGCCATTGAGGCACAGGAGGCAATGGTGTTGTAACAGGAACCCATGACAGCTGGCAGTCCCAAGGGGAGCTTAGGGAGGGATGTTGACGAGACCCTGAGATATGGGGGCAGCCTGACTTCTGCTGCATCTTCCTGGATGGTGCCACTGGAGTGGAGGGTGGGATGTTACACAGAATCCCATTTGGGTCCCAAATAAGGCCCAGTTCTTTCTTATAACCACATCTCAAGTTTCCAGGACAGTGAGGGTCCAGTGGCTGTGGCTGGGGATGTGGGTGGGAAACAGATGCACCGGGCAGATGGTACTTGGGGAGCTCTGAATCAAGCACTGCACAATTCACCCAGGATGGCCATGCTGGGTGAAGTCGCCACCTGGGAAGGTCCTGCCACAGACTCAGGACTTGGCTTCCCAGAATAACTCAAGGGTAAGCAGACAGCTGTGGGAACACAAAAAGCCAGCAACATTACAGGGTCTCTGGAACACAGGGCAAATCTCTCTGAGACCATTTGTTGAAACGGGAAAATAGACTTTTTGACCTGTGGCCAGAGGAGACTCAGGAGCAGGCTGCTGGCAGCACAAAACCATGCATGCCAGAGGGCTGCTGGCTCTCCCTGCACCAGCTGGGGGTGCCCTGGGCTCTGCAGACACTGTCTCCACCCTGGTGAATCCCTCCCTCTGTGGCATTCTCTCCCGACTCCTACTGACTCCTGCAGGCAGCGGCCAGCACACTGGAGAGGGTGTGAAGAGCAGGCGACAGGCAAGGCAGTAGGTTTAAAGGATGCTTCCAGAGACAGTGCTTGGAGCTGTGGGCTTGACAGCCATGTGGACAAGGTAAAGGCTGCAGGTTTCAATGTGCAGCCAGACAGCTTTACAAAGGGCCTGTGGTTGTTTCAATCTGAAATCATTCAATGTTGCTTCTTCCTCTGTGTTGTTTTGTGGCACCAAATAACCATGACCAGGTCCTGAGAAAGACAGCTGGAGTTCAGGGTGTTTTGAAACAACACGGGCAGGCCCAGAAACACCTGGCCCCAAAAGCCTGTGCTGATAGAGCAAGTTGTCAAAAACAAATGCCAATTCAAAGGTAGTTATATGTGTATTTCTTCTTTATGATTGTAAACTTGCCCGAAGACAGGTATTCTATTTTCTTCTGACCTTTCTCCTTCCCTGTGGACCCCACACTTTCCCAGCCCCTTGAGACTTGCCCCGGAGGCAGGTGTGTGTTGTCTGCTGTGCTCCTTTGGGTTTTTCTTTGGGTCCCTGTCATCCCTGCACTTTCACTTACTCCACTTATTCCAAGTAGTTCTCCCAGCAAATAACACTCAGCATCCTTTATTGATGACCCGCTTTCTTCCAAGCACCCTCCTAGGCACTGGGGAGCCACAGCAGCATAAAAGCTCCCGTTGCCACTGAGCAGGGATGAGCCTCAAGAAGGAAAATTTCCCCCAGTATCAGGTGCTATAGGACTACGGGAGTTCAGTGAAATGTGTGCTTGTTGGTTTGAGATTCTAAAGTATAAGAAAAATTGCCTGGAGGCTCTGCTGTCAGCATCTTTGCAAATGACAAGGAACAGACCAAGCAAGACTGAAGGACAAAAGATCCAGGTTAGTTACAGGGCATTTAAATCGCATTTAAATACCTGCTTATTGTTGGTCCTGCAGTACACCAGGGAAGGAGGAACTTGGTCAATTTCCCCCTCCTCCTCCTTTAATTACAATTCCGTTCTGATACATTGGATCAGTTGTTTTTGTTTGCTACTTTTGAAAGGCGAAAAATAGATTTTCCAACAGGCGCAGCCACAGGGCTTGGTGCAGGTGAGTGCTCTACAGTGCTCATTTTGTAGCAGCTCTGCAGAACTGATTAAAAACAGGGAAGCGAGTAGAGTAGATAAATTACTGCAGAGGCTCAGGTTTCTCCAGAGTGGATCAGGCTGATTTCAGTTGCCAAGGAGCAATGTGTCTGTAGCTTGGTGTGTTCTGTTTTGTAGGCTCTGTGCCAATTGCTTCTGCATCATGAGCCCATCCCTTCTGCTATCTTCATTGCATTGGAGAAGGATCTATCTCAGAAGCCTTGGTATTATTGATTATCCAGCAAGATACAGCTGTAGGAAGAGCAAATTGCGAGAAACCTATTTGTGAAATTCATTTTCCTATACTCTAAGACATGGGCACATCAAAAGGGAAGAAAGCAATCATTTAAAGAGAAATTCCCCTGGCAAGGCCTCCCTGGTTCCTTACAGGCTAGAAGTCAAAGAGACCTAGTGGGATTCATCAGCATGTTAGCTAAGCTTGCATGGCCTCAGATCTGGCTTCTCTAAAAAGCAGAACTTAATCCTGCTTTCCTGGAAGACTCTGTTTAAATAACAAAAGTTCAGGAAAAAGAAGTTCCTGGCATGTCTTAGGTACACATTTTATCTCCTGTCTCTCTATAATTTCCAGCACTTTCTACTCTTATGAATTTGCAATTAAAGCCTGTGTCTGATAAGCCAAAATCCCAGTTGAATTTGCTGCTTGTTTTAAAGTGGCCTTTGATAACATTCACTTGTGTCATTTTACTGTCCTTGAGTGGTGACCAGTTTCTGGGGCTGGGGTGAGGAAGTGTGTGTTTTCCCACTGTCTCCCAAATTCTTCTGCTTCTGCTGCTGTTTGAGTCTTTGGAACTGGGCCACTCCTGAGCAGTTATAACTGTGCATGACTTGAAGACATTCATCTCAGCTCTTGTTTCTCTTCTGGCTTCCCTAGTGAAAAAATAAAGCTGGACCCCGTTGTGGGTGAGATGATGCGGGCCCTCTGATGACAGCAGTGCATTTGGAGGAAAGGCCAGGGGTAGTTTAACAGTGATGACAATGAGGCCTGAAAGTGTGTATTAACCCTTTTTATCCTCGGCAATGGAAACAGAGGAAGAGTTGTCCAGAAAAGATAAAGGGATATTCAGCAAAGCCCACTGAAAGTAGGCAGGTGGCATTCCTCCAATCTTGGGGAACATAACCTCAGTATAAAAGTTGAAAGAGACTTGGCAAGATCCATGGTTGCCAGTGGAGTGTTTTAGGAAAAAGCTGTAGCATGGGGGAAGTTTTGGGAATGTGGAGCTGTTCTGTATCCTAACTGTGCTGCTGACTGCATAACTCTATCCATGGGCCTAAACTCATAGAACTATACACCTTTAACAGTCCATCGCTACTTTATGTAAGTTTCAGATAATAACAACAATAAAAGAGGCTCAGAGATCGAAAGTTGAATGTTTGGTCTCCGCTATTGCTATCAGAGTCAGGCACCCCACATTTTTGCAACGGCAACCGGGATGACAGGTCCTTGACTTGAGAGTCCCAAACCAAGTGTGTCCAGAATTGGTGGATTCTTGGTCTCATTGACTTCAAGAATGAAGCCGTGGACCCTCACAGTGAGAGTTAACAGTTCTTAGAGGTGATGTGTCCAGAGTTTGTTCCTTCTGATGTTCAGACATGTTTGGAGTTTTCTTCTTTCTGGTGGGTTCATGATCTCGCTAGCTTCAGGCGTGAAGCTGCACACCTTCACAGTGTTATAGCTCTTAAGGCAACCTCTGTTCCTTCTGTCTGGAGTTGTTCATTCCTCCCTGTGGGTTCATGGTCTCACTAGGTTCAAAAGGGAAACTACAGACCTTCGTGGTGAGTGTTTCAGCTCATAAAGGCAGTACAGACCCAAAAACTGAGCAGCACCAAATTTATTGCAAAAAGCAAAAGAACAAATCTTCCACAATGCGGAAGAGGACCCACGCAGGTTGCCACTGGTGGCTCAGGCAGCCTGCTTTTATTCCTTTATCTGGCCCCACCCACATCCTGCTGATTGGTCCATTTTACAGAGAGCTGATTGGTCTGTTTTGCAGAGAGCTGATTGGTCCGTTTTGACAGGGTGCTGATTGGTGTGTTTACAATCCCTGAGCTAGACACAAAAGTTCTCCAAGTCCCCACAGAGCACTGATTGGTGCATTTACAAACCTTGAGCTAGACACAGGGTGCTGATTGGTATGTTTACAAACCTTGAGCTACACACAGAGTGCTGATTGGTGTATTTACAATCCCCTAGCTAGACATAAAGATTCTCCAAGTCCCCACCAGATTAGCTAGACACAGGTTGCTGATTGGTACATTTACAAACCTTGAGCTAGACACAGGGTGCTGATTGGTGTATTTACAAACCTTGAGCTAGACACAGAGTGCTGATTGGTGTATTTACAATCCCCTAGCTAGACATAAATATTCTCCAAGTCCCGACCAGATTAGCCAGATACAGAGTGCTGATTGGTGCATTCACAAACTGTGAGCTAGACATAGAGTGCTGATTGGTGCATATACAAACCTTGAGCTAGACACAGAGTGCTGATTGGTGTATCTACAATCCCTTAGCTAGACATAAAGGTTCTCCAAGTCCCAGCTAGACTCATGAGCCCAGCTGGCTTCACCTAGTGGATCCCACAGCCAGGCCGCAGGCGGTCCCGCACTGTGTGCTGGCACTCCTCAGCCCTTGGGCGTTTTATGGTACCGGCTGCTGCAGAGCAGGGGGCGGCGCTTGTCGGGGAGGCTTGGCTGCGCAGCAGCCCACTGTGGAGGGGAGGCTCGGGCATGGCGGGCTGCAGGTCCCGAGCCCTGCCCTGTGGGGAGGCAGCTGAGGCCAGGCAAGAATTCCAGCGCAGTGCCGCCAGGCCAGCACTGCTGGGGGACCCGGCGCACCCTCTGCAGCTGCTGGCCCGGGTGCTAAGCCCCTCACTGCCCGGGGCCGGCGGTGCCAGCTGTCTGCTCTGAGTGCAGGGTCCACCGAGCCCACGCCCACCCGGAACTCGTGTTGGCCTGTCAGTGCCTTGCACGGCCCCGGTTCCCACCCGCGCCTCTCCCTCCACACCTCCCTGCAAGCAGAGGAAGCCAGCTCCGACCTCGGCCAGCCCAGAGCGGGGTTCCCATAGTGCAGCGGCAGGCTGAAGGGCTCCTCAAGCGCGGCCAGAGTGGGCACTGAGGCCAAGGAGGCAACGAGAGCAAGCGAGGGCTGCCAGCATGCGGTCACCTCTCACAAGGATTGTTCCTTCTTTGCTTCTGGCCCGTGGGGAGGCCACTGGTGCCTCGTTTAGCCCATCAGTGTCTTCATCTTACAAAACACTTGTCCTGGGCAAATTGGGATTTGTCAGTCTTTAGTTCACACAGGCTCGTCTTTTTCAGTTTTAGGAAGCACAGCCCCTGCTCAAAGTAAGGTCTGGATCCAAGCCTGCACCCGAGATGGCTGAGAGCATTTGGTGATTCACATGTTCGCAGGCACATGGTGGATTTCGTGTAAGGACTTTTCTGTGAATCAGTAATCTGAGCACACGATGAATCACATCACAAGGGGTTTCCATCGCTGCACTGAAAGCCTGGAGGGAGGGATTTCTTTTTCTTTCTCATTTGCTTTTTTTTAGATATAAAAAGACCCTGAAGGCTGTTTTCATTAATCGCTCCAACATTTATGCTTGCTAGCTTCCGGTATATCAGCCTGTTCCTAAATGGCCCTTAAACATGTGCTTATAAGTAAGGCTTGTTGCTGTCTACCAGATGAAACCAATATTCTTTGCTTCGTGGAATTCTGAAAATCTTGTTTACTGAAATAAAAATGTTACTCTAAGCTCCATAAGGATGAAGAAAAGAGAAGAAATAATTTCAGAATTTGACTTATGTCTGTTTTCCAAAAGCAAAATATGTAACATTGATTCTGTTCTAGTAACAAGTTGGTAACTGATGTATGTAACGAGGAAGGAGCTTTCTTTTTTTGATGGAAATTTTCAAACGTGTAAAAGCAGAAAACAAAGAACAACGACCAGCACCTGGGAACACAGCCCGTGGCTCCCACAGCCACTTCTACTCTGCATTTCTTCTATCACCGAATTTATTGAGTTTTGCCATTTTCTCCGTTTCCCACCACTTTTTCTGTGCAAAAGACTGGTGTCTTTTACAGCAAACTCCGTTTTACTTCACCTGCAAATATTTGAGTAGGTATCTCTATAGGATAATGAATTTTTTGTTTATATAACATAAGCACAACACCATTATTGACAAAAGTAACAATAATTCCTTATCATCGTTGTCTAATATCCAGACAGTGCACAGACTTTCCTGATTGTTTCCAGGAAAGGCCTTTTGACAATTGGTTTGTTTGAACCAGGATGCACACAGGGTCCGTTGCATGTGTGGTTGATTGAGAGGTCTCCTGGGTCTCTTTCCTTCCAGACATTTCCCACTCCCTTTCTCTGCCATGTTATTTGTTGAAGAAATTGTATCAGTGGTCCTGAGACGATTACATTTTTTATTTAACTCTCTGCTTTTTCCTTGTTTTGTTATATATGCTCCCCTGCACTCTGCATGTTCCGAAACTGATGGGCAGATATTGAGGCTTAACTAGATGACAGTTCAGCTTTGGGGTAAGCATACTTGATAAGGGATGTGGGTGCTTCCTGTTGCCACCCAGCAGAATAGAAGCACGTGTCCCAGGTCGTCCCAGGTTACTAAAACTAAGATGAAGCACAAGGGTCGAGGGCTGGCTTCTCCCTTTGTAGAGCTCTGCTCAGTCTTCCCCCAGTGGTTTTTCCCATGCATGCTGCTCCATTTCATTATTCTACTAGAGGTGGGAAGATGTCATTTGAAAAATAGGTATAGATCTTTCCTCCTACTTTTATCAGCTGTCTTTTTTAGTTTTTTTGAGACAGAATCTCTCTGTCGCCCAGGCTGGAGTGCAGTGGTGAGATCTTGGCTCACTGCAACCTCTGCCTACTGGATTCAAGCAATTCTCCTGCCTCAGACACCTGGGTAGCTGGGATTGCAGGTGCGCTCCACCAAGCCAGACTAATTTTTGTATTTTTACTGGAGATGTATTTTACTAGAGACAGGGTTTCACCATGTTGGCTACGCTGGTATCAAACTCCTGACCTCAAGTGATCCACCCACCTAGGCCTCCAAAAGTTCTGGGATTACAGGTGTGAGCCATCACATCCCACCAGCTGTCATTCTTTTATAAAGAATAATTTTCTCTCACCAAATATAGTTTATTTGGGAAAGCCTTTCTTTTCTCTTACAATTTATAAATTTTCAGAAATATGAGTTCATGCCCTAGTAACCTCAGTGGTGACCAAAGAATTTAAAAGTACCATTATTAACTCATGGGTTTTAATGTATTTTATATAATTTGATTAATTAGTCACTTATCTTTGTATTATTTGTGGGGGATTTCTTTATTTTGATTTGCTGTATTTAAAAAAATTATGAAAAATTCCAAACATAAAGTGGAGGGAAAGTTATAAAGAACCCATATACTTATCATCCCACTCTGCCAGTTGTCAACTCATGGGCAATTTTTATTTCGTCTGTGCTCTTCCCACCCCCCACTTCAAATTATTTTGATGCAAGTCACAAGATCACAAAATTGTACCTGTAAATATTCATGCCTAAAAATAATGAATAATAACTCCTTATTATCTTCAAATATCCAATAAGTATTCAAACATCCCTATTTGGCATCTGATTTTTCTTATACTTCGTTTCAATATAGATTGAAATAGGGCGTATATCTAGTCACTGTTTGATGTGTCTTTTGATCAATGAGATTCTCTTCCTCTGTTTCTCTTTGCCATTTATTCATTGCAGAAACAACTCATCTGCCTCGTAGAATTTCCTATAGTCTAGATTTTGCTGATTTGAGCCATTTAATGTGTTTTTCTGTTCCCTGTGTTTTATGTAAATAGGTAGTTATATCTGGAGGGTTGGTCAAATCACATTTCATTTTATTTTCTTTTTTGTCAAGACTACTTCATGAGGGGTGGTCAGGCTTCTAGGTGGAGGTGCTTATTGCCTGGTCGACTTTTTTTGTGATGTCGGCAACCACTGGCATCCAGTAAATGGGCCCATCAATTCATGAAGGGCTGCAGAATTGTGATATTCTCATTCTCCATCCCTTCTTTATTTATTGACAGGAATACTTCTGTTATATGAGACTTCTCCCCTGATTAACTATTTGGTTTCTTGAGATACAGTTTGTATAGGAAAAGCAGGATAGGTGATTCATTTTCCCCTTTTACTCACCAGCTTTAAACATAGTGAGCTGATCCCATAGCATCCTCATGATTGACTGCTTAGCTATTGTTGTTGTGTTGGCATTGTTGTTTAATATCATTATTTATTTCACTTTGCCTGCAGTTCATAGGCAATGTTTTTTAAATTTAATTTTGATTTATGTTTATGCAAAATATGTATACTCTTGCCGTGTATCTTTGGGACAGATTCCCAGAGCTGGGAATGCTAAGCTAGGAGTAGGAGTGAATGTGCATGCGGTTCTTCTGAATATTGGGAAAAATCTACTCCAGAAGGGTAGTACAAATTTGCGTTTATAAGAGAACATAGATAAACGTTCCCTTTGTGCTCAATTTGGCCCATCTCTGACTGCCATTGGCCCTGTTTCTCTATCACAGAGGTCTGTTGTTGTATATATGTGCGGGGCTTATCTCTCTGTCTGAATGTCCTATGCATACCCTAACAATTGATACCATCTAGTAACATTTATTACATTACTCTGGAGAGAATAACTTTGTCCTGATGACACTAAGGGGTATCAAAAAAACAGAGTATCAAAGAAATTAGGGGGAGGCAAGGGACGTGTCTATCTAAGAAAGATCTAGCATCAAAGTATCTTCTTTATTGGTCATTTTTCATGATCCTCTCAAACTGTACCAGCTGGCCCCCAAATGGAAGTCAAGTCAATAAGAAAAAAAAAAAAACATTTTTTTAATCTGGTAGTCAATGTAAAACTTACCTAGGTTGGTATTTTACGAATTTGAAACTGGCTTCTGAAGCCAAAGTCTTCCTAAAATCTCCAATGTAGACATTTTAATGTCTACATCAGAATATACATCAGTGTCATTCTGTTTTGTTTTGATTTTTGATACTTTGTTTTTCTGCTTCAGCCTTCTTACATGATCGTGTCTATTTTAGCAAAAAGACCACTTGAACTGTTTCACCTCTGTCATATGGAGAATAATCCATGAGTTGTTCATTAGGTTCTAATTAACTCACCCTGTAGGAATGGAAATGCTCACAGATGTCAGGATTCTGGAAAGTTCTACATTTATTTAATATGTCATGTAGAGGAAACTCCCTCAGTATTCAACAGAGTGTCAGGCAAGGTTTGTGGGTGAACAGAGAGATCATAGAGGCCCTCTCTTCATGTGGGTCATGTCTCTAGTCTCATTGTTCTTCAGGAACAGTGTCACCGTTGGGGTCATTGGAAGCCCATGCAGTGGCTGTCATCATCATGTGCCCTGTGCTGTCCATGCTCAGCCCCTAGACATCAGCTGGCCTATGCAGTGGCACTGTGGGGCGAGTCTTGTCCTGTGTCTGGAGCCGGCCATGTTTGAGACATCATGGGTCCTTTTTAAATGACTTGTTTGGAGGAGGGATTAGTCAGATTTCTCCCAGGTTTGGTGTTTTTAAGGGTGCTCCTCTTCCATCATTTTCAGAATTAGTGTGTTTAGACAGAATGCTGGCTGCCCAGCTGCATACCTGAGCAGGACCTTTTTTTTTTTTTTTTTTTTTTTAAACAATGCCCAGCTCTTTAAGACAAAATTATTTTCAGGAATAATTATTGTCTTAGACTGTTAGTGCTGCTATAACAGAAATACCATAGACTTGGGGGCTTATAAGTAACAGAAATTTCCTTCTCACAGTTCTGGAGGATGGAAGTCCAATATCAAGTCACCGGCAGATTCAGTGTCTAGTGAGGGCCTCCTGGTTCATAGATGGTGCCTTCTGGCTGTGTCCTCACATGGTGGGAGGGGTGAGGCCACTCTCTGGGGTCTCTTTTACAAGAGTACTAATCCCACTAATGAAGGCTCAACCCTTGGGACCACAGCAACTCCCAAAGGTCCAACTTCCTAATACCATCACCTTTGGGATTAGAATTTCAACATATGAATTTGGGGGAAACACAAATATTTAGTCTATTGCAATCATGAAATGAAATACCTAATAACAATGGCCAGAAAGGAAATGCTGACAGTGAAAATGTCCTATTACTGAACTGTGTATATATAATCATGTCAAATAAGCAAATAAGTTTTAAATGCATCTTAATTACACTAGTGTATTTTTTGAACTTAAGAAAAAGATCTTATTCAGTGTATGACAGTAATAAATAATATTAGAGTTTAATAATAAACAACAATTACAAAGAATACATTTCTGTTTTACATGTATTATTCAAAGTCTATAAAATATTTCACACATGATCTAAAATTTGCACTTCAGTTAAATTTGTTAATTTCAGACACACAAACTTGGAGTGGTCAAGGAGAATGATAGAATTGAAGTAACTCAAATACTGTTTTTTCATCTTCTATTTATTCACTGTGTTCTTATTGTTTATTTTAAATCTGCTTTTTCAGAACAGGAATGTATAGTACACAGTAGCTGAAGACAAAGCAAACTCAAATGATTCTGAGCCATTCAAACTTATTTTAAAAAGGAAGGTGTGTAGCTATGTCCATGTGTGTGGGCTGGTGGCATAGCTGAGTGTTCCCCAAATTTGCTTACACATAAAATACAATGCTTATTTAAGAATAAATTATTGAAACATACTAACTTGAAACATACACGCACATGCATATTCACATACACACACACATATATGTTGGCCACTCAGCAGTACCTGCAGAAAATGCTTATACCAATGGTTCTCAGTGAGGGTGGGGGAAATGAGGAGATGTTGATCAAAGGGTACCATTTTTTATTTATAAGATGAATAAATTCTGGAGATTTAATGTATGGCATGGTGACTATACTCAATAATAATAAAACAAGTATACTTGACATTTGCTAGGAGAGTAGATCTTAAATGTCCTTACTCAAGCCCCTCACACACACAGTAACTATGTGAGGTGATAGATGTGTTAATCAGTCTGATTGTGGTCATCATTTCACAAGGCATACATATATCAAAATATGTTGTATACCTTAATTATATATAATATTTATTTGTCAATCGTACCTCAATAAAGTTGAGAAAAACATAAAAGACTTCACTATGCCACGACTTTTTGTAAAGATATTGGGATATGTGGGAACCACACCTCTCATGTACTTCCAGCTCACTAGGTGAACAGGAAGTGCATTGTTCAAGGTCCAAGTAGGACTTCTGGGCTCTTAGTTTACTTTTAAATATACATTACTTCCTTAATTTAATTTTCTTTGGAAAACAGCTTGACGATGTCTTAAAATATTAAATTTTAATTTTTAAATTTTTAAAAAATTTTTTATGTTTTAAAATGTTAAATACCTACCATCTTTCTCAGACATTCCACTTCAGGTATGGAGAAATGGAAGAATATGGCTGTGCAAAAACTTAGACAAAACTATTCACAGCAGCTTTGTTTTTAAGCCTCAAATTGAAAACAACCCAAATAACTAAGAACAGATGAAAGGATAAACAATATGGAATATATTCATACAATGGACTATTACTCAGCAATGATAAAAAATGAACTCTTGGTATGTTACAACATGGATGACTCTTAGAATAGCTATTCTCGAAACTTGCCCAACAGTCCCATAGACAGTTGGTTTTGGATAAGCATAGAAATAGACTCTTCTGCTGTTAAAACCTGAAACATGTATTTGTTTTATCAGAGTTCTTTCCTCAGGAAAGGACCTTCAGGCCTCTCAAAGAACTGAAACTCATCAGATAACCACACCATATTCCTCCTTGTTCCTCCCTAGTTTATGTTTTCTTGTATATTGTTAACGTTTCTTCCCTGCTAAATAGACCCATACTTTTAGTCAGTTAGGGAGATGGATTTGAGACTGAGCTCCCATCTCCTCAGCTGCAGCACCTAATTAAAGGTCATCTCAGTGATTGGCTTTCTGTGTGGTGAGCAGCAGGACCTGGACCAAACCCCTGGTGTTTCGGTAACAATTTGGGTTCCCTGACTAGGAGTGCATTGCTCCTGGCTCAACTGCCATGGGCCAGGAGTCTCGGAAGCCCTCTGTATTAGTATGTTCTCACACTGCTATGAAGAAATACCTGAGACTGGGTAATTTATATAGGAAAGAGATTTAATTGACTCACAGTTCACATGCCTGGGAGGCCTCAGGAAACTTTGAACTTGAGAGAGATGACTTAGGGTATCTGGCAGAAGAAATTTCTAAGCAGCAAGGGATTCAAGAAGAAGCAGCACATAAAAGTTTGGAAAATTTGCATCCTGACAATGCAATAGAAAAGAAAAAACCCATCTTCTGGAGAGAAATTTAAGCCTGCTGTAGAAATTTGCATAAGTAACAAGGAACTGAATGTTAAACACCAGGACAATGGTGAAAATGTCTCTGGGGCATGTCAGAGACCTTTGTGGCAGCCCCTCTCCTCATAGGCCTGGAGGCACTGGAGGAAGAAATGGTTTCCTAGGCTGGGCCCAGGGCCCCCTGCTGTGTGCAGCCTAGGGACTTGGTGCCCTGCATTCTAGCCACTCTAGCCATCACTAAAAGGGGCCAAAGTGCAGCTTGGGCTGTGGTTTCAGAGGGTGCAAGCCCCAAGCCTTGGCAGCTTCCATGTAATGTTAATCCTGCAGGTGCATAGAAGTTAAGAATTGAGGTTGGGGAACCTCTGCCCATATGTCAGAGGATGTATGGAAATGCCTGGATGTTTAGGCAGAAGTTTGCTGCAGGGGTGGAGCCCTCATGAAGACCCTCTGCTAGGGCAAAGGAAAGGAAATGTGGAGTCGGAGCCCCCACACAGAGTCCCCAATGGGGCAATGCCTAGTAGAGCTGTGAGAAGAGGGCCATGGTCCTCCAGATCCCAGAATGGTAGATCCACTGACAGCTTGCCCCATGTGCCTGTAAAAGCCAAAGACACTCAATACCAGCTCATGAAAGCAGCTGGGAGGGAGGATATACCCTGCAAAGCCACAAGGGCGGAGCTGTCCAAGTTCATGGGAGCCTATCTCTTGCATCAGCGTGACTTGGATCTGAGACATGGAGTCACAGGAAGTCATTTTGAACTTTAAGGTTTAATGGCTGCCCTATTGGATTTCAGACTTGCATGGGGCCTGTAGCCTCTTTGTTTTGGCCAATTTCTTCCATGTGCAATGGGATGTATTTACCCAATGCCTGTATCCCTGTTGTATCTAGGAAGTAACTAACTTGCTTTTGATTTTACAGGCTCATAGGCAGAAGAGACTTGCCTTGTCTCAGTTAAGACTAAGGACTTGGACTTTGGAGTTAATACTGAAATGAGTTAAAACTTTGGGGAACTGTTAAGAAAGCATAGTTGTGTTTTAGAATGTGAGAAAGATGAAATTTTGGAGGGGCCAGGGGTGTAATGATATGGTTTGACTCTGTGTTCCCACCCTACTCTCATCTTGAATTGTAATCCAAATTGTAATCCCCATGTGTTGGGACCTCATGGGAAGTGATTAGATCATGGAGGCAGTTATCCCATGATGTTCTCATGATAGTGAGTGAATTATCAGGAGATATGATGGTTTTATAAAGGGCTTTTCCCTCCTTCACTCTGCACTTCTCTCTCCTGCCACCATGTGAAGAAGAACATGCTGCCAATCTCTTTGCT